>NC_000002.12:44735806-45038837 GCF_000001405.40 Homo sapiens | reverse complement strand
TCAACTCACACCTGACCTAAAACCTAAACACCTTATTTTCTTCTGCAACACCGCTTGGCCCCAATACAAACCTGACAATGGCTCTAAATGGCCAGAAAACGGCACTTTCGATTTCTCCATCCTACAAGACCTAAATAATTTTTGTCGAAAAATGGGCAAATGCCCTGAGGTGCCTTACGTCCAGGCATTTTTCACACTTCATTCCCTCCCTAGCCTTGTTCCCAATGCGATTCCTCCCAGATCCACCTTTCCCTGCTGCCTGTCCCCTCAGTCCCAACCCCAAGCGTCGCTGAGTTTTTCCAGTCTTCCTTTTCTACAGACCCATCTGACCTTTCCCCTCCTCCCCAGGCTGCTCGTCGCCAGGCCGAGCTAAGTCCCAATTCTTCCTCAGCCTCCGCTCCTCCACCCTATAATCCTTCTATCACCTCCCCTCCTCACACCCGGTCCGGCTTACAGTTTAGTTCCACAACTAGCTCTTCCCCACCTGCTCAGCAATTTACTCTTAAAAAGATGGCTAGAGTTAAAGGCATAGTCAAGGTTAAGGCTCCTTTTTCTTTATCCCAAGTCAGATAGCATTTAGGCTCTTTTTCATCAAATATAAAAATCCAGCCCAGTTCATGGCTCGTTTGGCAGCAACCCTGAGACGCTTTACAGCCCTAGACCCTAAAAGGTCTACAGGCCGTCTTATTCTCAATATACATTTTATTACCCAATCTGCTCCTGACATTAAATAAAACTCCTAAAATTAGAATATGGCCCTCAAACCCCACAACAGGACTTAATTAACCTCACCTTCAAGGTGTACAGTAATAGAAAAAAGTTGCAATTCCTTGCCTCCACTGTGAGACAAACCCCAGCCACATCTCCAGCACACAATAACTTCCAAACGCCTGAACCGCAGCGGCCAGGCATTCCTCCAGAACCTCCTCCCCCAGGAGCTTGCTACAAGTGCCAAAAATCTGGCCACCAAGCCAAGGAATGCCCGCAGCCCAGGATTCCTCCTAAGCCATGTCCCATCTGTGCGGGACCCCACTGAAAATCGGATTGTTCAACTCACCTGGTAGCCACTTCCAGAGCCCCTGGAACTCTGGCCCAAGGCTCTCTGACTCCTTCCCAGATCTTCTCAGCTTAGTGGCTGAACACTGACGCTGCCCGATCGCCTCGGAAGCCGCCTAGACCATCATGGATGCTGAGCTTCAGGTAACTCTCACAGTGGAAGGTAAGTCCGTCCTCTTCTTAATCAATATGGAGGCTACCCATCCACATTACCTTCTTTTCAAGGGCCTGTTTCCCTTGCCTCCATAACTGTTGTGGGTATTGACGGCCAGGCTTCTAAACCTCTTAAAACTCCCCAACTCTGGTGCCAACTCGGACAACACTATTTTATGCACTCTTTTTTAGTTATCCCCACCTGCCCAGTTCCCTTATTAGGCCGAGATATTTTAACCAAATTATCTGCTTCCTTGACTATTCCTGGACTACAGCCACATCTCATTGCCGCCCTTCTCCCCAACCCAAAGCCTCCTTCGCATCTTCCTCTCATATCCCCCCACCTTAACCCACAAGTATGGGACATCTCTACTCCTTCCCTGGCAACCGATCACATGCCCGTTACCATCCCATTAAAACCTAATCACCCTTACCCCTCTCAGTGCCAATATCCCATCCCACAGCATGCTTTAAAAGGATTAAAGCCTGTTATCACTCGCCTGCTACAGCATGGGCTTCTAAAACCTATAAACTCTCCTTACCATTCCCCCTTTTCACCTGTCCTAAAACCAGACAAGGCTTACAAGTTAGTTCAGAATCTGCGCCTTATCAACCAAATTGTTTTGCCTATCCACCCCATGGTGCCAAACCCATATACTCTCCTATCCTCAATACCTCTCTCTACTACCCATTATTCTGTTCTGGATCTCAAACATGCTTTCTTTACTATTCCTTTGCACCCTTCATCCCAGTCTCTCTTTGCTTTCACTTAGACTGACCCTGACACCCATTAGGCTCAGCAAATCACCTGGGCTGTACTGCCGCAAGGCTTCACAGACAGCCCCCATTACTTCAGTCAAGCCCAAATTTCAACCTCATCTGTTACCTATCTCGGCATAATTCTCATAAAAACACACGTGCTCTCCCTGCCGATCATGTCCGATTAATCTCCCAAACCTCAATCCCTTACAAAACAACAACTCCTTTCCTTCCTAGGCATGGTTAGTTCGGTCAGAATTCTTACACAAGAGCCAGGACCGCAACCTGCAGGCTTTCTGTCCAAACAACTTGACCTTACCGTTTTAGCCTAGCCCTCAAGTCTGCGTGCAGTGGCTGCCGCTGCTTTAATACTTTTAGAGGCCCTCAAAATCACAAACTATGCTCAACTCACTCTCTACATTTCTTATAACTTCCAAAATCTATTTTCTTCCTCATACCTGATGCATATACTTTCTGCTCCCTGGCTCCTTCAGCTGTACTCACTCTTTGTTAAGTCCCACAATTACCATTGTTCCTGGCCCGGACTTCAATCCAGCCTCCCACATTATTCCTGATACCACACCTGACCCCCATGACTGTATCTCTCTGATCCACCTGATATTCACCCCATTTCCCCATATTTCCTTCTTTCCTGTTCCTCACCTGATCACGCTTGATTTATTGATGGCAGTTCCAACAGGCCTAATCGCCACACACCAGCAAAGGCAGGCTATGCTATAGTACAAGCCACTAGCCCGCGTCTCAGAACCTCTCATTTCCTTTCCATCATGGAAATCTATCTTCAAGGAAATAACTTCTCAGTGTTCCATCTGCTATTCTACTACTCCTCAGGGATTATTCAGGCACCCTCCCTTCCCTACACATCAAGCTCGAGGATTTGCCCCCACCCAGGACTGGCAAATTAGCTTTACTCAACATGCCCTGAGTCAGGAAACTAAAATACCTCTTAGTCTAAATAGACACTTTCACTGAATAAGCAAAGGGCTTTCCTACAGGGTCTGAGAAGGCCACTGTAGTCATTTCTTCCCTTCTGTCAGACATAATTCCTCAGTTTAGCCTTCCCACCTCTATACAGTCCGATAACAGACCAGCCTTTATTAGTCAAATCAGCCAAGCAGTTTTTCAGGCTCTTAGTATTCAGTGAAACCTTTATATCCCTTACGGTCCTCCGTCTTCAAGAAAAGTAGAATGGACTAAAGGTCTTTTAAAAACACACCTCACCAAGCTCAGCCACCAACTTAAAAAGGACTGGACAATACTTTTACCACTTTCGCCTCTCAGAATTCAGGCCTGTCCTCAGACTGCTGCAAAGTATAGCCCATTTGAGCTCCTTTTTATTAGGCCCCAGTCTCATTCCAGACACCGGACCAATTTAGACTGTGCCCCAAAAAAACTTGTCATCCCTACTATTTTCTGTCTAGTCATACTCCTATTCACCATTCTCAACTACTCATACATGCCCTGCTCTTGTTTACACTGCCGGTTTACACTGTTTCTCCAAGCCATCACAGCTGATATCTCCTCGTGCTATCCCCAAACTGCCCCTCTTAACTCTTGAAGTAAATAAATAATCTTTGCTGGCAGGACTATACTGAATCTCCTTAGGCACTCTCTAATCAGATGTCCTAGGTCCTCCCAATTCTTAGACCTTTTATACCTGTTTTTCTCCTTATTCCATTTAGTTTTTCAATTCATACAAAACCATATCCAGGCCATCACCAATAATTCTACACAACAAATGTTTCTTCTAACAACCCCACAATATCACCCCTTACCACAAAATCTTCCTTCAGCTTAGTCTCTCCCACCTTAGGTTCCCACGCCACCCCTAATCTTGCTTGAAGCAGCCCTGAGAAACATCGCTCATTCTCTCTCCATACCACCCCCCAAAAATTTTCACCGCCCCAAGACTTCAACACTATTTTGTTTTATTTTTCTTATTAATATAAGAAGGCAGGAATGTCAGGCCTCTGAGCCCAAGCCAAGCCATCGCATCCCCTGTGACTTGCACGTATACATCCAGATGGCCTGAAGTAACTGAAGATCCACAAAAGAAGTAAAAATAGCCTTAACTAATGACACCCCACCATTGTGATTTGTTCCTGCCCCACCCTAACTGATCAATGTACTTTGTAATCTCCCCCACCCTTAAGAAGGTTTTTTGTAATTCTCCCCACCCTTGAGAATGTACTTTGTGAGATCCACCCCTGCCCGCAAAACATTGCTCTTAACTTCACCGCCTGTCCCAAAACCTATAAGAACTAATGTAATCCACCACCCTTTGCTGACTCTCTTTTCGGACTCGGCCCACCTGCACCCAGGTGAAATAAACAGCCATGTTGCTCACACAAAGCCTGTTTGGTGGTCTCTTCACATGGACGCGCATGAAAAAGATACCAAGAAGGGGCAAGGGAATAAGTTTCTAGAGAAGGGGATCATTGAGCCGGGAGGCTGCTTCCCTGCCTCTGAGAAAAGGTCCACAGTGATATCAGGAAGGGCCAGCCAGAGGAGCCGTGAAATCCTCCCCACGTGGATTCAGAAAACACATGGAAAGCTTCCCTGACTCCTGGCTGGCATTGGGGACCTCATCCACGCTTAACAGGTAGGTTCCCTCAGCCTGCAGCCCTCTCTTCACCTTGACAAGCCTGCCTTGTCTGTGCCTTTACTCAACTGGTTTCCCAAGGCCTCTCCCTCTCCCCAACTTCCTCTCAAGCAACCTAAATCTTCCCCATCCTTCAAGGTGCACACATCCTCCAAGGAGCGTTTCTTGGTCCATCCCCTTTTTCCTCCTACTAACAACTAAAGCACTTAATCTGCACCTCACACCTGGTCCTTTTAGCCATATTCTGTACTATTTGCTGTAATTTTCTGTTTCTTGGTCTTCTCTTTTCCAACTAGAATAGATTCTTTGAGAGCAAAGACCTTATCTCCTCTGTTTTTTATATTCTTCTTATATAACCTAATGCAGGACTAAACCTGATTATAAAAATAGCCACAAAAATAATAATTATCTTTAAATCACCTTTTCAAAGGCTTTTTTGTATATAGTTGCCTTTGTACCTCACAGCAACCCAGCACATTTGGAAATGAAGTTATTATACTCCTGAGTCTGCTGCATGACATCTGGGCCCTCAGCTAAAAGATGGAGTCCTCTACCGGTTGGTGCCCACTGTCAGCTGAGAACTTGGCTGGGCACATTGGCCCGAACACCTACACATGGCCTCTTCCTGTGGTTTGGGCTTCCCCACAGCATGCCGGCCTCAGGGTATTTGAACTTCTTCTCTGGTCAAGCTCCAAAGGTGAGTGTCCCAGAAGAACCAGGGAAAAGCTCTGTGGCCTTTTCTAATTTTAGTCTCTGAGGTCATGCAGTGTCACTTTCAACTGCCCTCTATTGGCTTCAAGTGAGTCACTAAGGTTGGCCCACATTCAAGGATGAGGGACATTAACTTTCACCTCTCAATGACAAGAGAGCCCAGAATTTACACAACATATTTTAATATTGCCACGATTCCCCATTGGACAGATAGAAAAATTGAGGCTTAGAAAGGGTAAGTGGACTTGCCCAACGGCACGCAGTTGCCAAGAAAACAGCAAGTCAGAAGTAATCCCAATTCCCTGTACAGGATTTACTCTCCTATGTGGCAACTGCAGGGTGATGCCTTGATGATTGTCTACAGAAAGGTGGCAGCAGGGCCAAGAAGGAGGGAGGTGAGAAGGAGAAGGGACCCTTCCTGGTCCATGTCATCTCTGCTCTAGTGGGCTCCTTGGACCCCTCTGACCATTTTGGGCTCTAAAGATAGTTTGAGAGGTACCTACCTTCTCAGCACTGAGAAATAACTCTCTGTGATAGCTAGGAAGTGAATAAAATGAGGAGATCAGTGTCAGATATGTGTGTTGTGTATTAATCAAAACATAGAGAGCAGGTCTATCTGTGGCCTATTTCAAGGGGCCAGCCATCCAATCATACAAAGGGGCTAGGGGCTGGAGCTGATGCTGGGGCCTAGGACTGGGGGCTGGAGGCAGGGGCCCAGGAGTGGAAGTCTCTGCCCCACTTTCCATTATGATCTGTACTCAACCCAAAGCCTGCACGCCTATTCACACATCTGTTCAGCACTTGCCTGCAATCATTTAGGTTTTATTATTGGACTTGTCACCATATTAATGTAGCTGTACATTTAAATTGATTATAATTGTACATTTCCTGAAAAACCTTGGGTTTTTTGCAAGTATTAATTAACTGATGCATTTAAATTAAAAACAATTATGTAGCCACAGTCATGCCTTCTTTGCTCTGCATGCCAAAAATGACGGTTTCATGTAATGCATAAAATAAGTGGATTAATATTTCACAATTAAGGTCAATTTCCATTTGGAAAGGAAAGATAATGAACCAACTCTCACCTGTAATCCCCTGACATGTTTCCATAAGAATTCTAGTCTTCATGAATTTTGTAATCTGGATGTTCAGAGAATATGTTAATAAAGCTGCTGATAAATGGAATCATTAACAGAATAAATCAGGACCCCTGGCTGCAAAGCTCAGGTGGCATCTGTTTTCATGTTAAGCTAATGAGGCTAGAATTTAGGAAAGCTCTTGCAAAGTCACAGCAGAGTCATTCAGTAGCAAAGAAAAAGAAAAGTGGAATTCTTGTCCTGCCCTGAGATGAGGCCCTCCCACAAGAGTAGAGTCAGGTGCAAGGGCTTTTCTGTGTGACTCTGGGTAAGGGACTTGATCTCTCTAAGTCTCTGTTTCCTTGTTTATTAGGTGGGAATAGGAAGTAGTATCAGCCTCACAATACTGTTGGAATTATACATAAACTAATATGTGTAATGCACTTAGCACTATAGCTGGTGTCTGCCAGGACTCAGTAAAAGGGAGATGCTGATTTTTTTCATTTGTTTTGGTTTTGGGGTTTTGTTTGTTTTGTTTTGAGACAGGATGTTGCCCCAGCCTGCAGTGCAGTGGCACGATCATGGCTCACTGCAGCCTCGACCTCCTGGGCTCAAGCAATCCTCCCATCTCAGCCTCCTGAGTAGCTGGGACTACAGGCATGTGCCATCATACCTGGCTAATTTTTTTTTTAATTTTTTGCAGGGACAAGTTCTCATTATTTTGCCCAGGCTGGCTCCTGGCATCAAGCGATCCTCTAGCTCTGGCCTCCCAAAATGCCAGGATTATGGATGTGAGCCACCACACCAGGCCTTGTTGTTATTTTTATCGAGTCCAAGAGAGTAGGCTAAGAGAAGGGAATGGGGAACCTCCTCAGACTGAGAAGCAATAGGCCCCACATGCTGGTTCCCCACCCTGTGAGGTGTGCTCTCATAAAGGTTCACCTCGCAGTGAGTTCAATGGGGTAGGCGGCAAGGCAGTACCGGGAACTATGTCCGGTCCCACTGGAGGCTGGTGAGGATGGCAGAAGGGGTTCAGCCCTCCCCATGTGAGATTTCCAGGCCAGCAGTGACTCCCAAGTATGAGAAGTAAGAGAAAATTCCCCATCAACTCTTTCCAGCTCTAGTCCAGACCTCTTTCCAAGACACATTTGCCTCTCTACTCTCAGTAGACAGCAGCGCTGTGAGGAGAAGCAACTGCAGTTGGCTGAGTTCTCATTGCCACAGAGAGAGCTCCTCCTCCACACACTCCTCCCTTCTTTCTACCCTCCTGGGAGTCATCTACTCACTCTCCTGCCTGCCCCAGAGCAGCTGGGGCACCAAGAAGGACGGCAGGAGGGGTTGGGATTTAAGGGCACACTCCAAGGGCGGCCCTTCCTCACTCCACCCCAAAACTCATCTTCACACAGTCCCCAAGGAAGCTGTTGCAAACAATTCCCTCTACACTAGGCAGATTTGGGCAGTGAAGAGATGATGGGGAAAACCGAGGGCTGCAAGGAGAAGAGCTCCCGCGGTGAGCTGAGCCCCGGATTCTTTCATTCCTCCTTCAACAAATATGTACTTCAAGCCAACACAGGGCCAGGCCCTTTTCTTGGCATTATGGACACAGATGTGAACAAGTAAGATGACTCCCATCATAGAGATTATACTCTAGAGAGGGAGAGAGAGAGAGGAAGAAGGAGATGGAGAAGAAGAGAGGAAAGAAACAAGAAAGAAAGAAGGAAAGAAAAAGAAAGAGAAGGAAGGAAGGAAAGAGAGAAAGAAAGAAAAAGAAAGAAAGAAAGAAAAAGAGAAAGAAAGAAAATACGGAGAAAATAAAACAGGGAAGGTCCTCAGGGATGGGAGATATGCAATTTTAAATTGAGGAGATCAGAGGTACCCTGATTGAGAAGGTGACATTGGAGCAAAGACTAGAAACAGAGCAGCTTCCAGCTCCAACTTACACTGGCTCCCTGGGTAAGCTTGGGAAAGTCACTTCCCTTCTCTGAGTTTTCCTGGAAAATAATAAAGTAACTGGGTTGACCTTGATTTAGGTTACTGATTTGTAACTTTCAACTGTCTTTTCACTCTGCACGATCCCTTTAGTCAGATGAAGAATTATGCAGAACCCTATAGGTTAGACTTCCCAGATAAAATGAAGATACCCAATTCAATTTGAATTTCAAGTAAACCAATGAATAATTTTTTTGAACATAGGTATATCCCAAACATTGCATGGGACATACTTATACTAAAAATATTTGTTTATCTGAATTCAAGTTGAACTGGGTGACCTGTGTTTTTATTTGCCAAATCTGCCACCCTCCTATAGGTGACAAAGGAACGGGAGCAGGGGAAGCAGCCCTCAGAGCTCAGGAGCCCTACAACTAGCCTGTCTGAGCCTTGGTGTCCCCAGGGGCAGGGCTGGAAGGCATTCTCTGAGAGACTGTGATGGATCCTATTGGGAGAATGAGTGATCACAGCATTCCAAAGTTCAGCCTGAGGTCAATCCAGGGCCAGGTGCCCCCGATCTCAGGGAGCCTTCAATTAAATACCTAAGGAGAAGGCATTCAGTTCAGCACCTGGCAGTAATGGGTGCCCAGAAACTTGTCTCTCACTGTCCAGGCTTTTCAGAGGTAAACTCCTGTTCCATTTAGCTCAGATGGTCCCTCCACCCTGTAGGGCCAGGAAGAGGTTGACAGAGCATGGTACTGAGTCTGGGCAAAGGGCCCAGGAGGTTTGGTGGTTTTCTCTCCGCAGGTTCATTCATTCCTGGGTTGGAAGCTGAGCTTGGCTCAGAAGCTCTTTCACCCTCATTTGTCTCAGAAGTGCTGGCCCTAGGCTCTCCCACCCAGTAAGAGTTTAATTGGAGAAAACGGTGACTTTTTTAAATGAAAAGAAAAAACAACCTTCAAAACTAGATTAAGAGCAGAAATGCACATGGCAAAATATCTGAAAGCTCCTGGCAGGTGGTGGAAGAAGTCTCTTACCGGCATGAAGTAGAAGCAAAGCCGTCAGCCTCTCCGGAGCCCACAGTTTCAGAGCATGCTGTGAGCAGCTGGGACTTCTCAGCTGGCCACAAGCACTTGTATTCTCCCTGGGGTAAAATCAGTAGCCAAGGCAGTCTGCTCTCAATTTTCTGTCTTGTGGCCTATCTGAGCTGGGATAACTCCGGGATGAGGGAGAGGGGGACTGGGTACAGAAGGAAAGGAAAAAGGGGGTCCTGACTAGAGGCAGGACAGAGCAGAGAACCCATGGCATGCGTTCGTGCCAGTTCCAGTGTCTGTTGCTGTGTAACAATCACCCCCAAAACAGTGGCTTAAAGCAATTTATTTAAATTTCTTAGCCTGGTGCAGTGGCTCATGCGTCTAAACCCAACACTTTGGGAGGCTGAGGTGGGAGGATAGCTTGAGGCCAGGAGTTCAAGACCAGCCCGGGCAACATAGCAAGATCTTGTCTCTACAAAAAAAAAATTTTTTTTTAATTAGCTGGGTGTGGTGACACATGCCTTTGGTCCTAGCTACTCAGGAGGCTGAGGCAAGAGGATTGCTTGAGCCCAGGAGTTTGAGTGATGCAGTGAGCTATGATTGTGCCACTGCCCTCCAACCTGGGTAGCAGAATTTTAAGAGACCCTGTCTCTTAAAAATTTTTTTACTTTTTTAATTTAAAAATAAAATTAAATAAATAAATTTCACATGGTTCTGGGGGTTGCATAGGATCAGCTGGGCAGTTCTCACTTTGGGTCTCTTCTGATGTCAGCAGGAGCTAAAGACATCTGAAGCCTCAACTAGGCTGTGTCCCAAAAGGCTTCTTTACACACATGTCTGGCACCTGGGCAGGGATAGTGGGAACACTGGATGATGGCCCCCACACATCCCACACATTCTTGCCACATGGCTAGTTTGAGCTCCTTCACAATATGGCAGTCTGGAGTATCAGACTTCTTACACAGTAGCGGCTTTTCCCTGAACTTGTGTTTCCAGAGTCCAAGGAAGAAGCTGCAAGGCTTTCTATGACTCAGCCTCAGAAGTCACAAAGTGTTACTTACCTCTGCTGCATTCTGGTGATTAAAAGGGCCAGCCCAGATTTAGTGTAGGAGGGACTGGTGTGAATTCTGGGAGGGTTGACCCATAGTGGGAGGCTTTTGGGGAGACTAGCTACTACAGTGCCTTTGCTGTGTGGCTGGGGCTGTGCCCATCAGCCCAGTTGCCAGGCAAAGCAAAAGCTAAAGTGACAAGGACAGTCACTTTGCTGACTGGTGCAAATGATGCCCTCTAAACCTTGGTGGGGAGGGAATGTGGTATAAAGAACCAAAAAACCTGGGGCCTGGCACTGGCTCTGGCTTTCTCGGGCTATGCACTAGTGGGCACTGGTGTCTTCATCTTAAAATTGAGGCAGTTGGATTAAATCACTTAAGTTTCTTCTCCTCTCCGAGTTAAGAAATATATGGCTGGGTGCAGTGGCTCGCGCCTGTAATCCCAGCACTTTGGGAGGCCAAGGAGGGTGGATCACTTGAGGTCAAGACTTCGAGACCAGCCTGGCCAACATGGTGAAACCCTGTCTCTACTAAAAATACAAAAATTAGCCAGGCGTGGTGGCGCATGCCTTTAATCCCAGCTACTCAGGAAGCTGAGGTAGGAGAGTTGCTTGAACCCAGGAAGCAGAGGTTGCAGTGAGCCAAGATCGCGCCACTGCCCTCCATCCTGGGTGACAGAGTGAGACTCAGTCTCAAAAAAATCATAAAAATAAAAATAAGAAATATAACATGCTATATGAGTTCATCACAGAACCCAAGTCTCTCAAGAGGCAAGGGGACCAAGTCCCAGGGCCATTCCCAGAAGCAAGTATGAAAATTAGAAGTGCCAAGTTATCAGTCACCAATCTTTGCCTCTTCTGAGCAACAAAATCCATATGGCCAAATGGATATGTCCAATTCAGGGGATCCTGCACTTCCCTTCCTGACTGCATGTGTGTACACTTGCGCATGTGTGTGCACTTGTGCATGCGTATGCATGTGGGGAGGTGTAAACGTCAGGCAAGTGTCCCACTGCACACTGTGTTTCTGCTCCAGAAAAAACTGCCAAATGAGTAGTTTATACTGGAGGAAACAGCCCAAATACCTCAATTTATGTAACTATGTGTCGTACGGCCTTTTAATTTAGCCCTCGTTCCAAATGCATGACACATCCTTTTGACACCTTGAAGAAATGCTTCTCAGATGGCAGGCTGGGCACTGCAGCTCGAGGCTGCAAAAGGAAAGCACACAGCCCTGAAAATTAAAAGGGATTTAGATCCTCCTTGGAAATGTCCAGCCTCAGGCTACTTGATGTGGTCATTTATTAAGTGACTTAATCAGGGAAAGGAACTCAGTCTCAGAGCAATTAAGTTGCTTTCTGGGCACTGCTGGATTCTCCTAATTATGAGTGGGGTATTGCATTCATACTGGGACTACCAGAAGATAATTCTATTCCAGGGTTGAAAAACACTTAGCTACTCAGCTATGGAGACTCCATGTTGCTGAGAAACCTATTAAATTGCTGAATTTGGGGAAACTTTCCTTTGATTGAATCCAAGCAGGTTTGCTGTTTTTTGCTTTGTTTTGTTTCTTGTTTCTGAGACAGAGTCCTGCTCTGTCACCCAGGCTGGAGTGCAGTGGCATGACCATGGTTCACTGCAGCCTCAACCTCCCTGGCTCAAGTGATCCTCCTGCCTCTTCCTCCTGTCTAGCTGGGACCACGGGTGTGCGCCATCACACCCAGATAATTTTTTATTTTTGGTAGAGACAGGGTCTCACTTTGTTGCCGAGGCTGGTCTGGAACTTCTGACCTCAAACAATCCTCCTGCCTCAGCCTCCCAAAGTGCTGAGATTACAGGTGTGAGCCACCTTGCCTGATTTCCAACAGTTTTTTAACATAGTTTTATTTGCCCTATAATGAGAAGGATTAAGGTTATAGAATTATAACCTGTCAGAGTCTGATGACTCTCAAAGCTCTCTTATCCCAAGCTTATTCATTTATCTGCCAAAGAAACAAAGGGAAAATGTTAGTGCTCAAGGCCACATACTTTGTCTTTGCAAAACTGGGACTAGCCTTCAGGTCTCCTCTCAAAGCTCAAGGCTCTTGTCTAAACTAGTGGGGAAAGGATCTCTCTAGGACTTTGTTGGGATACTGAAGAACCATTCTAGGACCCCCTCAAATAACCAGCTATGGCTCCCCCAAAAAGTAGAGCAGAATGGACTCAATATCCTGTGCAAAGTGTACATGTGTGAGTGAATGCTCAGCGAGAGAATTTGCTCAAAAATATTTATTGAGGGCCTACTATGTACCAGGAACGATGCTAGAAACCAGGAATATGGCAGGGAACACAGTGTCTCTGGCCTAGAGAAGGATCTTACACTAGAGGCCAGTGAAGAGGAAAATAAGGGAATGAGTGGATGAATAAATAGATGGATGAGTAATTAATAGATGGATAAATAGATCGATAATAAATGAATGGATAGATGGATGGTTGCTACATTTAGAAAGCCAGGAGAGCAACAACTCAGGATTAAGTTAGGGCTTAGACTCAGAAACCTGGGGACCTGCACCATCCTGCATGCCTGCTATGCAGCCAAAATCAACTCTATTCAGATATTCTCCTGCTCAAAAGTCTTCGGTGGATAGCCAGTCCTCCATAATCCATACCCTACACTGCTCCAATGTTTGCCATTTACTTCAATTCTGGTTAATCTCATCACAGTGTCCTTAACACCACTACTAATCAAAACCATTCCTACTCATTTGCTCAGACTGACAGCTTTTCCTGGAATGCCCTCCGCTGTGCCCTCTGCCTCTTCTCCAAGTCCCTTTCCCTTCATCCAGCTCCCCCCACCTTCTCCGGGCCTGCCTGTAACACACACCAAGCACTGAGCACATACTCTTCGGGAGGTGCACCGTATCTGGTGAGCTACATTTGTCTCCCCCACCCTCAGCTAAATGGTCAGGTCATCTAGGTTAGGAACTGTATTCCCTTTCAGGGTCCCCAAAGACAAGCACATGGCTGGGCACACAATAGATGATCAATAAAGACTTTAAGAATAACATAGAATCTGAAGAAAGTAAGTATACGTGGTCCCCCAGGGCACATGCCTGGCTTGGGTTCACCCCTAGGAAACTCTGAAACCCTGGTTTTCCTCCCAGAATCTACTTCATCCAGCCCCGCCCTCTCCATCTGCTGTCATGCTTTCCTGGAGGCATCCCCTCAGAATTAACATTGGGGCGAGGCCTGGAGTGCTGGGCAAGGACGCGGGGAGGGGCCTTTTGGATTGTTTTACAACAAAATCTCCTCTTCTGAGCTGGTGAATGACTCAGCATCTTGGATTCCAAATGAAAAAAAAAAAAAGCCACTTTCATTCTGTCATGCAGGAAGCACAGAGGGTCCAGCTGACTTTGTGATGTCACTGTGCCAGGCTCGGAGCCCAGCCATGTCAAATCTGGGCACCTGAAGTGTGAGCTACTCTGCCAACCTTCTAACCAGTCAGGGATGGAGAAAGAGCACCTCCTGTTGATGGACTTGGCAACCCCATTTTATAGATGAGAAAGTTGAGACCAGATAAATCAAAACCTCTTAGGGTTCCCCAAATTGTCACTCTTTCTCCCTGATGTCTGCCCAGGACCTCTCTGAGCTGGTGAAAGATGAAAATTAATCCTTCCTCAAAACAGCTGCAGCCCTGTATTAAAGGAAGAATCTGTAAATACACAGCTTCTTTTGAGCCCCCACACCACAGGTGGCTGGTGGGGAGCCACCGTGCCTGCTCCCACTCTTGCATCCCGCTGGTTCCTGAGAGCCAGGGGCTCTTCAGAGAGGGGACTTCTTCTCATTTGAATATGTTGGGAAGCAAAGGGAGGTGTACATAACAGGCCCTGTGACTGCTGGAGGGAGACCTGGGCCAGCAGCTGCAGGAAACATTCAAGAACAGTTCATCCTTACAAAAATATCCTCCCTGACACCAACCAGCTCCGGAGAGGCAGGAGGGGACACTGGGAAATCAATCTCCATTCCAGAATGAGCCAGCTCTGCCACTGAGGCAGTTTCCCTCTTGCCCTGGCTACCACTGATACAGAATACCAGCAAGTGTCATAGCATCCACCCGTCGCTGCATCCCAGATCAGGTGGCCCGGGCTCCAGGACCATGCCAGGAGGAGGGGAGAAGCATCCTGGCCTGGCAGCCTGGCTTGGTCATGTGGGCATTGACTAGCCCACCTGGCCACCAAGCAGCACCTGGATTCTCCCCTCCTACCTTCTGCTCCTGCCGAATCCAAAGCATGGTCAGTGCATTCAACATGAATTCAACAGTCCTGCTGCTCAGGGTAGCAATACAGGACAGTGGCCACATGCCCAGACTCTGCAAGCAGACCTTGCTTCAACTCCCTTCTCTGTCCCTAGTTTAACCTCCCTGCACCCCAAGTACCCACTTTCCATTACGTAAAATGGGCCTAATGGCAGTCTCCACCTTAGAGAGTTGTCAGGGGAGTCACAAATCCTTCTTCTCAAGCCCCTTGTTCAGTGTCATAGTGAGCACTCAATAAAAGACAGCTACTATTTATAAATTAACAAAAAGACTTTTTAAAAAGCTTCTGCGGGGTACAAGTTGCCATGCTAGATGCTGGACCATTTCTGTGTTCATTATGGCTGGGCAAAGGAAGGGAGGGAGAAATTATTTAATCCAGTAAATTATGAACAGTTATGAGAAAGGAAAAGTATTTGATGTCTGAGGAAACCGACAGTATTGACTAAAGGCTAAGAATGGCCTCTGCCCTAGATGAGATGGCAGACCCCTGGTGCAGTAGGATGGGGTGAGGGAGTGTGAAGATTATTTCCCATTCTCATGCCTGTCATACTAGTGGCTATGAAGGGACACAAACGCCCTGTTCTAGATCCAAAGGGGTGCTAGGACTCCCGAGGAAGAAGCAGGAGGCCTTCTACTGGTGGATCTAGAAGCTCTGTCAGCCTGCCCCCACCATGGATCCAGGGGTGAGCTCAGGGCTGGTGGAGGGATGCTGGGGTCTGTGAGTCCCTGCATTGAAGGCTGCCTTTCATGTCTATGTGCATGTGAGAATTTTCTTGGGAAGACACATTTTCTTCATGTTTTCAATGGGGTCCCTGACCTCAAAAGGTTTAGAACCACTGCTCTATGCATTAACTTCATCCTGTCCAGCATGATTCTCAGATGATATTGTTAGCACCAGTCCTCTCTCTTCAACCAGACTGTATTTGCCATCCATCACCATCATCTGATATGGCCAGAGTAAATGTGTATTGGTTGACTCTGTATATTTCTACGTATTTCAGCTTTTCCCAGAAATCTCTCACTTTGGACACCTGGAGGGAGATAGGCGACAAACACAAAGCCTAGCAGGCTTTCTCAGGTACGGCTAAGGTAGATCAGGAAGGCAGCAGTCCCTCCTCACCTGACCCAGTTAGGGCTGGAACTGAAGCCTGCAGTCATTTACAAGTCATTGTGCACCATAATACTGCTAGTCATTCCTTTCTTCAACAAACATTTATTGAGGACCTACTGTGTGCCATGCACTGTTCCAGATGTTGGAGATATAGCCATGAGTCCATCAGGCAAAGTCCCTTTTGCCATGCAGTTTATACTCTAAGAACGAAACAGTCAACGATAATCAGACAAGCATGATACTTTCAGATGGTGGTAAGTGTGAAGATAAAACATAATTATACAGTGGAGAGAGCAGGAGACACTCAAGGTAAAAGCCTAGAGGTGGGAACAAGTTTGGCACATTTGAAGAACAGGAAGGAAGCTAGGGCAGCAGAAGCATGATGAGCAAAGAGACAGAGAAAGAGCATCAGAAGCAGTGAGAGAGAGAAGCAGGGGCTGGATCACCTTCGCCCTTGGAGATCTCCATAGGGAGTTTGTGCTGGGGGCAGTGGGGAACTATCAGATAATTTTAAACATCAAAGTAATGTGACACATTTTGAAAGTCACTAGGACTGCGGTGGAGAATTGTTGGGAAGAGAAGAAGCAAGGAAGCCACACACCAGGTGCCAAGCCAGACGCAGGGGACCCCATGACGAACAAGACAGCCACACACGCTGACCTCACGGAGCTTATAGTCTTAAATAGGAGACTCTGGGGTTCCCTGCTTCCTTTGATCCAAAGTCAGAAGCAAACACAAGGCCAAGATGTGCCTAGTCTCTGAGCTGAGAAAGGAAATAGTATGGTTTCCTCCTGTTCGCCCAGACCTGTTCAGCCTCAGGGGCACACCTCCCCTATCCTAATTCTCCTTGTTCAAACCCCAGACCAAGACCACCTTCCCCATCCGAGAAGCCTTCCTTGCCCACCTAGGCACACCTGTGTCCCAATCATGGTGGTGAGGAGTGGTGGGTGGTCTTGCTCTCTTCTGCTTCACACAGGTGAGTTTTGTTGACCAGCTAGCCTTCCCCCTCTGACAGCCTAACACAGAGCTGGGTATAGAGTAGAGGCAGCGTAAATACTCCTCAGATTTATACTGTGGGAAAAGAAGTATATATTTGTCCATTGACTGGAATGGAATGAGATTAGATTGGATTGAATTGCTGGTGGGCATTGTAAGTACTGACGTAGGTGACGTATGACCTCCTAGAAACTTCTCAGATTAAATATAGGCTAGAAAAAAGGTAGTAGAAATTACAGATTCCTTGTGAATGACCACAGCCCCAGCCATGTGCTACATGACCACAGTCCCAACTACAAAGATTATAACAGATTGAGCTTACAAATTTTCCCAATTAAGAGCGCTAGCTATTGAGAAGGGGGAAAGTTCAGTAACTGAGTTTGTTTACTTTTTGTTTTTTTTTTTTTTTTTTGAGACGGAGTCTCGCTCTGTCACTAGGCTGGAGTGCAATGGTGTGATCTCGGCTCACTGCAACCTCCACCTCCTGGGTTCAAGCGATTCTCATGCCTCAGCCTCTTGAGTAGCTGGGATTATAGGCACGTGCCACCACACCCAGCTAATTTTTGTATTTTTAGTAGAGACAGGATTTCACCATGTTGGCCAGGTTGATCTCGATCTCCTGACCTCGCGATCCACCCGCCTCGACCTCCCAAAGTGCTGGGATTACAGGTGTCAGCCACAGTGCCTGGCCGTTTGTTTACATTTTCTAGTTTCAGGTTCTACTGTTCTTACCAACCAAGTCTCCCTCCCCCAAAACCATCACTAGAAACTGTGACTAAAGTCCCTTATAAAGAACTGGTTTGGGAGTGACCCAGAAACATGTGGCACATTGAAGGCAAACCAGTCCCCATGGCTTCAGAAATTATATCTGCATGTGACTATGAATATGCATATCCATCATTCCTACTAATTATAATGTATTTTTATATGTATGTGTTGAGACAGATACTTGCCTATATGTATGTTTACTTACATGTGTGCATGTACATTCGTATTTGATTCTATGTGTGTGTTTATGTGTGTGAGTCCCTTTCTATATCCTTTCAGCAAGAACTCTAAATTAGCCCCAGCTGTTTAGGAGGCTGAAGCAGAAGGATTGCTTGAACCCAGGAGTTTGAGGCTGCAATGAGCTATGATCGCATTACTGCACTCCAGCCTGGGCAACAGGGTGAGACCCTGTCTCAAAAAAAAGGAAGAAAAGTTTAAAAAGAATTCTAAATAGTCTTGCTAGGGCTGCAAAAGACATCACTTAATAACCTTGTAGGCTTAATGTAAGCCTTTCCCAAGAGGAAATCTCACCCTATGAAGGGCTCATGACCTTCCCAGTCTGAATCTGTTCTCTGCCTATGCTCATTTCCCTGTGATACCTTTGCACTGCGCCTGCCCCTAGTGTAGGGAACAGACACTGGGGAATGTATTACCTGAAGCCAGATAGGGGGCAGCCACAGAGTTCCAGAGGCTAAGATCCATCCGAGAGTTGCCCCAGCTAGTGGCTAGGGGTGTGAGAATAATATTTGATCCCCAGGGGAGACAGTTCTTAAGGCCCAAGGCAGGGGTCTGGAGCTCAGGACAGGTACTCAGATCCACGAGAAAACTGGATTACTAAGAGGAAAGCCAAAAGTTCTGATTATGTATTGCTGTGTAGCAATCACTCCAAAACCTAGTGGCTTAAAACAAGGGCAATTTTTTGTTTTATTTATGGATAAAATGTGGCCAGGGCTTGACAGGAATGGCTTCTCTATGTTCCTTGTGGCATCAGCTGGGACACCGTGACTGGAGGTGGAGGATCCTCTTTCAAGATGGCTCACTGACATGCCTGGCAAATTGGTGCTGGTGCTTGCTTGAGAGTTCAAGCCTAAGGGGCCTTAATTCTTTTGCACATGGGCCCCTTCACAGGCTATTTGGGCTTCCTTACAGCATGGTGGCTGGTTCCAAGAACAAGTGTCCCAAGAGAACTAGGCGGACACGGTACTGCCTTTCATGACCTAGCCTCAGAAGTCACATTGTGTTACTTCTGCCATATTTACAAGGCCACCCAGATTTAAGAGAAACACACACACACACACCTCTCAACTAGAGCAATGTCAAAGTCACATTAAAAGAAAAGCATGTGGAGCCAGGTGCGGTGGCTCACACCTGTAATCCCAGCACTTTGGGAGGCCGAGGCAGGCCAATCACTTGAGGCTAGGAGTTTGAGACCTGCCTGGCCAACATGGTAAAACACCACCTCTACTAAAAAGATATAAAAATTAGACTGGTGTAGTGGTATGTGCCTATAATCCCAGCTACTCAGGAAGCTGAGGCATGAGAATCGCTTGAACCCAGGAAGTGAAGGTTGTAGTAAGCCGAGATTGCACCACTGCACTCCAACTTGGGTGATAGAGCTAGACTGTGTCTCAAAAAAAAAAAAAAAAAGAACGAAAGAAAAGAAAAAGAGAAGAAAAGAAAAGAAAAGCACATGGGATGGGAGATGTTGTAGTCATCTTTAGAAAACAAAATCTACCACACAGGTAGAAGATTACTCATACAACTAAATTCATTCCTTTTTCAACAAATCTTTTTTGAGGACTTAAAAGGTGAGGAGTGAGGAACCAGAAGGATATAGTCCCTGCCTTCAAGGAGCTCCCAGTCATGGTGCCATCAGGTGTGAAATCAAGGGGTGAGAGCACTGTGACATAAGTGTGATGCTGGGGGTGAGGACAGGAAGGTCATATGGGAACTGGAGTAGGGCCATGGCCTGACCTGGGGAAGAAGAATGTCAGGAAAGTTTTCCAGGGAAAGTAACATCTAATCTGAGTCCTGAAAGATTAAGAGATTGGGAAAGGAGGGAGACATTTCTAGGGAGATTTGAGGTGAGAGAGGGAAATACATTACTCAGCTTTGCCATAGTAACCAACAACCCCCAAACCTCAGAGGTTTACAATCATACACATTATTCCTCGCTCATATTGAACGTAGGCTGCAGGGCATCTGTGACTTTGCTTCAGGATGGAGCTCTGCACCACCTTCCTTTTCATTCTGTGACACAGGCTGGAGCAGCACCTATCTGGGGTATGCAGGACAAAGAAGGAAGCGTCATGGTGGCAACTTGCAATGTCTCTAAAAGCTTCTGCTCATCCACTCACATTTCATTGATCAAAGCCTGTCACACAACTGAACCCAGAGTCAATGAGGCTGGGGCTTCTGCTTCTCTACAGGAGCATAGGTCGTGGTGATGCACAGCTGCAGAAGGGGTGGAAGAGTCCAAGAACTGCAAATTATTCAGGCTGGCTGAAGCCTTGAGGAAGAAGTGGGCAGTGGGGAGAGGTAGGCTGCTCATATGTGCAAAGTCCAATAGCAAAGGGCCCCATTAGCCATGGTAAGGAGGCTAAATACCATCCTGAGGTTAATAGGTGCCATGAGAGGAATGTAAAGACAGAGTGGCACAATCTTATCTGTGTTCTAAATTGGTTGTTCTGGCTGATTTGTGATGGGCAACTTGGAAAAGGACTGACATTGGGGAGCGAGGAGGAAGGGGGAAGAAAGGAAATCAATATTTATTTAATACGTCTTATGTACCAAGCACTAGACTCTCACATTGATAGCAGACATGAATCGCAGTGGTACAGTCACTTCATTCTTCCAAGTCTGGGCTCACAGTCCCTGTTGATTGGGCAGTGGGCTATAGAATCCCTCCCACCCACCAACCTGAATATCACTGATCAGAGTGGGAATCACTGACCCAAGAGGAGCCTATAAGATTCTCTCTCTCTCCACCCTCATACCCTCCCTCAGGAATTTGGAGCAGGGGCAGAGATTTCTGAGTGCCTCTGGAGTGCCTGAACTAGGAGGACACACAAAGGCTAGGGAAGCACCCAGGGCAAGTTGCTCTTCAGAGAGAGAAGAACAAAGACGCTTGGAAGGGAACACAGAAAAGAGACCATTCTCCCATCCAGAGTGGGGGAAAGTGTGCCTGCCTTGATTTCCAACTATTTCCCAGGTTCTGTTCCACTTCTTTTAAGGACAATGGTGTTCCTTACCCTTGAATGCATGTGCTATGCTACCCCTGAATCCTTAAAATACATTTATTTTTGTGTCTTCTGTTTGTCTCAGTGGATTTCTATGACTTGTGCTTCAAAGTACCTTGACTAAGACATTCAAATTCTCTGAGTCCCCCAGGCTCACCCCAGGCATAATGGATACCAACTCAATGGGGCCATGAGCATGTCCAGACTTTCCCAGCTGTGGGGCTGAGGATGCTGCGGGATTGTTTGCCCTGGTCACAGTGGGCTCCTTCTCACCAGGCGAAAACAGGGACTGAAGGTCACCAATCTCAGAAAATCTCAGGGCCTGGGGGGCTGAGACTTGAGGAGGACAAGGGATGGCTTTTCCTAGAACCTAGACCTATCTTCCTGATACCTAGAAGGAACTCTCTCAACCATTGGAAGCTGGAAGTGTCTGGGAACCCAAGCTCAGAGAGAGGAATGGCTTCGTGGGTGAAGGAGGAGAGCTTGGTAGAAAACCAGGCCCCAGTGTAGTGGGTCAGAGCATGCACTCTGCAGCCAAATGGCCTGGGTTCGAGAACCCAGCTCTAGCATAGCTGCCAGACTTACACCTTACCTCTATGAGCCCCAGCGTCATCACCTGTAAGATGGAGATGCTAATCACATCCAGTTCATACCGGTACTTGAGATTATGTGAAATAGCACAATGCCTAGCACATAATAAGAATTCAGTAACTTCTTCCTATCATTACTTTTGCTGTTACAGAGGAACTAAGGGCAGCAAGGCTTATGGTTTATACTACGGGTTCTGGCATCAAAGACTGAAATTCCAGAGGCTCCTTATGAGCTGTATGACTTTGGGCAAGTTGCTTAACCTCTCTGAACCTGTCTCCTCACCTGTAAATGCTGATAATACCCACATTACAGGATTATTGTACCCACTCTACCTTAATATACCATTTTGTGCATAGAAGATACTCTATTAGTGGAAGCTATTTTTTATTTCAACAGATACACCTGGCTCTCTCTCAAGGCTCAGAGGGCTCAGGGGCTGATGAGGATGGAGTTAGGGAAGGGAAGAGGAGTCACTTTATTTTATCTTGGTCACAATCCCAGTCCACACACACCTACAGAGCCTTCAGTATGAGTTCTGCTTTGTATTCAGTCCTGAGAACAAACACAATAGAAGCAGAAAACTTCATCTCAACCCCATCGAAATATGCAATACTACATTTGTATGCAGCTGCCTTTTGCTTTCTGAGAATTATTCTAATGTGACCAAAATCCTGGAAATACTATCAGATAATGTAAAACATGATGGCAGCTGAAGTTCTCCAGTTTGTCTCCACACAGGGAATCCAGCCTTGTCATATACATTAGCTTATTTCCTCTTCTCAAACCCCTGGAAGCAAGGTGTTGGTTACATCTTATTTTTTTTTTTTTTTTTTGAGACAGAATCTCGCTTTGTCACCCAGGCTAGAGTGTAGTGGCATGATCTCAGCTCACTGCAACCTCCAACTCCTGGGGTTGAGCAGTTCTCAGCCCCCTGAGTAGCTGGGATTACAGGCTTGTGCCACCACACCCAGCTAATTTTTGTATTTTTACCAGAGATGGGGTTTCTCCATATTAGCCAGGCTGGTCTTGAACTCCTGGCCTCAAGTGATCCGCCTGCTTCTGCCTCCGAAAGTGCTGGGATTACAGGGGTGAGCCACTGCACCCAGCCAGTTACACCTACTTTTATTCCCTCTGCCATCTACCAAGACCAGGAAACTGACTCCATAAGATAAAGTTGCTTACCTTTGGTCACACTGTTATTAAGTGGCAGGGGCAGTATTTAACCCAGATAGCCTGACTCCAAAGCCCACACTCTTTCCACGGTTGCTGTGGATAGTGAACCGCAGACGCCAAGGTGGTCTCCTGTTGTACCCATTCCTGTCTTTCCAACTGCCCCCGAGGACCTCCAGTCACGTATCTCAGCATTTCCCAGGGTGCTTAGTCCAGGTCTGGGCATCTAATAGAGTCTTGATAATAATTGTCACCTGGAAAGTCAATCCATTTTTTGATATTGAAGTCAGGTGCTTTCTGAAATAACATTAATTGTATGCAACTCTAAACACACTATCATGATCACAGCCCTAGTGACAAAAGCGTCAATTACTAAGCATCTACTATGTACCAGATGTTTCATAAACTTTCTCTCTAATCCCCAAAGTGGTTGTATTCAATTCAACAATTTATTTGTTGAATGCTTACTGCGTGCCAAACACTGGGCTCTAAAATCCCCATTTTACGAATGCACAAAATAAGGCTCCAAGATTGAGTAACTTACTAAAGGGGTGGGTCTGGGTCAAGAACCCAGGCCTGTCTGACACCAAAGCCCACATTCTCCACTCTACTCACCGTACCTTTCTCTGTGTGTGTGACAGCATTTATAATAGTGTGACTACATTACAAGAGTTGGAACAAAGAGAGCTGACTCTACCTGTCACCTCAAACCAGAATACCACAGTGCTACTGGAAAGACACCTCTTTGCAGCTAACTCTGACCAGGTCCCACTGCTGCAGGCTCATGCGCAGGTTTCCCTGAGCGATCTGCCCTACCCAGCAGGGCTGCATCTTGTTTCTACCTGCTTCATTAGAGTGTTCTCACGGCACTGTGCATAAATTAATTAGCACATATTCTTCTACAAGAAACAGCCCCTGGGTTTTAGCCTTAATTCAGAGACAACAAAGTAAAGTATTGGATTTCCAAGTTAAGAACAATGCTGGCTTTTTCTAGGTTCCCTTTAAAAATGTAGAACTCGGTAGAAACCCTTATGTGGCTGCCTCCAATGGCCGGGTGGGAGTTGCCTCTTGCCCAGGCGCTACCCAAATGGGTAAAGCGAACAGTAGTCACCAGCCAGGCAGGAGGGGGTATCACTGATGAGTCGGGCTGATGCATTGTAATTAATGGTAATAAAAATAGATACCACATGAGAGAAGTGCCAAGCCAGGAATCTCTACGACAGGATAGAGTTTCTTTCAGGTAATGGAAAGAAGAAAAAAAGTCACTTCTAACAGGAAACCTGATCTACTCGTTGCCTACAGAGGATTTTTGTAAAGTAAGGAAATGCAACTGAAGACGGCAGCCCCAGAAAAATTGGAGTAACTCTACTTAGAAAACTTTCTTTCCTGCAGAAAGTGGTGGGTCTGAGCCAAGAAGAATGGGAACCTGGTGATGCTATAGGCAGTTAGACCTGGAATTTCTAAGGGCAGTGAGTTCAGTCTGTAGCTCCTCGGGCCCTGGGGAGACTCCAGCACCCAGGGCTCCTGGTTGAAGGAAAGCGTCCACTCTCTGAGACTTCCCCTCCAAGGAACAGGAGAGTAAGAGGGGGGGCTGGGAGAGAAGAGCGGGAGGAAAGAGGAGGAAGAGGGCCATTCTCCTATTGGCCGGGTCACTTCCCAGCTGTTGCTGTCAGTCAAACCCGATTGGTCATTCAGGCATCCATTCAAACATTTCCTGGGCACCCAGACGTTGCAGGGGAAACGTGTGATGGAGAAAAGCCAGCGTCTATCCCCCCAAGAATCCTGTGATCAGACCGTCTGGCAACCTAGTGCACCTCTGGGTTGTGTGTCTGTCTCCGAGGTCTCGCTCTTCGCGGACGCGCCCCGATTTTCGAGCCCTCCGTGCCAGCGCACAGGCGGGTCAGTGCTGGGGTGAGGAGGGAAGAACCAGCGGGCCCTCTCCGCGTCCTCTCCCTCCTCTCCCTCCTGGGCTACAGGCCTGCGGGGAGCCGAGCGCGCAGCCCCGCCGGCCTGAACTCTGGGCCCGCCGCGTGGGGGCGCTGGCGTGCAGACCCGGCGGAGCCATGGGGCCCGGGACGCGCAACCTCTCCAAAGCCCCATTGCAAAACAACCCGGCGGTGGAGCTCCGCGGCTCCCTGAACCCAAAGCCGCGAGCCCGTCCCCTCGCCCCGTGGCCCTGCCCGCCGCGCCCGCGCCCCTCCGCACCCAGGCGAAGGGGCCCAGGAAGGGACTCCAGGACTAAGGCGGGACCGCGGGCGGGGACGCAGGGCCGGGGGTCGCAGGGAGGCTGCCAGCGCCCGGGCCCGGATACCCGCCCCAAATCCCGCCTGGTCCCGGCGCCACCCGGGCCGACTCGCCTCTGTGCCGGCCTCCAGGCTGGCCCCGAGCCCCTGTGCTCGTTCTTTTCGTTTGAACAAGATCCCTCGTGAGCCCGCGGCCTCTAAACCGTTTGCTCTTGTGGGCCCTCCAGGCTGCCGCGTGGGTCTCAAGGTGAAGGCCTGGAGGGCAGAGGGGTGGCGGTGACCCCGTTGCTCCAGCTCTCGGGGCCTGTGACTGCCCCAGCCACGTGCGGCGCGGGCGACGCCGCGGTTCGCGCGGTTCCAAGAGTGCGACCGCCCGGAGCCCAGCGCCTCTCAACCTTGCCCGGGCTCGGAACGTCGCGGGGCGTGTTCTCCGACACAGAGAATTCGTGTGAGCCGACTGGCCTCGCCCTGACCTGCCCCTCTTAGGACAACACGGAAAACCGCTGGTGCAGGGTTTGCGAGTAGCTGGTTGCGTCCGCCGGGACCCGACAGACCGGCAGGTACGAGGGGCAGGTGGGGAGGCACCGGAGCCTCAGCGCAGCCCCGCCCGGCACCACCTGCCCGCTTTCAACGAAACACGTCGCCCAGGCCCAGAGAACTCCGGGACTGTCTGGGGAACGCGCCAGGCCCATGTCGGCTGGGGCGCTCGGAGCTGGGAGAGGGCGGAGAGCCTCCATCCAGGCCGGAGCATCCCAGAGCCCGAGGTGCGGAGCAGCATGGAGCGCCCGAGGCGGGCGGCGCCAGGGCCAGAGTCTACCCAGGGGATTTCTGCCGCCTTTATAGGCTGGAAAAATAAAGATCAAAAACAAACCGAAAAAAAAAAGCTCTGGTCCCCTGACTTGGCACCGAGCACCCGCCCCCTTCTCTTTTTCCCTCTGTCACAAACAAGGTTTCTGATTTGCCCAGAACAAAGGCCTACCCATCCGCTGGCCTTGGAAATAGCCAGAGAGCAGCTCCTTCTTCCTAGATTACCCTATTCTTTGCGAAACGGCCCCATCCCAAAACCAGGGAAGCCCTCGGGAGGCCAGTGGGCTGACTTCTTCCTTTGCCCAGAAGTGCACCCGCTGGGCGCGGTGTGCCAGCCCTGGGCTGCCCAATGGGCGCCGGACAGTAGGTGCCTTCTGGCTCTGTCCTGGGCGCTTCCTGCCCAACTCCAGGCACAAAGACCCCAAACTGTCCCTGACAATTCGTCTGGGACAAAGCTATTCCATCAGCCTGAGATCACTGGGGAGCACCCACCCACCCCTGCTGCTGCTTTCCAGAAAGTCTCATCCTCCCAGGGACTTCAGGGAAGCTTGGAGGTGAAAGGAGGTGTTTCAGTAAAGCTCAAATTTCCATGGTTCCGAAAAGGTTTCTCCCCCTAGCCATGGAGTTTCTCCCGTTTTTGCTGGATAAAAAGCAAGCACAAGCCTCTTGGGAATGGGTCTTTGGACAGGAAGGAGGACAGGGATTCCGGAGATTGGAGTGAGGTAGAACCAAAAGTTTCGGCACCCCGTAGGCCTCTCAGCAATTGCTCTGGGCACTGCAACTAGGGGGCTGAGATTGTCATTGGCTCAGGCTGGCTATTAAATCCTCATCCAGACACCTCCCAAGTATTCTGTTCTGTGGCAAAGACTATCGGGGAATGGGCCAGGCAGGGAAGGGGCTAAGGAGTGTGAGGAGACCCTCATTCAGCATGTAACCCAGCTACTGCTGCTACCAAGAGGTTCTGGCCCAGATGTGCTGGAACCAGTTTTCTACATACATGGGGGAGGAGGAGAATGAGGGGCATATTGACACACACCCATACATCGGGTAACGGTGCTCCAGGTTTTCAGTGCTTCCTCTGTAATGACTTTTCATATGGCACACAGTATGTTATCCACGGTGGCAGGCCCCATGTCTGTTCTGTTCTCTCTGTGCTGCTTAGTGTTGCCTGGAGGCTCCTGGCAGGTCTGATTCATGGGCTTAGGGCCCAGGGGCTGCAAAGAGGGCAGCACTTGGAGGAACAGTGAGTCTGAAGCTCCAGAAAAATCTGCTTTCACTGAACATAGGCGGGACCCAGTCCTGGGGGAAGTTTAATCTTAAAGCTTCATGGGTCAGAGGAGTGGCACATTCATGGTGAAGGCTGTGGCTGAGGTTGCAGAGATTGTATGCTTTTTCAGGGTTAGTGTTCTTAGACCCACCCCATCCCAGAACCAGCAGGAACTTGAGAGATTACCCAGGCTTCAATCTAATAGTGGAAGAGAATGAAGAGCAGACTGGGGACTGGCCCAGGGTCTCATACCAGGAAGTGACTGCCTGGTCTCACTCACCCACACCAGACCAGGGTGCTCCTCTGCAGCCCCAGCCTAAGCACGCTAAGATGTAAGATGGCCATTGCCAGGGCTGGGACCAGCCAGCCAGGTGAATCCTTTTAACCACGTAGCTGAAGGAGACGTGCTGAAAAGAGTACGTTGCACTTTTGTTGGAGGTCAGCAAATTGGGCTTTGAACCTCATCACAGTCTGCGGTAAATTCTTCTCCATGTCTCCCAGGGTCCTTAGATCCAACTCTGGGGCAGCCCCTGTGCAGCAGTGCATAGGACTCTGGATAGGGTGGCCTGGACACAGCAGACCTCCTCCCAGCCCACAGATACAGACTCTAAAGATGCCACCTGGATTTCTGCAGAAAGCTTCCCCTTTCTGCACCCGCACTGGCTTGGGACCTACTTTGTCAGCCCTGTGGCCTCATTCAACATGCCAGGGTAGGCCCCTGGAAGCTAAAGTCTTAAGAGGAGTCCCAGGGTTCCATTCTCTCATGCCTACAACACTCCCAAAGGACTTCCGGAATGCTGCAGCACAGGGAAAATTTTTGAAATCTTGCAGAGAAGGAAATAAACACAAAGGCATAAATATATGCCTTACCATAGACACCAAGCAAAACCAAAAGTTGAACCCAGGGCTCTAGACTCCCATTCCGCGCTCCTAGCACAAACTCCATAGAAAGCATAAAAGGGTGGGAAAGAAGGAACTGGCCTAGACTCGGGTTCCATAGCCCTAGACTGGCTGAGGGCAGAGCCCAGGATTTGTGCTGGCTTGGGTCAGGCACTGAGTATGGCCCTAGGAGCTCCTGGCCTGCAGCAGCTGAGGGGGGAAGAGGAGGAAACTGAAGGAAGTGGAAAGGACATGTCCGGGAAGGAGCTAAGCCCCGGGCTTTTCAAAACGTAGAGCAAGAACACACCCATCCTCAGTTCTCCCACCTTTGTGCGAGCCCTTCTCCCACAGGACCAGCACCACATGTTTCCATTGGCACCCTGACAAAGAAGCAAAAAACAGGACCCCCTTTTAAAGCACCTCATCCCGGAGCTCAGCGAGCCGGTTCCCAGGCTGGAGTGGCCAGGAGCCGAGCCGATCCCCAGCGGCGAAGCGGGAGGACTGGGAATCTTGCCTCCGTTCTCCTCCCCGACCACCCACCGGGGAAGCCCCACCACCGTCCTAGAGTCCCTGCCGTCGCCCCTCTCCCCCGCCCCGGTGGGCAGACTGCGGGTCTGCGCCGTCCGGGGTTCTGCGTCGCAGCTGCCGGCCGGAGTCAGCTTCCATAGAGGCCACACGGAACTGCCTGGCGCTCCTCGGGCTGTGGGACCCGTGGGGTTAAGTCTGAGTCCCCGCCCGGCGAGGAGCAGAGAGCGCAGAGTTGGGGCGGTACAGGCCGCCAGGCAGCCGGCGGGGCTAGGAGAGGGAGGAAAGGCGGGATCCTCCGGGAAGTCGATTCTCCGGCGTCCGCCTGCGGCCACTGCCAAATCTTCCCCATTTCTTTCGTCTACTCCCTCCCCTTTTCCCTCGAGGACCGCTGAGTCCAGAGTTTCTAGGATGGGGGTGGGGCGCTGTCAGCAGAAAAAGCCAAGTCTTTGGGCGGCACCCGAGCACGTCCAAACTCTCCCATCCCACTGGCCTGCGCCGGGGTAGAATGTGCCCGGTGAACAGAGAGCCTGGGAGGGACGCGGTGACCTGGGGAGAAGGGGAACCCTGTAGGGTCTGGGCGAGGCTGCAGAGCCCTCTCCTAGCCAAAGCTGCCCAAACTTTCTTCCCCTGGAGTCTCCTTCCACCCCTCTCCCTCCCCTTCCTCCTGGACACCCCCTTAAACGGTCTCCGCCTTCCCTTCTCTCCTCTTCTCTCCCCACCTCGATCCACCCCTTTTCGTCTTCGCCCGCTCCCCCCGCTCTCCTGTCCTCCTCCTCCCTCCCTCTTTGGGCATCCGCCCCGTCAATCTCCGCCGCCGCCGGCCCCAACCCGGCCCCTCTCCGCCTCCCAGGCTCTCAGAGCGCCCCAGGCTCCAGTAGAGCCGCCCTCAGTTCTGCGCGGAGCGGGGCGATCTGTCAGCGGAGCCGGCCGGGGGGAGCCGCCCGGCCCGCCGAGGCTCGGGTTACCAGTGACTGACAGCGTCTCCATGGCGAATAATTTGACTCCGACTATTGTCTGGCGCTGGCAGGCCCCGGGTCAGATAACCGGACCAATCAGGGCGCGGGCCGCCGCGCCTCATGCCCGCTTAGAATAATATTATTAAGAAAGCTGAGAGCCAGCTAGACGGGAGGGAGAACGAGTGAGAAGCGAGCGAGGGAACGGCGGGCGGGCGCGGAGCATGCGGAGCGGCGCCCCGGGCGGCCCCCGGGCTTGGGCGAGGGCTTGGGCCAGGCGCGCGGGCCGTTGGGGTTCGGAGCTTCGTGGGACCCGCGGCCGGCGCGGGGACGTACGGCAGTGACTCGGGGCTCACCGGGGGCCAGTGCCGGGCCAGGGGGCCAGCCCCGCCCGCGTCTCGGCCCGGACGGCCCGGCGAGGAAGCTCCCATGCGGGACCGCGCGGCCCGGTGAGGGCGCGCGCGGGCGGGCGGGGACGCAGCCGGCACCATGTCCATGCTGCCCACCTTCGGCTTCACGCAGGAGCAAGTGGCGTGCGTGTGCGAGGTGCTGCAGCAGGGCGGCAACATCGAGCGGCTGGGCCGCTTCCTGTGGTCGCTGCCCGCCTGCGAGCACCTTCACAAGAATGAAAGCGTGCTCAAGGCCAAGGCCGTGGTGGCCTTCCACCGCGGCAACTTCCGCGAGCTCTACAAGATCCTGGAGAGCCACCAGTTCTCGCCGCACAACCACGCCAAGCTGCAGCAGCTGTGGCTCAAGGCACACTACATCGAGGCGGAGAAGCTGCGCGGCCGACCCCTGGGCGCCGTGGGCAAATACCGCGTGCGCCGCAAATTCCCGCTGCCGCGCTCCATCTGGGACGGCGAGGAGACCAGCTACTGCTTCAAGGAAAAGAGTCGCAGCGTGCTGCGCGAGTGGTACGCGCACAACCCCTACCCTTCACCCCGCGAGAAGCGTGAGCTGGCGGAGGCCACGGGCCTCACCACCACACAGGTCAGCAACTGGTTCAAGAACCGGCGGCAGCGCGACCGGGCGGCCGAGGCCAAGGAAAGGTACGAGTAAGTAGACCTTCTTCGGCGCCAGCTCCCCGGGGCCCAAGGGAGGGGTTCGCAGGGCTTCTGCCGGTCCCCCGGAGAGGCCTAAACTGGGCCCCCAGGCCCGGCCACAGCCCAGCGGCAGCCCGGCCTGACTTGGACGATGCTTAGGCCTTTCTATGCCGGAGACCCGGCGAGCAGGGATTTGTCTAAAGCGGGCAGAGCAATTCAGGAAGTTGTCAACTAACTACTCGGTCGCTAGAGGAAAAGGGTGGAGAAGCAGAGAGCTTCGGGGCAGCGCAGAACTGTGGGCCTGTATCCCCTGTGAGGCAGGCACAGTAGGTCTGGTCATCCTCAGGACAGAGGGGTTTGAGCCCAGATGAAAGGGGATTTGCAGATTTCTTGCTGGTGGTGCTTCCCGGCATTTCCCCCCAGCCTTAGCTCCAGGCCAAAGTGTGATGGGGTCGGGACTGGGGCTGGAACTTCCCTAGAATGACCTGGATGGGGAAAAGCCAGGCCATGAATTTTCGTTGTCACATGGAGTTGAGAGCGGGTCCTTTATCTCCTTAGAAAGGATCCAGAGGTGAAAGGGAGGAAGTGTCAGTTCTGGGAGAGAAGAGACGCATGCCCTGTTTTCTGCCTTGCTAGAGATAGCCGCCCTTCCCTGGCACTCCAGGCCCTTGATGCCTCTCTCCTTAGGCCCTACCTCTGATGGGTAGGTCGGAATGTCTGCGGTGAGCTGAGAGGCACAGAGGGGCTGGGAGTTGGATGTCCTCAGGTAAACCAGGACTTCCTGAACCAGCCTAAAGGTTGATCATTAGGCCCTTGCCACTGCCTGCCCTATAACCCCTCAGGACCTCAAACCTGGAGAGAAACTTATTATGGGAACAGAATCCAGCCCGGGGTAAGAGCAAAACAGGACACCTGGGGTTGGTGATATGGGGTGTGTTCCACCCTGAGTTTGAATGATCAGGGTCAGAGGTGAGGGTGCTGAACCAGAAACATCTTAGGGGGAGTGCTGCAGGCTCAGATACTTCCAGGTATCTGAGACCCTGAGGTTGGAGTTTCCACAGTGGTGAGGTCTCAGCTGCCAGCCCTGTGGGAAGCTCCCTCCCAGGAAAGCAGAAAGAAAAACCCTCCCGAAGCTGGTGACAAGAGATCCTACCCAGGATTTTAAATATCCAAATCTGGGGAGGAGCTGTCAGTCAAAGGCATAGAAGGAGGTGGGTTCTCTCTGCTGGGTCCCCCTCCACCCAAACCGGCATGTGATCAGACTCCTGAAAACCTGGGTTCTCAGACCAGGCCCCAGATGAGAGCTGCAGATTCCCGGAGTGGCTGGTTACAATGGAAAAGCCTCGGCCTTCTCCCAGGGGCTGCCCTTTATCCCCCAAGCTTCTGGTCTCCGAGCTGACGTTTTCACTGTACCACCACGGAAAGGGAGTCCTCCATCCTTGGACCCTTGTCTCTAGGCCCAGCAAGGAGAGCCCTCACAGGGCTGCCCAGTTTGGAGCTACAGGGAAAGGACGCTTAGCCCCAGGAGCCTGTCTCCCAGCCAGGGGTCTCCCTCGGGCAGAAAAAGCAAAGGGAAATGAAGTCTTGTGAGAGGCCCTAAATCCCTTGACCTGGGATCCAGGGTTCCTTAACCTGCTAGCCCCACATCTACCCAGCAAACCTGGCTTGTGGAGCCTAGAGTGATCTGAAAATCCAGGCATCGTCTCTTCCTCCCGGCTCACCCCACAACTTCAGGGAACCCTGTTCTCCTGCACCTCTGTTCCTGAAAAGAAATATTGGGGAAGGGGGGAAAGAGGAAATATAGAAAAGATATTGATGAGATTGACAGCATGAGAGGTGGGGACGATAAGGGCAGAGGGGCAAGAGAAATTGGGTGTTGAGAGATGGAGAGAACGGGCAGAAAGGAGAACCCAGACCAGGTCGAGGAAATGGTAGAAACCGAAAACACCCGCAGGCCACAAGCCCGGGATCTGTCTCCCGAGGCTGGTGGCTGGCTCTGACTGTGACTGAGATGGCGCTGGGTGGTCTCGATGTCCCTGCTGACCCCGCTGCTTTGCTCCCGCACTTGCAGGGAGAACAACGAGAACTCCAATTCTAACAGCCACAACCCGCTGAATGGCAGCGGCAAGTCGGTGTTAGGCAGCTCGGAGGATGAGAAGACTCCATCGGGGACGCCAGACCACTCATCATCCAGCCCCGCACTGCTCCTCAGCCCGCCGCCCCCTGGGCTGCCGTCCCTGCACAGCCTGGGCCACCCTCCGGGCCCCAGCGCAGTGCCAGTGCCGGTGCCAGGCGGAGGTGGAGCGGACCCACTGCAACACCACCATGGCCTGCAGGACTCCATCCTCAACCCCATGTCAGCCAACCTCGTGGACCTGGGCTCCTAGAACCCATTTGCCTTGATGAGCTTGCCTTTTGTGACTTGACACTGGGGACGTGGAGTGGCGGTGTCCAGGGGCGCCCCGCCCCTGCGGCCCCACCAGGTACTGAAAGACCCGCAGGCTGAGCGGGTAGAACAGCCGGGTAGGGCAGATAGCTGTCTATGTTGGTTCTTGTTTGGGATTTATTTTCAACAAGTTACTTTTAGGATCCTTTTGGGGCTGGAGACTGAGTCTTGAACCACAGAAGGGAATAAATTATACACCACTGTCATTCTCTCTCTCCCTCTGTCTCTTCCTTTTACCCTCTCTTGTCTTGCCTTTTCCCCCTTTCCTCTTCCTTTCCCTTCCTTCTCTTTTCTTTTTTCTGCTTTCTGTCTTTCTCCCTCTCCTTGTATTGCTTTCCTTCTAGATTTCTAGCTTGCCACCGTTCATTCTCTCCTTCTGTCTCTCCCTTTCTCTCTCCTTCTCTGTTTCTCCTCTCTTCTCTCCTGCCAGTCTCTTGTACTCTGTGTCCTGGTCCCTCCGTATGTACCCCTGTCTTTCTCCTCCTGACTGGTGGTCTATCTGCCCCTACCTCTGGCCCTCGCTTTACCGGAGTAGGGGGTGGGAGAGGGAAGAGGAGAGAAAATACAGGGACTTTGAACCTAGGCCATCTCCTGAGGCCTTTTCCCTCGCCCATGTGGGTCAGTGGGAGCTGCAGGTGTCAGCTTTTCGTCTAGTAACTTAAGTGAGAGAGAAAGGGCAGCGCCACAGAAGCCCCTAAACGCCGCCTCGTCATACGCCCCTCCTCCTTCTCTCTTGGCGAGGCCCCGCCACACCGCGCTCTTCCTCCCGGGACTGTGACTACAGCGCTCCCGGCTGAGCGCGCCCCCCGAGCCGCCGACTTGCCGTCTCCCCGTAATGCCCTCATGTGAATGTTCTTCGGGAAATATTTCTGCTTTTATTTTATAATAAAATTAGAAATCATAAATATATAAATGGTTATATGCCACAAGGCCCGCGGGCCGGGAGTGCAGCTGTGTCTGATTTCCCTACCAAGACTCGACACCCCGGGTGGGCCGTTCTGGTTGGCGATGCTCTCTGGTGAGTCCCGAAACAGCCAGACGCCTTCCTATACACACGACTTGTGTCAGTCGCTAGGTGAAGGCACTGAAATTCCTGAAACAGCTCCCTCCCTTTTCCTGGCTGGGAAAACTCGCTGCAGAAGCGGGGAGGGGCAGCCTGCTGCCCTCCCCACACCAGCGACGCGCACAGCCCTTGCCAGCCTCTTTCTCCACCTCGAGGTCGAAGTGGAAGACGAGAGAGCTTGTGCCGAGGGCGGGTACGTGCCTTCGGAGATGCCAAAGCTGGGGAAGAAATTGGGCCGCAGAAGTTTCCTGCCGCGCGTACTCCTTGGCGGTGGTTGCAGTCTCCGAGACTGGGCGCGATGCGCTGCGCGGATTTGCCGGTCCCAGGCTCAGACCCCCAGACTTAAGCTCCAGACGCCCAGTCCCGGTGCTGCGTGTGGCAGTGGAGCAAAGGTATTCGAGCTCGCAAACCTGCTTCTGTGGATTTGCAGTGAAACTGAAGGGTCAGGGAAGGAGGGAAATCGGACTCAGGGCGGCCGGGCCGGCGGCCGCCTCTGCTCTGTTTCTCCCTTTCTCTCTCCCTCTGTTTCTCCCTTCTTCTCACCTGCCAGTCTTTTGCATTCTGTGTCCTGGTCCCTCCATCTGTACTCCTGTCCTTCTCCGCCTGTCTGGTGATCTATCTGCCCCTACCTCGGCCCTCGCTTTCCCGGAGTGAGGGGTGGGAGAGGGAAGAGGAGAGAAAAGACAGGGGTCAGACTGAGCTGGCGGCTCCGGCTCCGCGCATGGGGCGCCTAGGTGCTTCCGTGGCTATCAATTAACCTGCAGCGCCCCCTCCTCTCTGGAGTGCCAGCCCCCCCCTTTAAACGACGCATCTGAACCAGTCCAGGCAGATCCGTAGTGGGCAGGACTCCGAGAGGAAGAAGTTGAGGCTTTCCCTTCTCGGGTCGCAGTGGCGGTAGGTACTGACCGCGTCCCTCAGCGACCAGGGCACCGCGGCCGGGCGGAAGGGAGGGGATGAGGCGCTCGTGGCGCCCCGAGTTCCTAGAGCACTGTGTCCTCTCGGGGCTTTTCCTTTCAGCATTTTCTGGTAAAACCGGGATAAAATCAGAATACCCTTTCGCTTGGACTTTCTAAGCGCAAGGATTCCTTCCTAGTTGAGATTAGAGCGGCTGCAGGCTGCTAGGCCAGCTAATTTGGCGCTGGAGCCTGGACCTCGGCCTTGGATCTGTGCAGGCCTGGAGGTCAAGGGGCTACCCCAGAGGCTGGGACTGCACGGAGTGGCTGCAGTCCTCTGCCTGGGGTCGCACCATGTGTCCCTCCACCTTTGCACCCCAAGAGGAATTCCGGTCAAGGCAGTTCCTGCGGCCTCTCCTGGAAGCTCTGCTCTCAGGGACAGCTCAGGTCCTCCCGGGAACTGCTCTGTGTTTCTATGGCCTGTGTGGGCCCAACTTCTGCTGACTGACAGGGTGAATGGCAGGCTACTGCCTGAAGGTCTCAAAAGATTCAAGTGATGCCTGAAGCCACCTTGGGACAGCCTAGCCAGCCACACAGGACTTGGTGATGTCCCGTGAGGTGCCAGAGCCCACTCTTCTATGTACTTACTTCTAGGGAGGAAGAAAACAGTAGCCTCTGTATCCTGTCTCGCCCCTGCCCGTCCCCCATTTTCCAGTCTCACAATCACAGGAAAACAGGCTCTATACCAACTTCCACAAGGATGGGAACATACACATTTAACATTAATTAAATTCAAGATTATTAAGAGCCTGCTATGTGCCGGGCATGGTAGACAACACCAAATCCCCTCACCCTCTCACGCAGCCACCACTCAGGGAAACACACAGACTGTCACACACATGTTCACCCCTGCACACATTAGCACAACAGACCCTCCGCCCATTTTCAGACACACAAACACATCCTCAGGCACTCTCCCACACTGATATACATGGGAGATACCTGCACAAATGAACCCTTCCTCATGCCTGTGCCCACACACACACATACACATCATGCTTCTCCACAGAAGCACACAAACCCACAGCCACGCACTGGTGCCCTGGCTAAGCTACCAGTCCCTGCCCATCGACCTGCTAGAACAAGACCCAGCCATGCAGCATGGATTGCTGGGAAGGCCTTGACACCTGGCTGCTTGATGCCAGAGAAAGAGATGGCCCCAGGGCCCAGGTGGCAGCTGCTGAGGGATGCACCCCAGGCACTATCTCAGCCAGCCCAGGTGGGATCTCAGCAGTTTGCCTGGAGTTTTCACCTGCCGGTAGGGGTCAGGGTGCCAGTCCCAGGCTTTACTCTGGAAAATGAATCCCAGCATAGGGGCACTACTTGTTGCAACTCCCCTCTTTTCCTCCCTCTTGGAAAGCTAACCAAGAAAATATTTAAATAAATAAAATTTTAAAAAATATTTAAATGGAGAGGCAGGTACTACATGGAAGTTCTGAAAATAAATTTGGAAGCTACTCACCTACTGCACAAATCTATGCAGGCCAGTCCTCAGTTCCTCACCTGGGAAGACCAAGCTGCTGTCCTGACCTGTGAATAACATTCACACAGATGTTGCTCAGTTGATTACAGCCACTCCCTGTCGGCATCCCCACTGAATAGGATTCCCAGTGGCTTGTCACCTCTCTGCCACCCTTCACCCCCTCACCCTGTAGCAGTCGTGAAAGTCACCAGTTTTGTTCCAGCCACCTAAAGTGACCAAGTGACTGGAAGTGCCCAATCTTCTTTTCTGCTCCCCTGAAAGCATTTGCTACAAGACATCTTTCATTTGTTCCCAACCAGGTCCCATGACCAGGGGGCCCTTTAGGGTGAAACCCCATGAAGAAATAAAATCCAGCCCTAGGGGCAGCTGGCTAGACCAGAGACAGGAAATCTGCTTGGGGTCATTAAAGCCCCGGGCTACAGGGGGCAGAGGAGAGTATGCGGAGCTCGCGGTGTGTCCCTGTCAGTCTCCTTCCCACCCCCACCCCGGCGCCCCGCTGACCCTCTCCAGGACTCAAATCCCTACCCCAAATGGTATCTTGAGGGAGTGGTGCCTGCCTGGGGAGCTGGTGGTGCCATCGCATTGCACCAGGAAAAGTTAAACAGAGCCAGGGAGATCTGGTGAGAGAACAGGGTCTACTCAGTTCTTGGTTATCTTTAGTCGTTGTAGGAAATACAGTTTTGGCCAATGAAAAAGGCAGGACCAGCATCCTGGGAATTTGGCCTCCACAACCCCCTAGGGCCCATCTGCCGAAATCCGCCAGGGCGCTGGGACAGAAATAAATGTTTTTGTGAAGGACAGTTGAAGAAAAACCGAAGAGGAGAGGACTTTTGACTGGGCCCCTTCCTTTTTCATCGTGTTCCCATCCTAGCAGTAAGACTTCAGTCGTCTGGGCCCTCAAAGCTGCCTAGGAAAGGCTGGAGGGGCAGGGAGACCCAGTGGCTGTGTACTGAAAGATGTGAGCTGACGTGAGAGAAAAAGCGTGCACCGCGAGAGGGTGAAAAAACACCCCGATGAGCGCCGAGGCGGCGGACGTACACCTCGGGAGGGTAGCAGCCCTTTAGTACACAGGTGTAAGGGTGAGCCCAGAAGCCCAGGAGCCCACCAAGCGCCCGGCGGAGTCGGGAAAGTCAGGCTGAACCTCAGGGCTCCCGCACCTAAGTGAATGCGCCGGGGCTAGAGGAGGATCAGCCTCTCCATTCCTGCCGCCTGAACCTCCGCCCCCAGCGCGGGTTGGTGCTCCTTCCTGGAGCCGCTGCCGGCGGCCGGCTGGTGAGCAGGAAGGGAAGAAGGAACTCCTGGTCGCGGTGGTCGGGGACCAGGCTACCGAGCCGAGACTGGTCCTGAAAGACCTCGCGTCCAGGTGTCAGGGTCAAGGTTCCGAGCGACCTCGCGGGAGTCTCTTTTGGCAACTCCGCGGGTGCCTCTGCGGCTGGAACTCGGAAATGGTTTCTCCTGGGTTGCAGGATGGAATCGAGTGCAGAGGCAGATTGGGTGCCCTCCGATGGGGTGTCTTCCACGCCGTTTCCCCACAATCTCGGCGGCAGGGCAGCTCCCTCGCCTGGCAGATGCCCGCCCCAGGCCGCCCTGCAGTGGAGAAAGTCTCCGTTACACCTCTGGGGATAGGTCCGAAGAAGGCCTGCCGCCTCGCCAGACCCAAGAGACGACCCTAGCTGCCCTAGAGGACTCTTTCTTGGAAGGACCCACAAATCGGAGAGGCCGGCACAAAGGCGGACATGAGACTAAATCAAGAGCTAGCAGCGGCCCAGCCTACCCTGAGCACCAAGCGCGTCCTCCCTCCCTAAGTACTGGGTACCGACCTCACCGCAGGCCGGCTCCAGGAGGGATACAGGGCTCCGCCTACTCTGGGCGACCTAGGCCTCCAAAGACCGCAGTGCAGCAACTCCCACTTGCCCCGGCGGGGGCGGCTTTCCAGGGAGAGTAACCAACGCACTGCTCGGGGTAATGCGAGGCTCTGGGCCCTGAGGTCAGGGGAGCGTGGGACCTTAGGACTGGTCAGCCCGATTCCCTTCGGCCCGTTGAGCCGGCGGCCTGGCCGTAGGACAGAGGCCTGGGACCCAGGACGCTTGAGCCGCCCCGCGGGCGACAAAGCCATCTGCAACTCTGTCATTCCTAGTAGCTGTTAGGCTCAGAAGACTCCACCACTGCCAATCCAGGGCCCCCAGGCCGACACCCGGGATTCTGTAGTCCCGCTGGGGAGCGCTGTCTCGGCTGCTCCAGCCCGAGAGTCAGACTTAAGCTACCTGAGATCGTCTAAAGAGTAACCGGTCTGTGGGGCAGGAGGGTAAGAGCAGCCGCAGGGTGCAGGCGCAGTGGTGCGATCATAGCTCACTCGAACTTCTGGGCTCAAATGATCCTCCCTGCCTCAGTCTCCCCAGCAGCTAGGACTACTGGCGCGTGACCATGCTTGGCTAATTTTTTTAGTTTTTTGTAGAGATGGGGTCTCCTTACATTGCCTACCCTGGTCTTGAACTCCTGGGCTCAAATAATCCTCCCACCTCAGCCTCCCAAAGTGCTGGGATTATGAGGGTGAGCCACTGCACCTGGTGTATAACTACCATTTATTGAACATATACTATGTGCATAGAGCAGTTTAGACACTTGGTATCTGTTTAATTCTCACAGAGCCCATACCAAGAAATTATTATTACCAGTATAAGAAACGAAGGTGCCAGGATCAGGAACTTGCTGGAGTTACACATTAATTACAGCAGCAGGACGAGCATTTGAACTCAGTCTCAGAGTTTGCAGCCACTTTCTTCCCAGGATGCCGACTGCCTGTGAGTGAGCTCAGTGCTTGAGATTGGAGCCCCACATGGTCCAGGAGCTCTGGATAGCAGGGGCGGGTGTGGTGACTCCCACGGTGCGGGGTCGGTGGGGGGATCTGGACAGCTCTTAGATGTGGGGAGAGAACACCGTGCTACTCAATCCTCAGTTAGTCCTTGTAGGAAATACAATTTTGGCCATGAAAAAGGCAGGGATCAGCAGCTCTGGGGCTATGTGAAACGTAGACCGAGGGGTGGTAACAGAACTCACAGCCTCAGTGATCACCTTAAATAGCTTAAATCCTGTGAAAGAGTTTATATCCTCAACAATTCACAAAATTACTCTTTCCTCACTTGCTCTCTACTGTGTAGACATGACTCACGGTCCAGCAGCCCAGAAGGGGTTTCTACCAGTGCTGGCTATTCCAGAGTAAAGATGGAACCGTGGAACCCCAAGGTCAGCCTGCTGCTATCTCCCTCTTTCCCCTCCTTCTGCAACCTCCACCTGGTCTCAGCCACTCAGCTCAGGAAGATGAGACTGAGGATGATAGAAGGACCCTGAGGGCTGAGACATTAGTCCTTGTGGGATGTCCTCCTCTCCCCACCCCACCCTACCCCATTAATCCCACACTGGTGGGTTGGGGGCAAAGTTCTCTGTCTGGGAGCCAGTATATTAAAGCATCATTCCAGTCACTCTGGTTTACCACTGCAGAGCAAAGAGGCCAGGGAGGGAGGGGGAACCCAGACCCTGCTCTCTAAAGACCAGAACAGAGCTGGCCATCTCTGCTCCCCCAGCCTCACACAGGCCCCACTGGAAGCCTTCATCCCCTTCTCCACCTGCGGAGATATTGGTGGTACAAGCTCTCTGATTTCACCAGAGCTAGATGATTCTATCAGTTTTAAGATAAAGTGTATGAAATAGGCTATTGTCCTGAGGCAAAGCTTTTGGTGACACGGGAAAGCTACCATGAACTGATGAAGGAGGTCACCCATCCAAGCCTAGCGAAGTGAGCTAAACTTAAGGGTGATGCTAAACTTAAGGAGATAAACCCAGAAGTGTGAGTACTCCTCCCATTTCCTTCCCAGGGAAGAGCCCTGGCACTGATGGGGTGGGGAAGGTGGCCAGAGAGAATTAGAAAAGCAGAGAAGGTGAAGCTGAATCGTTTCAAAAAGCAAAGTAATATGAATAGTTCCTAGCATTCTTTATGTGGTACTTTGCAGAATTTCAACGGTTTCACAAAATTCTCATTGCTTAATATTCACAATTATATAGGTAGGCAGGAAAGTAATTCTGGTCCATGTTTGGCAGATGAGAAACTGAGGCTCAAGATGTTATGTGTGGCTCTCCTGAGGTCCCAGAGCTAATGGAGGCTCTTTCTTCTACACTCTACTTTTGAGGTGAGTTGTTAAGTTTTGGGGAAAGAGCAGATACCAAACCAGCCCAAAGAATAAAGATTGCTCTCCTGGGATTGGGGGAAGGATGTGGAGAGATGGCAGCCATCATGGAGGTCTAGATGATGCCACAGAGACTTAAAGTAAAAGTATCTCAAAATCAGAACAATCTGCCTCTGAAATCACTAAAAGGAATGCCTGAGGCCACTTCCATACAAGAGAAGCCTGGGGAAGTGGATAGAACTGAGAACCAGAGCTTTGTTCTGTCACTGGACTCGAGACCTGTCAGTTAAAGCTTTCAGCCAATGAGCTTGGAGCCAGAGATTTTCTTAGAAGGTCAAGGTTTTGTAGGTGATGCCCAAAGAGCTGCAGATTTTGTAACTGGAGAAAATGAGAAGGGACTCAAGGCTTTTGTTTAATCTGAAAGCCTAGACCCTGGTTAGACCCTGATGTTGGTCTGGAGCCTTAAGTGTAGACGTCAAGAATCACTTTTTTTTGTTTTTGTTTTTGTTTTTGTTTTTTAAGACGGAGTCTCACTCTGTCGCCCAGGCTGGAGTGCAGTGGTGCGATCTCGGCTCACTGCAACCTCCACCACCTCCCGGGTTCAAACGATTCTCCTGCCTCAGCCCCCTGAGTAGCTGGAATTACAGGCATGCACCACGATGCTCAACTAATTTTTATGTTTTTAGTAGAGACGGGATTTCACCATGTTGACCAGGCTGGTCTCGAACTCGTGACCTCAGGTGATCCGCCCATCTCCACCTCCCAAAGTGCTGGGATTACAGGCGTGAGCCACAGTGCCCGGCTGAGAATCACTTTATAATTTATTTATTATACCTTAAAGGAGTAGGTAAATCAAGTGCCCTGAAGGCGAATAATATTCAATGGCAAGAAATGGGAAGGGAATTAGGGGCAAGGAATGAGTGAAGACAAGAGTGATGACAAAGGGTGATGGAGGTGAGAGTCCAGGATATCTGGAGCCAAGACACAAACTTGGAGTCAGGCAGGCGTCAGCCAGCAGCACCTTCCTCCCTAGAGACCAGGAAGGAGCCAAGGAAGGCACAAACGTGTAGCACCACATCACCTAGAGACAACTAAGATGTGTTGGGCACCAAACCAGAGACCAGGAAAGACTAAAATCCCAACATACCTGGTAGCATGTCAACAAAAACCTACCTCAAACTCAAAATCTGCCCAACACAGGTCAGCTTCCAACCCAGATGGAGTTGAGGTAAAGAACAGGAAAAAAGACTACATAAGGTGTCACTGTAACAAATAAATTCCAAAACATAAGCTTATTTTTCACCCACCCAAAAGTTCAATAGGAGTGCTTCCGGTGAGCAGGTGGTTTCCCACAGGGAGATTCAAGGACCCAGGCTCTTTTATCAAATGGTTCCATCCTCACCTAGGACCTTAGAATCCTTTGCACTTAGTTGCTGGATAAGTAACGAGTGTGGAGGACAGGCATGGGAGGTGTGAGGTGGGGGCCGGTTTAGAAGTGGTACACTTTTACTCTTTTTTTTTTTTAAACAAATAATCAACTTTATTGAACATTCAAGGTCAATTTCTCTTCTTGCTCTTGCCTGTGACCTTGGCAAGAGCCAAGGTCCTGTGAGGACTGCAGCTGCTGCCTGATACAGAGTGGAGATCTTGTTGATGTAGCACAGACCAACCACGGAGAAGATGAAGCAGGTGGTGACACAGACTCGGTGGATGAGGCCAGATGCAAAGAGAGCCAACAGGAGGCACAGGAGAATCTCAGGGAAGGTCTTTGCTTGGGATCCTTTGCCAAACACAAGATTCTCCAGAATCTTGAAGGCAGTGAGGGAGAGCACGAAGAGACCTGAGCCATGCAGGCCACCCTGGATGGTAAGCCACTCGGTGGAGGCCAGCTGATGGATCTACATCTGCATCCCAGTGAAGAGCAGCAGGGACAGGAGGGAGGAGATCGCCAGTGAGGTGTCTGTACCCACCACCATCATGCCCTGCCTGTGAGTCAAATTGGCGCCTCTGACCAAGAAAACGGCACTTTTACTCTTATTCAATTGGCTGGAGCTTTGTCACATGACCAACCAACTGCAAGGGAAGCTGGAAAATGGAGCTACCTGTGTGGCCAGGGAAAAAAAATCCCAGGAAAAGGATTTACTGAGTGTGTATGAAATGTTAGTCAGTTCTCAGTGATTTTAGAACAGAAGCAACAGTGCTCTGTAAATTTCCTTTTTCTATGCATGTGTAGTTATTAGTGTTGCTGTTTTCACTATCATGGTGTTTGCATAGTGTTTTGGGGATTGTATTTTGTTTGTTTTGTTTTGGGGTGGGTTTTTTTTTTCTTATCTTGTTTTTTCTGTAGTGAAGAATGCACATAGAGGTACTGCATGAGATCCAATTCCTACAAGTGACCACAAGTCATTTCATTTCCTCATTGTTGCATAGAGTAATAATTTGGGCAAGTTGCAGCTGGAAGTAATTTTTTTAAAAAGCCAAATGAGAGGTCTCAAGCAAAATAGAAGATTATTTCTCCCACACATTAAAGTCTAGGTAGGCAGTCTAGGTTTGGTGCAAAGTCAAGCTCCTCCTACTTAGTTGCTCCACTGTATATAATCTCAATCTCATGTCCCAAGATGACACCAGGAAGACTGAAGAAAAAGGTAAAGTCACATACATTCTGTCTCTTAAGTAAGATTCCTAGAAGCTGCTACACAACATCCCATTGTCCAGAACCTAGCCTCAGGATCACACTGCACTTATAGGAAGACTGTGAAATATGGGCTTTATTTGGGACAACCATGTATTAATACAACTAAAATCCTATTGCTGAAGAAGGAAAGAACATTGTATCTGAACTCATTGGGAATTGAACTTGTTTATCTCCAAGGACCTTTATTGTTGTTCTGACTTTCTATAAAACCAATAACACAAACACAAAAATAATAGCAAATTGTATATTTTAAAAAGTTGCTTAAAAAACAGCACTACATCAATTTGTTAACAATAACCCGTGGCTAATTTATTTGTAAAGTTTAAAATCACATCAATAAGAATATCTCCAAATATATATAATGTAGTTTCAGAATTCTATCCACTGAATTTCCTTAGAGTGGGACAATTGTTATTTTCCCATGCGTTCATGTGACAATGTTTTCTGCAAATGTGGAGAAATATTGGGGGGATTTGTAACCTTTTTCATTGCTAATAAAAATAGTAAAGTCTGCAGAAAAATTTCTGTAACTAGCTGTACAACCAAGGAAGAATCACCCCACTCCTTCATTCATTTATTCAACATTTCCCTTGTTCATCTATCCCATAACTTAATATTTTCTAAGTACCTGTGTGCTCAGTACCAGATATGAGGATATAAACATCATTTTTCCATCTTCATTGGAAACAACTATAGCCTGGCATATGGCTGACCAACTACATGACCTTTCCCAGCCTATTTTGCTGTTAAGTGTAGCCCTAAGACCATGTTTTTTCTAAAGAAATGTTTGAGTGGACACATTGTGAGCCACTTCAAGACCCAGCCGATAAGATCTCCCACCTGTGCTTCCCCATACTGTTTTTCCCTTTCCATTTCCTTGTTGAATGGCAAAAACCAGAGTCACCTCGGAAGTCATGCTTTGAAAATGGCAGCGCTATCGTTAGCCTGGGTCCCTAAATTACTACATGGAGTGGAGCACTGAGTAACCTCCCTCCCGCAACCTGGGATAGCTGTCCCAGAAAAAGGAAGAGATAAACTGCTTTTGTGTTTGAGCCAACATGTTTTGGGATCTATTTCCTACAGTAATTTAGTCTAATTCAATTCCAGAGTATCACCAACCCCAATAGGCACCATTCACACTGTGCTTTATCTGCCCCTGGAGCACAACAGCCAAATTAATAAACTAGATAAATGTGATGTGCATTCTAGGCAGAGAATCTCCAATGTAGATAGATGACTGGATCTGTGTCCTCATTTATAAAGTGGAAAGGCATCCTTTCCAACTCTAACATGTGTGATTCTCTGGGATAGACCACAGCAGGCAGCAGAGAATCTAAAAGAGTAAACTCTTCTGGAATCAATGCTTTCAATAAGAATGTTCTTTCCCTGAAAGCCAGAGAGGGTAGCAGCCTGTCAAAGAGTCCAAGGAATTCTTTTCTTCATGATCGATGGAAATGGGGGAGTGGGGTAAAGAGAAAGTGGGTATAGGGAGAGATCAACTGAGGCCAACACTTAAGGTTAATGGAAAAGATGAAATTCTGATTTACTCACACAGAGCAACCTGCACACGTCTCCCATCTTTATCTCACGGAGAGAGCACTAGATGGGGAATCAGGAGGTCTGGAATTTTACCTCCATCTTCACCTTCCTGTGCAACCGTGAGCAAGTCAGCAAACTCTGTGAACTTCAGTTCCATGATAATAATGGGAAAGAGGACTGTCCATAGCCTCTTATTTCATAGATGTGACAGAGGAAATATGATCAGCACAGAAAGCAACCTAAAATCTTTGGAAGACAGACCTTCAGAATGATCACATGGATAAAAGCATTGGTCCTTTAGAAGTCACATAAAGTAGAGCAGTACTCACACTAACACACTAAGTACTGGGTTGGAAAATAATTAGTTAAACCTACTGTCTTTGAACTGCTGTGCTGGGATTTTAAAATGAGTTTCTTGGGGAAAACCCTCCAGTTTAATGGCAGTGAAAATGGCAGAATAAGGAATTCCAAAAGCCCACACTTCCATAAAGGCAATTTTTTTAATTAGCAAAAACTGTCAGAATCAACCTTTCTAAAACTCTGGAAACTAGATAAAAGCTTGCAGCAACCCAGGGAGCACTTATTCAAGAAGCCAGCTGAATCTCAGTAAGAACAAAGAGCTTTGTGACATTTTGACTTACCCCTAGTTCCATCCCACGCTCACCATCTCAGCAGTAGTCTTGAAAATAATAGCCCACATCAGAACTAATACAGGAGGGAGCAGATGGACCTCGTTTACAAATTGTCCTTAGTTGATGGTGGTGGCTCCCAGAAGTCCTGTTGAAAAGATTTGACTTTATCTTGCCAGCCTAAGTTGTCTTATGCCAAAGTCACTACCAAAAGGCATTTATCAATAACAGTTATAGGCAAATGTTTTAGCTTCTGCTGCCTAAGGCAATGGATAATGGTTGGGCACACAATAGGCTAACCCAAAAGCTTGGGAGGAAAGGCTGGGGAGTGAGATGCTTTGAGAAATAAGAGCTTTGTAAAGATTCAATATATTCTTGGGAATCTAGAAGGCCATGTGCATACCCAAGGTTGTGTGTGTGCCCAGGTAAGACCTGAGAAGGCTCTAATAGGGTTCTTATCTCTGGTTGACCTTGAGGCTGTGCACAAGCAGAATGTAAAGCAGTGTTGTAAAATTCCTAGCTGAGTGTTGAAGACATGCCCAACATACACACTTAGTCCTTCTGCAAAGACCGGGTGTTTTTGTTGTTGCCATTGTTCCAAGTGTTTAAGGAAATCTCTGTCTAATTAGCTGACTACTAAGCTAATGGAACAGAGATTTCAGTGGCCACATATGAAAAAGAATACAGAATTTACTAAATTAGTTTAGAAAAGTCACTAAGCAAACAGCAACAGTAGCAAATGCTAGAGACAGGGTAATATCTGATTTCCAGAGTTGCCACATAATATTGAAAATATACAGCTTTAATAAAAGATTACGAGGCATGCAAAGAAATAAGAAAAATTTCCCACATGCAGAAAAAAATGGAATCAATAGAAACTGACCCTGAAGAAGCCCATACATTGGACTTACTAGATAAGGACTTTGAGATCAGTTCAAAGAACTATAGGAAACTCTGTTTAAAGAACTAAAGGAGGCCAGGGACAGTGGCTCATGCCTGTAATCCCAGCACTTTGGAAGCATTGCTTGAACCCAGGAGTTTGAGACCAGTCTGGGCAACATAGTGAGGCCTCATCTCTATAAAAATAAACAAATGAATAAATAAAAAATGTTTAAAAGAAGAACTAAAGGAAAGCATGAGAATGATGTATCACCAAAATAGAAAATAGCAATAAAGAAATAGAAACTATAAAAAGGAACCAAATCGAAATTCTGGAGTTGAAAAGTACAGTAACTGAAAAATTTTACTAGAGGAATACAGCAGAAGATTTTATCTGGCAGACAAAGGAATGAGCAAACTTGAAGATAGGTCAGTTGAGATTATTTAGTCTAAGCAACAGAAAGAAAAAAGAATGAAGAAAAATGAACAGAACGTATGAGATCTGTGGGACATCATCAAGCATACCAACATAAGCATAATGATAGTCCCAGAAAGAGAGAAGAGAAAGAAAGGGACAGACAGAAAAGAACATTTGATAAAATAATGAACAAAAACTTCCCAAATTTGATGAAAAGCATAAATGTACATATCCAAGAAACTCAATGAATTCCAAGCAGGAAAACCCCAAAGAGATCCATGATGATACACATTATAATCAAAGTGTTGCAAGATAAAGAGAGAATCTTGAAAACATCAACAAAGAAGCAACTCATCATGTACAAGGGACCCTCAATCAGATTAGCAGCTGATTTCTGATCAGAAACCGTGGAAGCCAAAAGACAGTAGGATGACATATTCAAAGTGCTGAAAAAAAGAAAAATAAACACTTCTCAACTGAGATTCTACATCTGACAAAACCATCCTTCAGAAATGAAGGAGAAATTAGACATTCCCAGATAAAGTGAGTTTTGTTGTCTGACAATATTCTCAAGTGCTACGAAATGAGCCTCCAGTTTACACTGAATACTATTTTACAAAACCATGACTCTCCTACCAGGATGGGAAAAGGCCATGGTCCTCAGTTTGGTCATTGTCCTGAACTGCCAATTAGCAGTCACTAATCTTCACCCCCACCATTAGAGATGCCACTTTTGCCCCCACTCACCCCAAATAAAAACAAACCCAGGGCTAGATTCAGAGGGACTGGCCCCTAGCCTCCTTTTCCAGATGTCCTAAAGGGCAGTACAAGGGCCCTGGGGAAAAAAAAACATATAATCCACCTCTCAGTTTTTCAGTTGAGAAAGCTAAGGTTCAGAGAGATGAAGTGACTTTCCTGAACCTACCCAGGTGGCTGGTTGTCCTGGCTCCACAGGCATTGTTGACTCCTCCTTCCTCCACCCTCTATAATCATTTTTTAAATCAAGCTCAAATCTATATAGAAGAGATAATTTAGTCAGACATCTGTGAAATATCAGAAGAAAGAAAAAAGGAGATGGAGAGAAGAGAACATGAAGACAGAGAAGGAAAAAGCAGAATGAAGAGAAATGAAGAGACTGGACAAAAAAAGGAAAAGAGAAAAGAAAAAGCTTACAGGAAAAAGAAGACAGAAGAGGAATCAAGAGGTATAAGGTAAGAAGGAAAGGAAGATATAGGAGGAGTCAAAGTGAGGAGTCAGGAAGCTCAGGGATACCTGGATTTATCCATAATCAACTAACAGTTTTCCTAGAATGGGAGGTGCCACATTCCCATACCTCAGAGAAGTTGCAAAGCAATGTCATCTTCTTTTGCACCATGAAATATAGAAGTCAACATGAGAGGTAGAATCTCTTGGTGGCATAGGGTCTTGGCCCACAGAACCCTGGCCACATCCCTCTATACTTTCTTTTGCTGATTAACACTACCATGGTAGCTCCAAGGGCCAGTTCAGGGCTTGACACTGGCCCAGCAATAAACGCTATCTTTGTTTTGTTTTTTTGTTTTTGTTCCTGTTTTATTGAGACAGAGTCTTGCCTGGGCTGGAGCGCAGTGGCACCAGCACAGATCACTGCAGTTTCCACCTCCAGGGCTTGAACGGTCCTGCCATCTCAGCCTTCTAAGTAGCCACGACGACACGCACACATCACCATGCCCAGCTAATTTTTTGGTATGTTTTTGTAGAGATGAAGTTTTGCCATGTTGCCCAGGCTGGTTTCAAACTCAAGGTAATCCACCTGCCTTGGCCTCCCAAAGTGCTGGGATTACAGACATTGAGTCACCATGCCCAGCCTTACCCTTGTTCTTATAACACAGCTAAAATTTTGCCAGAACTTCAAAAAGGATTTTACTAAAAATGGTTCCTTCCAATATTTCCTGCTACCTTCTTGGTTCTGTGCCCACCTGGCTTCATCCTCCAATTTAGAGCCCTACAGCTGCCTCAGGCCACTAACCTGGTTTAGTTGCTCATCTGGACTTCTTCCCTTCCCTCTTGACAGTCCTTTGATTTCGGTAGAACCCAGAAATAAGATACCCTGGTAGGGTCACTTATACCAGATACCATTCCTTGACTCCCATCTCTTCCTAACAGCCCATAGATTTTCCTTTGGCTACTCATCTCTCCCCCTTGCATAGCAGCCATGTAGGTTTGGCTCATACTGACCCCAGCCCCAGCTTCAGGGGAGGATCCTGATTGTCTTAATACCAACAATATAACTCCACCCCTCTTGCCACAGTAATTGCTTAAAAGAATGGTCATGTAACCCAGGCCTAGATCAACATGGCAGTCTGCATGCAGTCATGATTGGTTTAGATTTGTTAAATCACAGAGAAGTGCAGAACTTAAGGACCTAAGTCCATTAAAGGAAGAGAAGATTGCTTTCTCTCTCTGTTTTGACTGAGTGATATGAGGTTTGTGATCTGGAACTGCTGCAGTCATTTTGCTACCAAGAGGGAAGATAGCCTGAGGGCAAGGCCACCCACACTGAGGACGGCTGACTTTTGAGAATTCTGGAGAAAGTAAGCCAGAGCCTTGATCCAATTATACTTGAAGGTTGCCCTACCTCTAGATATTTCATTTATGTGAACCAAAAACATTTTCCCATCATTGGATATTCTGTTTCTTGGGACCAAAAGCATCTTACTGACATCACATTCCACTGGCTTCAATCCTGTCAGAAATCACAGGCCCTTATCCCATATTTCCTTTCATCAAGGAAACCCAGGCTGACCTTCTGCAGAGTGCTAGGGGTGACGCTTCAAACAAATACCAACGGCAAACAGGGAATTTTATCCTAGAACAAGATCTCTTGAATTCTTAGCTCTGATGCCTCCCAGCCAGTTTCCTAAGACTGGAATCCTCCTAGGCAATGCTTCTGCCCCCATACCCATTATTTATAAATATCCTACCCACTTCTGGAATGTGCTATAGTCAGATAACATATGATGTGTAATGAGGGCATTGCTTACCAATGAGAACTTGGAAAATCCACATGTGGGATATTTAGTTTCTCAATAATTGAGCAGGGAGAATTACTTTATCTCCAAATCAGGAAAACAGGAGATCTTTGATGAGATAGAAAAAAAGTGACAGAAGCTGGGCACGGTGGTTCACGCCTGTAATCCCAGCACTTTGGGAGGCCGAGGTGAGTAGATCACTTGAGGTCAGGAGTTTGAGCCCAGCCTAGCCAACATGGTGAAACCCCATCTGTACTAAAAATACAAAAATCAGCTTGTGTGGTGGTGGGCACCTGTAATCCCAGCTACTCGTGAGGCTGAGACAGGAGAATTGCTTGAACCCAGGAGGTGGAGGTTGCAGTGAGCCAAGATCATGCCAATGGACTCCAGCCTGGGTGACAAGAGCAAAAGTCCATTTCAAAAAAACAAAAAAGAAAAGAAAAAATAAAAAAGTGATAGAGGCTCAGTTATCATAGTGTGCTCTAAGAAGCAATCAGTATTAGCAACATAGGGGTCTGTTTTGCTGCTGTATTCTGTGAAGCTGGCCTGGGAAGGGCTATCTTCCTGCATTTTCTATGCCAGAGTGATGACTGACAGCTGGAGCTAGAGGCTAAGAGGAGGAAGAATTAAGACTTTGAGGGAAAATCAGAGTGTGAAAAGATGGGGGTGAGTGGCAATGAGGAGGGAAGAAAATAAAAGATCAGAGAGAAGAAACTTCCTGATGCTCCTCTAAGGTGAATCCAGTATAGACCCATTAGGTGACCAAAGGTGATAGGGTTTGGATCTGTGGCTCTGCCCAAATCTCATGTTGAATTGTAATCCCCAGTGTTGGAGGTGGGGTCTGGTGGGAGGTGACTGGATCATGGGGGTGGATTTCTCATGAATGCTTTAGCACCATCTCCTTGGTGGTGTTCTCATGATACTGAATGAATGAGTTCTTATGAAATCTTGTTGTTTAAAAGTGTGTAGAACCCCCACCCCTCACTCCTGATCCTGCCATGTGAGACACCTTACTCCCACTTTGCCTTCTGCCATGATTAGAAGCTTCCTGGGGCCTCTTCAGAAGTGGAAGCCACTATACTTCCTGTGCAGCCTGCAGAACCGTGAGCCAATGAAACCTCTTGTCTCTATACATTACCCAGTCTCAGGTATTTCCTTATAGCACTGCAAAAATGGATTAATACACAAGGAGGTCCCCCCTTGTGTATTAAAATAAAATAAGCAATAATTTTCATATTTCTTAGTACTTTGTGTATGTGCTTGATAGGCTATTAGTATAATTTTCTTTCTGGCAATGATCTGCACCTTCCTACTTCATGCACTGCTATTAGTCTCCTTTATTTAGTCTCCACTTCTTTCCTGATAATAAAACTTGCAATTTGTAGCTGGGTACATGGTGCTCAAAATAAAACTACATTGTCCAGCCTCCCTTGCAGCTAGATGTACTATGTAACTAAGTTTCAGCTAATAAATATAATTGGAAGTGTTGTATGCAAATTTCTAGAAGTGTTCTTCAAGGAAGAAGATTCCTTTCTTCTCCATTCCTCCTTCCTGATGACAGGAATACGGATATGATGACTGGAGCTTGCACAGCCACCTTGGACCAAGAGGCAGTATGCTAAAGTTGGTGGAGCAGCCAGACAGGAGCCTGAAACTTACATGATTTTGAGTAGCTATCTAGCCCTAGACTTCTGACTCCAGACTTCATTTAAGTAAAAGAGAGATAAACTCTGATCTTATTTTAGTTATCAATTTCTTGGGTTTTCTGGCACATGTGCTTGCATCTAATTCTAACTTCAAAACTACCTTTCCATATTCAAAAAGCATAATCTTTCTCCTGGAACCCTACAGTCCTTTTATTTCTGTAATTTGCATTCATTCTCTTAATATTTCCTTGGGGTATAGTATTAAGTCTGACCATTCTTACTTCAAAAACGGACAGAAAAATTATATGACTCAGTTGAAAGTACAGCCTAAGGCAATGAATGGGCTTAGCCAAGAAGGTGCAGCGCCTCATTTCCCATTGCATGCTGTTCCCACCAGAGGGTATTATGGACAGGTAAGTTGCAATACAGCTAGGCACTGGATGCAGGAAGTGTTCAGCCACATAGATCCCTAGATGAATTTGTGTGGACTCAGGCGACTTCCAGAGATGTTCTCACTTTTAGTTCAGATTTTTATCAGGCTGCCTCTCTCAGGAAAAGCCCAGAAGTAGAAGAGGTCTGTTTAAAACCCACAGCTGTTTTTTTTTTTCATAGCTAAGGAGGAGATAAGCTATTGAAAAACAGAGAGAGTTTAATTTTTCCACTTTCCAGCCTATTGAATCAGTACCAGAAATATTTTTACCTAATTTTTATGAATAATCTGGAAGAATATGATAAAATCTCCAGATTTTCAGAAGACACTATGCTTTTGAGGGAGTGAAGGACCAAGAGGATGTGAACAAATTCAGGAAGATCTCATGAAGGCTCCTGAGAAAAAGACCAGTAAACTGAGGTAAGTGATGGCCAGACTGGAGATGGATAATAACCCACCTAAATGTGTGAGTTGGGAGCTGAAGGTGAAGGCACACAGATTATTCTTAGCTACTCTCCAAAGACATTAACTAATGAACTGGTGTAGTCAAGAAGTCCAATGCAATTCAATTGCACAATATTAATCAAGAGTCTATGATGTGCCAGGCATCATACCCAGTGCCAGTTTGCAATTATGTGCATAACGTGGACCCTGACATCATGGAGTACATAGCCTATTTCCAAATGTCAACCGGAAGAGGTTTGGAAATACTCTTCTTCCCTGTTCTTTGGAATACTGTGTGCAAAATGGATCACTATGCTCAAAGGAAGCCATAACAGAGCTGGAGAAGGTCCAAAGAAGAGAAAGAACAAGAAGGCAAGTGTCTGCCACCATGCACTTGTTACGTATGTCACCTCCTCTGTGAAGTCCTCCATGGTTGATTCCCCTAGGTAGAATTGACTTACTTTTTTTTTTTTTTTTGAGATGGAGTCTTGCTCTGTTGCCCAGGCTGGAGTGCAGTGGTGTGGTCTCGGCTCATTGCAAGCTCCACCTCCCGGGTTCATGCCATTCTCCTGCCTCAGCCTCTTGAGTAGTTGGGACTACAGGCGCCCGCCACCGTGCCTGGCTAATTTTTTGTATTGTTAGTAGAGACGGGGTTTAATCGTGTTAGCCAGGATGGTCTCAATCTCCTGACCTTGTGATCCACCCGCCTCAGCCTCCCAAAGTGCTGGGATTACAGGCATGAGCCACCGCGCACATCCTGAATTGACGTACTTTTACTTGAGTGTTTCACAGTACTTTGTGAACAATTCTATCATGACACTTTATTTCAAATAATTTTATTATTTTATTTTATTATTTTTGAGACAGTGTCTCACTCTATTGCCCAAGCTGGAGTGCAGTGGCACAGTCTCAGCTCACTGAAGCCTCTGCCTCCTGGGTTCCAGCGATTCTCCTGCCTCAGTCTCCAGGGTAGCTGGGATTACAGGTGCGTGCCACCATGTCCGGCTAATTTTTGTATTTTTAGTAGAAACGGGGTTTCACCATGTTGGCCAGGCTGGTCTCGAGCTCCTGACCTCAGGTGATCCACCCGCCTTGGCCTCCCAAAGTGCTGGGATTACAGGTGTGAACCACCACGTCCAGCTGTAATTTTGAAAAAAACATATCTTCCAAAATACCTGAAGGCAAAGACCTTACTTATTTTTGTATATTTAATATTTAGTATATTATGTACATTTGTATAGTACATGCTTAATAAATATCTGCTAAATTAATGGAAAGATGGAAATAGATTCCATTGGTCTCCAAAGTTTTTGTTCATATGCTGAATCAGAAAAAAATATTTGAGCATGACCCATATATGTATTTTAAATATATAGTATACGATATTATGTACATTATAAACCACATAAAAATTATTAAAATTGAATAAGGTATAAAATTAGCTCTAACATTTTAATATCTTATTTTTAACAGCAATACCAATAGTAGATGCAAATTTAACAGCAATACCAATAGTAGATGCAAATTCATATTTCAAATAACCTCCATAATTTTTATTTTTTTTTGGTCTGGCCTTGTCTGATCTGACCAGGGTATTATTGTTTTCACCTCATAACATGACAGATGAAGTGTCCAAGCCAGGAGCTGAAATGCCTACTCTGTCATTTTTTTTCCCATTGTTTGATTGTATTAATTGTCTAGTTTTTCAATCTAAAGATTGTTTACAAAAATCTTTGAAAGTTTCTTAACCATTTGGGGATGGGTAATTTTACTGAAGCTAGATCCCATTGTCTTGGCACCCATAAACTCAAGCATTTCTGTAACACAAGGCACACAAATGGCTCAAGTCCCCACTTGCAATCCTGTTGGGGAACACCCCCTCTTCCCTTGGCATAGCTTGTGTATAGCAGGTAACAAATACCCACCTGAAACACAGCCTGAAGGTGGGTGTCAGTGTCAAATCTTATATAAAACATTAGTAAAGGCTCACTTTACATTCTTTAGGTAAAATTAAAATACGAATGAGAGTTCTGTTATTTTGGTGTCTCACCCCAAGGCATCATTTTGTGGACTGAGTCATCGACCTTAGGTATCTAGAGAGGCTGCCTTGAACCTTGACAAAAAGGTTTTAAATAGAGAATAAAGACTAGATTTAGAAAGTGTACAGCTAGAGGCAGATACAGAAAAGCTAACTTCAATTAAATAACGTGGTTTCAAAGCATGGTGGCAAAAGTTTTTATACTTGTCCTATCAAGAGGCAGAATTTATCTCCCTTCTCTTCCAACCTGGGCAGGCCTCTGACAATGAGGATGTGGTGGAAGTGGTGTTACGTAACTTCCAAGTCTAGGTCATAAAAGGGTATGCAGGTTCCACCTCATTTACTGGAACTCTCCCTCGCTCACTTGGGGAGCTCTGAGCCTCCCTGAGAGAAGCCCAACTGCCCTGAGGCCCATGATGTGCTCTAGTTGATAGGTCCAGACCAGCCCAGCCTTCCAGCCCTCCCTGCCAAGGCACCAGATGTGCAAGAGAAGCTGTCTTGGACCCTCCAGACCAGCTCACTGGCCAACTAAATGCCCCACGGAACAGAAGAATCATCCAAGCGAGTGCTCTCTGAATTCCTCGTGCACAAAATCATGAGATAGAAGAACACGGTTGTTGTTTTGGTTTGGTTTTGGTTTTTTGGGGTTTTTTGTTGTGGTTGGTTTTGTTTTGAGACAGGGTCTCACTCTGTTGCCCAAGCTGGAGTGCAGTGGCACAAACACAGCTCACCGAACCTTCAACCTCCTGGACTCAAGCCATTCTCCTACCTTGGCTTTCCAAGTAACTACAGGTGTGTGCCACCACACCTGGCTATTTTTTTTACTTTTTGTGGAGATAGAGTCTCGCCATGTTGGCCAGGCTGGTCTCAAATTCCTAGACTCAAGCGATCCTCCCACATCACCCTTCCAAAGAGCTGGGATTACAGGTGTAAGACACTATACCCAGCCTGTTGTTTTAAATCACTAAGTTTTGGGGTAAAGTGGTTATGCAGCAGAGGATTACCAGACAATAAGGAAAGTGTTTTTCAAAACCCGAGGTCTCAAACAGTGGGACTCACCACCTTAGGAGGGAGTAATTGTGGCCATTGTATCAGTATTCACTAAGAATTGGATGGGCCGGGTGCATTGGCTCATGCCTGTAATCCCAGCACTTTGGGAGGCTGAGGCAGGCAGATCACCTGAGGTCAGGAGTTCGTGATCAGCCTGGCCAACATGGTGAAACTTCATCTCTACTAAAAATACAAAAATTAGCCAGGGGTGATGGCGCATGCCTGTAATCCCAGCTACTCAAGAGGCTGAGGCAGGAAAATCGCTTGAACCCAGGAGGTGGAGGTTGCAGTGAGCTGAGATGGCACCACTGCACTCCAGCCTGGGCGACAGAGTGAGACTCTGTCTCAAGAAAAAAAAAGAAAAGAAAAGAAAAGAAGTGGAGAAACATTTACCAAGCATGATGGGGAGGTAGCTGTGTTGCACAGAGTGCTGACCTTGAAGTCAGATGACACTAATAAATCCTGCCACTTAGTAGCTAGGAGTCCTTGGGTGAGTCACTTCACCAGTGTTCCTCACAGGGTTGCAGTGAGCATTAAAGAGCTATGAACATCATCTGCAAACTGGAAGGGACCCTGCTGCTATCAAGTTGTCAAATTGCAGGAAGGATGCCTGCATTGGGTAAGCAATTGAATTAGGTAAGTGAACTCTGAGATTCTGTAAAACCAGGATCAGTCCTAACTCATGTAGTAAGGTGTAAACATGTGTAAAAATATATGCTCTTGGTCCGGCGCAGTGGCCCATGCCTGTAATCCTGGCACTTCGGGAGGCCGAGGCAGGCAGATCACTTGAGGTCAGGAGTTCGAGACCAGCCTGGCCAACATGGTCAAACCCCATCTCTACTAAAAATACAAAAATCAGGCAGTTATGGTGGCCTGTACCTGTAATCCCAGGTACTCGGGAGGCTGAGGCAGGAGAATTGCTTGAACCTGGGAGGTGGAGGTTGCAGTGAGCTCAGATGGTACCACTGCACTCCAGCCTGGGTGACTGAGACTCTTTCTCAAAAAAAAAAAAAAAAAAAAAAAAATATATATATATATATACACACACACACACACACACACACACACACACATATGTATGTATGCTCCAACCTTATCGGTCCAGAGTCCATCTTTCCAAACACTGTTCAGAGTGAAATCCAGATGATCATCTGCCTTGTGGCTTTACCTAACCCCTGAGAGATGTTTAAAAACCCTATTAATCTCTTGGTGAAGGGAAGGGGGTGTCTGTGGACTCCAAGTTAAAAGGATTTGTTTTAGAACAGTATTTCTCGCAGTGTGGTTCCAGCACCAGCAATATTAGCATTATCTGAGAAACTATCAGAAATGTAAATTCTTGCCCCCCATCCCAGCAGATTTACTGAATCAGAAACTCTGGGGTGGGGCCCAGCAATCTGTGCTTGAATAAGCCTCCAGGTGAGTCTGCTATGAGCTCAAGTTACCTTATGATTAGGCTGACAAAGTAAGCAAATCATACACGCTGAAGATCCTGATGGCAGACCTCTGAGAAGAGGCGGAGGGTCTGGGGACAGTCGCAGAATGTGGGAGTGATCGAGAGCATCATTTATGACTTGCCCAAACTCTTCCACAGTGTTCCAGGTCTGGAAGGACCGTCAGTATTTCTGACATGTTTATGAAGGGTTGTTCACGATTCTCAGATAAAGAATCAGAAATATCGAGGGTTTGGGGATGAGAGTGGCTTGGAGAAGGTCAGTTGGAGAGAAGATGATGTGGGTTTCTATGAGATATTAAAGCCCTAAATACAGAGGAGAGGATTCCCAGACAGCTGCCTCACATCACTGCCTGCAAATTCGGCTTCCATCGCAGGCGACGGAGACGCGGAAGGTAAAGTTATGGCGCCACCTGCTGGAGAAACGTAGGCTCGGATTCCCTCCACTTGGAGATTCCGTTCCTCCCTAACACTCAGCCCTAAAGCTCAATCCTCCAGAGACCCCAAACCTGCAAGGGTGCCATGTACCAACCAGGTGGAAAACCACTGTCCTGCTTACCAATACGACTTCAGTTTTTCAAAGCTTGTGCTTTGGGGTCTGAGAATTGCAATGTTACAAGCCTAGCAATCTTTCCCAAAGGAGACTGGTATAGAATAAACATGCTCCAAGTTCCTTAAAAAGATAGGACCAGAGGAGGTTCACCTATCCATAAATAATCAGCCCCCCTTGTCAGTCCACCATAGTGAGGGTCCTCTTCCCAGACCAGGGACAGATGCTGCCAAGGCTCCGGAAAGAGTCATGGGCCCATGAGAGATACGCCTTTCCTGGCACGTGAGCCATCAGAGATCCAAAGCCAGTACCGGGCACTGATGAATGTGCAAGCACTCCACTCTGTGTAGACCAGGTCTGAAGGGCTCCATAATGACCCAATCATGGCAGCAGATGCCCTAAAAATGGCTCCCTCCTCTAGGGATCATTAGAAAGCTATTAAGGATGTCTAATTATTTCCTAGTGCTAATAAAGATGCCAATAAGCCAGGCAAGTTTTCTCACTTTTATGGAGATAATTAGAAGGCCAATTATTTTTTATGTCCATAAAAGAGTGAAACTTTAACCGCTGTCCCTGCAGCTGTATTTTATACCACCCTTGTGACAGAAGCTGCTTTGTAGCACTTCATTACGCATTAACAAGGATCTCGGGTTTTTAAACTCCAAACCACAGTCTACCCCAGATTCAGAGTTAGTCTGAAGGAAGTGGAGCAGGAAAATAGGCAATAGATCATTCTCTAAGACTTTGAGGGGAAGGAGTCATCTTGGCCATGCATTCTGCTTCGGAGATTGTATCCTACCCAACTCTAAGGCAGTGGTTCTCAAACTTGAGCTCATAGCAGACTCACCTGGAGGCTTATTCAAGCACAGATTGCTGGGCCCCACCCCAGAGTTTCTGATTCAGTAAATCTGCTGGGGTGGGGACAAGAATTTACATTTCTGATAGTTTCCCAGATAATGCTAATATCGCTGGTGCTGGAACCACACTGCGAGAAACACTGTTCTAAAACAAATCCTTTTAACTTGGAGTCCACAGACACCCCCTTCCCTTCACCAAGAGATTAATAGGTAGAATTCAAAGGGGTCCATGACTTTGGTTGGGAAAAGGCTTACGTCTTTATCTTCACTAACTTCCAACTGAAATTTAGCTTTTTAAAAAATGATGAATGTAGGTAACAGACCACAGTAGTGATAACAGCAGTGATAACAGATATTTTCCAATCCCATTACAGTAGTGGCAGGTTTCTGCAAATATCATCTATGCTTATCCGTGTTTTAAAACTCCAGTGGTTACTAGTCCTGCCAGTAGATTTTATTCTTTAATCCATTAATGGAGAAGCACATATTACTATATCACTGCTTTAAAAATATTGTGATAACTGTATTTCAAAATGATTGGTTTCCTTTGATGTCCTATGTATTATCTTTTGTGCGTTTGAAAGTGTTATTCAGACTGCCCGGGGAGGAGGGGGGAAGGGAGGAGGGGGGAAGGGAGGAGGGGGGAAGGGAGGAGGGGGGAAGGGAGGAGGGGGGAAGGGAGGAGGGGGGAAGGGAGGAGGGGCTATGGCACACAAAAAAGTGTAAGAATCTTGCTCTAAAGGTATGAAATTAATCCTCAAGAATAACTCAGAACTTCCTTCAAGGAAAAGTTTAAAAGAAGTGATAATGCTTGGATAAATGAGGAGAGGAGCGACAGGGAGGTAGCTGAGAGGCAGGGGGATGGATGAGATGGCCAGGTTGTTTTACCTCAGTGATGAATGGAGACCAAGAAAAGTCCACTTGGTCTTCCCTGTGCTCTTCACAAGAGGTTAGGTCAGGCCTCTTAAAACACTATCCCTCGGCCAGGCGCGGCGGCTCATGCCTGTAATCCCAGCACTTTGAGAGGCTGAGCGGGGTGGATCACCTGAGGTCAAGAGTTCGAGACCAGTCTGACTGACATGGTGAAGCCCGTCTCTACTAAAAATACAAAAATTAGGGCAGGGCATGGTGGCTCACGACTATAAACCCAGCACTTTGGGAGGCTGAGGCGAGTGCATCACCTGAGGTCAGGAGTTCGAGATCAGCCTGGCCAACACAGTGAAACCCCATCTCTACTAAAAATACAAAAAATTAGCTGGGTGTGGTGGTGAGCACCTGTAATCCCAGCTACTCCGGAGGGAGGCTGAGGCAGGAGAAACACTTGAACCCAGGAGGCAGAGGTTGCAGTGAGCCAAGATCACACCATTGCACTCCAGCCTGGGCAACGAGAACAAAACTCCGTCTAAAAAAAAAAAAAAAAAGCCGGGTGTGGTGGCAGGTGCCTGTAATCCCAGCTACTCAGGAGGCTGAGGCAGGAGAATTGCTTGAACCCAGGAGGCAGAGGTTGCCGTGAGCTAAGATCGCACCATTGCGCTCCAGCCTGGGCCAGAGTGAGACTCTGTCTCAAGGGGAAAAAAAAAAAAAAAAAAAAACGCCCCTCAATTCTCAACATGGCGTGAGCAGTGGCAATAGCAACTATATAGCATTAATATTTTAAATATTATGAACTTCTATCAGGAACCATATGGTTATTAAAGACTTAGGTGTATCATATATTCTCTGGGAGATCCGATTTTTTGTTTGTTTGTTTGTTTGTTTTGTGAAACAAGGCATCACTCTGTCACCCGGACTAGAGTGAAGTGGTGCTGTCACATCTCACTGCAGCCTTGACCTCCTGTGCTCAAGCGATCCTCCCACCGCAGCCCCCAGAGTAGCTAGGACTACAGGCGCATGCCACCATACCAGGCCAATTTCTGTATTTTTTGTAAAGTTAGGGTTTCGCTATGTTGCCCATGCTGGTACCAAACTCCTGGGCTGAAGTGATCCACTTGCCTCAGCCTCCCACGGTGCTGAGATTACAGGCATGAGCCACTGCGCCTGGCCTGACAGTGGTCATGATTTTATGAAGTGCAGAGATAGAAAGGCTATCCACTCAATAATTCAGAGATGAACCTGATCTCTAACTCCAAATCCTGCACTTTCCAGCCAGTTGAAGGAATGGGCATGTGTGTGGTGTGTGTGTGTGTGTGTGTGTGTGTGTGTGTGTGTGTGTGTGTGTGTCTGGAGGACAGAGTTGGGAGAGATGGCCCCTGTCATGAAATCCTTCTCTACCCCTTCAGGCAAACAAACCCTGGCCCTGTGGTCCCTAGACCCAACCCCAAAGTTCTCCTTTATATGAACAAAGGAAAGAGCCTGGGATCTGGAGTCAGAGATTTGAGTTCCAATGCTGATTCTGCCATTGTAATTCCAGGTGATTTACTCAACCTCCCCTAACCTTAGTCTCTACCTCCGTAAAATGAGTTTACCATCCCCCTGGCGTGGCTGTGGTGCCCAGTGGATGCTTAGTAAATGCCAGTGGCCATCACTCTTACACCTTCCTCTGCTCCAGTGGCCCCATACCAGCACTGTCTCTCTACTTCCCTGTCAATCTCTGTCATTTTGGCCTGGCCACACTTCTCCTCCCTCCTTTTCCAACTCATCCCAATCTTGCTTACACCTAAATCTCCTAACTCTCCCAGAACTGGGCATCTGAAAATAGCTCACTCAGTATCTCCAGCTATGCAAAAGAGGGCCTGATTATGTCTTCCTTAAAGATTGCTACTGGCTGTTGCCTGAACAGAGGAGTGGGTGCCTAGTCAGAGAAGAGAGATGGTTTCTTCCAGCAAGCCTTCCCTAGAACAGTTCAAATCTTTCTGGCATATTTCTTTGCCAGAAAAAGTCTGGAACTTGTTTTGACTTTGTCCTTCCCCTCTCCTGTGTGTGTTGAGACAAGTCCCCCAAACCTATGGCTTTGAGTGCAACCCCCATACTTCTACATCTTCCCGCTTCTCAACCCACCCACCCTTTGTGGATGGTGCCAGGGAAGCACACTGATGCTTTGTTTAAGAAGTGGGAGGAACTGGCAGTGTCAACTCCTCAATGTCTTGCATTCAGATGTGTTAATCCTTTTATTTGCTCTGTGTCCTTAGGCAAGTCGCCTAACCTTTCTGGGCTTAGGATCAACATATCCTGGTGGAGGGAGGAAATGGTTGCTTCATTTTCCTGAGTGTCTAGAAGGAGCGAGAGCAGATTCAGTTTAATCACCGCAAAGAGGGGTCATTAAAGTTTAGAGAGAATGATAGCGATGTCACTAGACCCAAGGTTCACAATGCTTCCCTGCACCCTCTTTCCTATCCAGCCATCCTTGATACCTGCCTCATAAAAGAAACAGAAGACGTAACCCTTAGGCATTCTGTACAGGGAAGATAGGCTTAAAAACAAAAATGACAGCATATGTGACAAGCACTACTCTGGCCTTATGGAAAAGCACTCCAGGTGCAGGTGAGTGAGTGACCAACTCCTCCTGGAGTGGGGTAGCTGGGCCCAGATGTGATTTGCACACTGGCTGAGCACAGCGGGCTGAGGGAAGGGAAGGATACGGAAGGGACGCCATGCATTAAGGGATAGTGTGCCATTCACCAAACTGGGGCATTCAGGAGGAGAAGCAGGTTTCCCACAAAGGATGAGGAAAAAAATAGTCAGTGTGAATGTAGACATGCTAGGTCATAGAAATGGGAGGCTACAGCTGGAAGACCACAGCCCAAGAGCGTCTGAACCCAATGAACCCAATGCATTCTTTTTTTTTTTTTTTTGAGACGGAGTCTCACTCTGTCACCCAGGCTGGAGTTCAGCAGCGCTATCTCAGCTCACTGCAACCTCCACCTCCTGGGTTCAAGCAATTCTCCTGCCTCAGCCTCCCATGTGGCTGGGACTACAGGTATGTGCCACCACACCTGGCTAATTAGTTTTGTATTTTTAGCAGAGATGGAGTTTTGCCATGTTGGCCAGGCTGGTCTCAAACTCCTGACCTCAGGAGATCTGCCTGCCTCAGCCTCCCAAAGTGCTAGGATTACAGGCGTGAGCCACCGCACCCAGCTTCCAATGCATTCTTGAGGGAAGTATGTGCCCAAAGGACAAGCAAGAATAATAACCATAATCTTTGTCATAATGATGATGATAACTACAATAGTAACCTGCATTGACTGAGCACTTACTAAGTGCCAGGCAGTTGCTTCGTGTCTTGATTTGTTGTTTAATCTTCATAACAAACCCATAAGGTGGATATTGTTGCCTTCATTTTACAGATAGGAAAACTGAAGTACCAAGGGAATGTGTAACAAAGCTCATTATCACATACCACTATGTGCCCAAACCCTGACATGGTGCCCTCGTGGGCCAGGTGGGACAGACTCCGTTTACTCCCGGCTAATGACCACAGCACCACGAGCCACCATGGGCCAAACAGTCACTATGCCTGTCCCCTCCCAAATTGGTTGTGAGCTTCAGTAGCTCCAGTGGTGAGAAACAGGTCATCTAGTAAGAAACAATCAAGGTCCACAGCTGAGCAGGCCCAGGCTGCAGGCCCACGCCCGCCTCACCTGGCCAAGGGTGTGTGAGCCGCCAACAAGCAGGGAGGCTGAGGAGGCAGCCGAGGGAGCAGGAGGCGGCCTCTCCCCCACCAGAACTGGCCCGGCTCCTCCCACCCCAATTCCGCTTATTTAGACCCCTCTTTCTACTTGATTAGGGAATTCCATGTCTAGGCCAGGATCCTGACCCACTACTGAAGGGGACTGGAGAAGGGGTAGAGAGGCGGGAACAGAGAGGAGCCTCAACATCCTCCCGCCCCCGGCTTCTGCTCTTTCTCCTGTTAACTCACCGGGTTGAATACACAAGTCCGGGAGCCTGACATCACCGCTACTTCCACCTCCAGGGAGGAGTCTTGCTGCGCATGTGTGTGCGTGTGTGTGCGTAGGGGTTGGGGAGGTCCCCACCACAACTTACCTCTGTTTTTCCCTGAGCTCTGGCCCCAGATCAGTTCACAGATATGCTGGACACACGGCTGAAAGTTAGGCAGCAACCAGGACAGCTGGATCCAGAATCCCGGAGGGGCCAGGCTGAGGAGCTTTCTGCCTCCAGGGCCTGAGAGGCGGGGCTTAGCCAGGGCTGGGGGCTGCATAGTTCCACACCAGCCAGGGTCTTGCCCACAGCCCAGCAGCTCCTCTCTGAAGCACTGGAATCCCGCTCACCCCCTCCCAGCTCAGGAAGTCCCTTAGGTAACTCTAAATATAAAGACCATCTTCTCCCTCTGCTTTTACCTCCCAGTTTGAGCAAATAGGAAGCTGCTGCTGCTGCTGCTGCTGCTGCTGCTATTAGAAAAGTGATTTTGTAGCGACTCTTGTTTACACAAAACTTTTGTCAAGAGTCCTAGAATCTTAACTTCTTTCAGCCTCAGTTTCCTCACCTGTAAAGTGGGACTAATCGCTTAAATGGGATAATACATGCAAAAAGTTATCTTAGTCCCCTCAGGCTGCTATAACAAAATGCCAACCTTACGAACAACAGAAATTTATTTCTCAGGGACCTGAAACTGGCAAGTCCAAGATCAAGGCACTGGCAGATTCGACGTCTTGTGAAGGATCCCTTTCTGGTTCATCACATGGTGGAAAGGGCAGGAGATCTCTCTGGGGTCTCTTTTATAAAAGCACTAATCCCATTTATGAGGGTTCTGTCCTTGTGACCTAATCACCTCCCAGAGGCCCCACTTCTTAGTACAATCACACTGGTGATTAGGTTTCAACAGATGAAATTGGGAAGGTCAGCCGGGCACCGAGGCTCAAGCCTGTAATCCCAGCACTTTGGGAGGCCAAGGTGGGTGGATCACCTGACGTCAGGAGTTCAAGTACAGGCTGGCCAACATGGTGAAACCCTATCTCTACTAAAAATACAAAAAAATAGCTAGGTGTGGTGGCACGCACCTGTAGTCCCAGCTACTCAGGAGGCTGAGGCAGGAGAATCGTTTGAACTGGGAGGCAGAGGTTACAGTGAGCCAAGATCGCACCACTGCACTCCAGCCTGGGTGACAGAGCAAGTCTCCGTCTCAAAAAAAAAAAAAAAAAAAAAAAGAAAGAAAGAAAGAAAGAGAAAGAAAAAGAAAAAGAAACTTGGGAGGTCACAAACATTGAGACCATAGCAAAAGCCTAGCACAGAACATAACTCCACAACTGCCGGCACTCAGCAGAGTCTGGTGTTTCTCCCTTCCTCCTCCACACCCTTCTCAGCACTGGGACTAGGAGAGGAGAAGGACCAAGCCACCTCCGGCAAAACAGGCCCCTGTGGCTGTGGCTGGACTGAGATTCTGTGGTCAGGTCTAGGCAAGGGACACCTTAGACCAAAATGGGGTTCTAGAACGAAGAGTTTCCAAAGCTCAGGATGTTACACGAAAACAGAATGCCTCAGAGTGACTGAATGCTGGTCTTTAATTCAAGGGGTACCTCACTACTTCTAGGAATGGGATGGGATTCATCCTGAGGAAGCCCCAGGGGTAGATAAGGGACCCATAGAGGGCGCTATAGGAACAGACTTTGAGTCAGGAAGAAAGAACTCTTCAGAGGTGAGTCCAGAGATGGCTGGGCTGGTTTGGAAGTGACGAGTTCTCAGTCACTGGAGGTGATCAGGCAGAGGCTGGGTGAGCTCAAGAGGATTTGGGACTGGAAGAGGTACTAGAGTAAATGACTTTCACCTTCCCTAATCTGGGGCTTCTGAGTCTATCAAAATAGGTAACTGCCAAGAGGTATGATTTGAGGACCCTTCACCCCAAATCTCTCTTTTGTCCATTACCGGTGCCTGACATTCCCCGGTTATAGATGCATTGCTTTGGGTTAAGACACTGTCTCTTGCAAAATACCAGGCTTCCTGGTTGGTGTCACCCTGGTTCATCAGAGACCTGATCTTGGACTTTCCAGCTACCAGAACGGTGAGTGAGCCAAATATACTACTTTTCTTTATCACCCAGGCTCAAGTATTCTGATATGGCAGCAGAAAATGGACTAAGATAGATGTCAAATTTTTTGTAATATATATTTCACAATAAAAAATTACACCCTCCAGCGCTGGGGATTCAGAGAGGATCAGTGAGGGAGGCTACAGATTCTGTTTCCACAGATACAGCCCGCTGGCCCTTTGCCATGGATACCTGTGCACTGCCCACCCCCTTCCTCCATGCCTGCAGTGGTGGCTGGGCCCCGGGACCTACATGCATGGGGGAAGGGTGCTAGTAGGGCTTAAGGGAAGGAGCTCCAAGGCTTGCTGAGTGAGAGGCTCAAATATCCAGTAGCTCCACTTAGGACTGAACACAGGGGCATGGAGATATAGAAAGCTAGTTGGAGTGATGGCTGAGTGAAGCAGTGGAGTTGCCAGGAGCCTGAGGGCACACCGGGGGCAACCGGAAGGGGAGGAGTAGGAAGCTCACTAGGGGCAACAATCCTGAAAGTATCCTCCCATTAGAAAGGGGCTTCATTGTCCAAACGAGCATCCTGTGGTCAGCGGCAGCTGCAGAGTTCTCGTGGAGAAGGAGCTTAGAGCAAGCACTCTTTGGGTACGTAAACAATAGGACATTTCGTGCCCCCACTGCTCCTGGAAAAAGCAGCAGGCTTTGCTCCGTGATGCAAGGAGGAAACAGCAGGGAGACTGCTTCTGAGTCGGTAGAAGGAAGAACTTTCTAGCACAGATGCAGATGGACTGGGCTTCCTTGAAAGGTGATCAGTTTCCCATCCCAAAGGTGTTCCAAGATAAGCTGTCCTCTGCAGATTCAGAGCTCCCTGTATGGGAGAGTGGGAGGAGATCCCCTGAAGAGGAGGTATTGTGTAAAGGAGTGGCCGCTGCTTTTCAAAGATGCCACTAATCCTCACAGGAGACTATCTGGCCCAGGGCACTAGATAATCCCAAATTGTCATTCTGGAGTTTCCTTTCATCCTGAAGCCTGGCGTGAGGGGCCAGGCAGCAGAGCCCACTCCCTGACACTTCCTGGAGAGAGTGTCAGGTGGGGGCACAGACTGGCTTTCTGTTCCTTTGCCTGAAATGCTAGGGTGGAGAGAAGACTGGCAGGAGGATGGGAACAGAGAGACATGGCATGTCACCCTCACCCTCTCAAAGGGCTACTTCAGAACCTAAGAGCTGGTGGCCCTGGACTGGGCTGGGCTGGAGTGGGAGGACTCTGGGCTCCCAGTATGTGGCAGGTATGAGGTCAGCCCACCCCACAGGCAGGATGTGTCCTGGGCCAGATGACGTGGGCAGTTTTTGCAGCCTCTATCCTTGGGGCTGAAGAATGGACTCTCATGAGAGAGCTGCATTTTTTTTTTTTTTTTTGAGACGGAGTCTAGCTCGGTCCCCAGACCAGGCTGGAGTGCAGTGCAGTGGCACCATCTTGGCTCACTGCAACCTCTGCCTTCCAGGTTCAAGTGATTCTCCTGCCTCAGGCTCCCAAGTAGCTGGGACTACAGGTGTGTACCACCACACCCAGATAATTTTTGTATTTTTAGTAGAGACGGGGTTTCACCATGTTGGCCAGGATGGTCTTGATCTCTTTTTTTTTTTTTTTTTTTTTTTGACACGGAGTCTGGCTCTGTCAACCCAGGCTGGAGTGCAGTGGTGCTATCTCAGCTTACTGCAAGCTCCGCCTCCTGGGTTCATGCCATTCTCCTGCCTCAGCCTCCCAAGTAGCTGGGACTACGAGCAGCTGGGACCACAGGCGCCTGCCAACACACCCGGCTAATTTTTTTTTTTTTTTTGTATTTTTAGTAGAGACGGGGTTTCACTGTGTTAGCCAGGATGGTCTCGATCTCCTGACCTCGTGATCCACCCGCCTTGGCCTCCCAAAGTGCTGGGATTACAGGCATGAGCCACTGTGCCCAGCCGGTCTTGATCTCTTGACTTCGTGATCCGCCCACCTCAGCCTCCCAAAGTGCTGGGATTACAGATGTGAGCCACCACGCCCGGCCGAGAGCTGCATTTCTAAGAGGTTCTAGAGAGGACAGCACTCAGCCCCACAGGCTTGAGTGATCCCCCATGGTGGGATTGAAGGTGGGATTGGCAGGTTAGATGAGGGCATCTTTGGGGACAGAGGAGTTTTCTGGCACTTTTTCACCCCATCTCGCTCCCTGTCCCACCTGGGGACTCATTTAGCCTACAGAACAATCACTGGTACTGCCAGTCAGCACTTCCCCAGGCAGGAAGGTCTGGGTATACTTGAAGGTCCCAGATCGGCTGCACATGAGAATCACCTCCAACGCATGTTAAAAACACAGACCCTTAACTGTGAAGCTCCCTTGCTTCAAGGAGCATCTCAGTAAAAGCACAGAATCCTATAGCAAGTGAATACATCTAGGAACAAGAGCTGAGATGGGAGAGTGCCATCCCTGCTGGAGATCTTGCCTGGGAGGGTTAAGGATCGGGTGGCAGTGAGAGGGTCGTGCATTCCGGGCTTCATGGGCGTCCCACATTGAGCACTTACGGGCATGTGCAAGCTGCCGAGGACACACGGACGGATGGCAGAGCTACACGTGCAGCCTCATGAGACAGCCAGCAAACCGTCTGATGATCTCTCCAGTTGTCTGGGCTCCAAAAATGGCCCATGAGTCACCACTGCAAGGCCCCCAGAGCCTGGCAGACAACCACACTCAAGCCAAGCTCCAGAGATGGCCTTGGGGAGAATCTGACTTTCTGGGGGCCCTTCCCCAGGCTCTGCTGGAACCTTCGCCACACCTTGCTTCAGCCGCTCCTCAGTGTCTATGGCTGGGTCACCGCCCAAGCTGATGCGTGTTTAGAAAACCCAACAGGGGGTGTTTTCTCCTGGTGACAGGCAGAGACAAGGGGGAGCTCAAGTGAGCTGTCACCTCAGAGGATGCGCAGACCTGCCTCCAGTCACACATCACCTGATCCCCAGGTCAAAGGCAGAGGTCAAAAGGGGTCCAGGGAATCATCTGACAGCTCAAGCCGGGGGACAATACCGAGCACCAGCAGAACAGTGTCCTGCCTGCAGATTCCCCACCGTGGGGAATGCAGGGGGCCGGAAGGAGCAGAAAGGCCCTGTCTCTAAACCTGGGACCTTTTCCTCAGGGCAGAATTGCTTTAATCTGCGAGTAGCTAAGCAAAGATGCCCCTCCATCAGACTCTGGTTGACTGTAGATTCTTAGCCATGATAATCTGATTAGCAAAGAGCTCGTTTCTCTGCCAGGCCTTCCACCTTCCTCCGCTCACGCAGTGCTCACGTAACACTACTCGTACAGTAATTCAAATAACAATGATGGCTGGGCACAGTGGCTCACACCTGTAATCCCAGCACTTTGGGAGGCCAAAGTGGGAGGATTGAGACCAGCCTGGGCAGCAAAAAAAAATTTAAAAATTTAATTTTTTTGTACAACTACAAAAAAATTAAAAAATTAGCTGGTTGTATTGGCACATGCCTGTGGTCTCAGCTACTTGGGAGGCTGAAACAGGAGGATTGCTTGAGCCCAGGAGGTAAAGACTGCAGTGAATCATGATTGTACCACTGCACTCCAGCTTGGGTGACAGAGCAAGACACTGTCTCAAAAAAAAAAAAAAAAAAATAGCTATCACTTGCTGAGTTGTTCATATGTCCAAGCCCTGTTCAGACCTGCACTTGCATTCCTGTATGTTCATCATGGCAGCCCTCTGCCTTCCTGTGCTGCGTTGACTTCCTGGACAACACTCTCTTGGTTTTCCTCCTGTGTCCCCGGTCACGCATCAGCTTGTTTTGCTGGCTCTTCCTCGTCTCTCTTCTCCCCAGCCCATAACAGTTGGAGTGCCCAGGGTTCTGGCCTTTTTCCTTTTCTTTTCTCCTTCTCCACTCTCCCTTAGTGAGGTCATCCCACTCTGTGGCCTTAAACATCATCTCTATAAAATCTGCCGAAAACTCGAACCTGTCCACCTCTCCCGAGCTCCTACTCATAGGCCCAACTGCCCACTTAACCTCTCTATCTGAATGTTTCACAGATGCTCAGACTCAACATGTCCAACCTGAAATCCTGATTGCTCCTGTTCCTACCCCAAACATGCCTCACTCTCACCCTCAACTCTCCCAGTTCCTGCCAATGGCAGCTCCCACCTTCCACTTGCGCAGAACTTCCTACGGTCCCCAATTTCCTTGAGTGTGAAGCAATTCCCTGTGATGACCTGTAGGGCCTGGCGGACCTGCACCCTGACCCAACATTGTTTCTGTGCCTCCCACTTCAAGTTACACTGGCCCCCTTGCTGTTCCTCAAGCACAGCAGGCATATCTTAGGCCTTTATTGTAGCTGTTCGCCCTTCTTGGAACACATTCCTTCCAGATATTTCCTTGGCTCACCTTCTTCAAGTCCTTCTCACATCTCACTTTTTAACAGAGGCCTAAACTGACAACTCCATTTCTTGCCACTGCTTTCTCCCACCCCACCCCACCCCACCCCTCCTGGTCCCCTTACCTGGCCTCACTTTTTATTATTCCTTGTTACCTTCAAACACACTACATGTTTTACTTATTGATTTTGCTTCCTTTTCACTGTTTCCCTTTAGAGATGAGGACACATCTTTTTTGGGTCCATCGATGTCACTCAAGTTTCTGGAACAATGCCTAGTACATAGTAGGTGCTTAATAAACAATGTTGAATTGACTCACATAAGGTGCTGAATCTCCTCCAGGCCAATTTGAAGAGCTTCAGAGGCTGCACATCAAACACACTAAAATGTCACCATGCTCACATTAAGTTTCCTGCTTACAATTTTCTGTGTATAGAATCTTGACACATTTCATTTATGATTGGCTTTGATGTCTCAATCATTGGGCATATTTGGGAAATATGAGATCCTAACTTACAATTTGATTTCAAATATTTTACAAATATTAAATATTTATTTATTTATTAGTGACAGTGTTTTGCTCTGTTGCCCAGGCTGTAGGGCAGTGAAGGGATCATGGCTCACTGCACTTGAAACTCCTGGGCTCAAGCGATCCTCCCACTTCCGCCTCCCGAGTAGGTGGGACAACAGGCAAACACAACTGCGCCCAGCTAATTTTTATCTTTATTTTTTGTAGAGATGTGGGGTCTCCCTGTGTCGCCCAGGCAGGTCTCAAACTCCTGGCTTCAAGCAGTCCTCCAACCTTGGCCTCCCAAAGCACCGAGATTACAGGTGTAAAGCCACCACACCCAGCACAAATATTAAATTAATGAACTTTGGGTATACTAATAAAATGTGTATCAATGGGATTTTTATAGTTCTTGTTTCATATTTTGGACTCATAATGTATTTTCAAGATCTGAAACATTGTCATAGGCCCCGTGACTCTGGTGCCTACAGGAAAAAGTCTGATAATGTCAGCGGTGGAGCTGAAGAGTGGACAAAACCCACCCGCTAAGAGGACAGCCTTAAAACCTGGTTCCGGAGATGTCCTCAGTCTTGAATGACCTTCTGATTTTTAAACATTCACTCTCCATGAGGCATGGCTGGGCAGCTTTCCTCAGGTTCCTGGAGGCCCAGCCTTATGATCGAGACTCTTCTTGTGTTCATGTCCATATGCATGTGTCCTGTGAACCTTGCTTTCTGGGAAACCATGTGACTCTGTACTCTGAGAAGTCAGAAGAACCCCACCTACCCTCTCTCCAAACTCTAGGTCCTGTTTTCTTTGTCATTTCTGCACATATGGTTGCTAGATGGAGCCTAGTCTCCCTCATTACCTTCCTACCTGGGATCCCTACAGTCGTGAGTGTCTACAGTGGGCAAAGCATACAAGAAAAAGGGCTCCTGTATATAGCTGGTATAAGCCTCTGCAGAGTCACAGTTCAGTCTCCTGATTGTAAATAGCTGGGCATGCAAACAACATTAGCCTGTCTCATGAAGCCAGGACATGGCCTGCCCCCACCCTCACTGTATGTTGTCACCCCCTGTCCATGCTGCCTGCACTCACACTGAGCCCCAGGAATGCTGGTGTCCCACCAGTTCCCCATCTGTATGGTGGCCTTTGGGTTTGGGCTCTGAGCTTGCACCTTCACACCTTCAGTTTCAGGGTAACCTGGACTTGCTCTGCAGCTGTCTTCGTCCTCTTAGGGATCCCTCTGGTTTCTGGCTCCTGTTTAAAAAAACAAAACAAAACAAAACAAAAGCCATTTCTTCAACACTTCCAGATTCACCAGGCTGTGTACAGACATATCTCAGCAACCTTGCAGGCACAATATTCCTACACCAGGATGTTCCTTCCCTCAGACCTCCAGGGAGTCTCATCCTGCCTGCTGTCTGCTCTTTTTCCCCACCCCTAGCCCTTGACATTGGGGCTACACATGGCATGTGGCATAAAAGGAACATGAGCCTGGGAGGTATTACAGATTTAGTTTCCGATTCTGAATATGCCACTCTCTATCTCGGTGACCTCAAGTATGTCATTTAGTGCATTATTTAACCTCTCTGACCCTCAGGTTTCCATTAGTCAAATGGGTTTTATAATAATATTTATATCTCAGAAGCTCTTTAAGAATTCATGTAAAGTACCTTGGATAGTGCCCGGTGCAGGGTACGTACTCACTTAACCTTAGGCTTCCTCTGACTTTGCCTTTCTGCCCTCTAACATCTATAAGTGCTGTTTTTGAGGGAGGGGGTCTTGGCTTCAGTCTTAATTCACGCCATCTTCCAACTCAGGCTCACATATGTCAGCACAGCCAATGTGCTGAGTCCCCGTGTCTTCTCTCCTTCACCAGCCCTTCTTAGAGTTCTGCCTAGTTCCTTAGTGCGATAATGTGTATGAGGACACCAGGGTGGGGGTGGACCTCTGCTATACCAGGGCTCTCTGTGACCCTGTCTGTGCTTGCTTCACAATTCTTCTAAAGTGCCCCCTTTGCTCTCCCCCTACTAGACCCGCATTCTATGGTCAAGAGAAAGAAAGGTGAAAGGCTGGGTCTTTTCATACAGTTTGACATTAATCCTGAGTCTTTCAGAAATGGTGAATTTAAAAAGCACTCCGCCTTGATAGTAATGAACACATTACATTTTTCTATTGATGTAATAGGTCTGCATTTGTACATCACCCAGGCAGCCCCCTAGATTTCTGCAGAGCCCAGCACTTTGCTGGCTCCCCACCACCCTCACTGAGGCACAAATGCTTGCAAAGAATGTTCCTCCCCAGGAGCGTCAGCAATGGCTCTGGCCTCTAAGTCGTCGGATGTCAGATTTCTTTTCGGAGATGATTATTTGCGTTGTCATTTATCCCGTGTATGTGGCTCAAATTTTACAATATATGTTACAATATATCCCTCTGTCCTCTGTCCTGACTACCAAGGCCAACTGAAGAAGAGGGGCCCATCTCTGAAGACTGGAAGCTGCTCCTCCAGCTGGCTTGGGATGTAGGTGGCCTTGTCTGCAAAAAGAGAGAGGGATGAAATCAGTGGGTTCTCGGGCTTTTGCAGCCCTCGATCTCCTGTGACAGACAAGAGCCTCTCTGCTGCTGCTACAGTTGTCACAGTGGAAACCCCTTCCCCAAAAGGCAAGTTGTCACCAGCCTAGCTGCCTGCATGGGGGCCTGGGTGACGAATGTCTTGCAATTATTCTTCAGTTGATGCCAGAAACAAAAAGTATATACCCCACACCAGTCCCCAGGACCCCTCTTAGCAGGGTGAGTCTTGGGGAATGCAGGCTCTGGGCCCATCTCTTACCACATGCCCTTCACCCACCCCACCCCTATTTCCCTGCAGATGAACCAAATTAAACTGAACAGCCTCAAAGGGAGAGGTTGCCAAAAGACAGTCTGAGGGGAAATGGGAAGAAGCAATCCCCCATTCTGCTTTAGGGCTGGGGACAAAAGGGTTCCTTCTTCCTTGAATACTGTTAACCACAGGCCTTTTGGGGGCCCTGCTGGAGGAGACATCCCATGGGCTCTCCCCTAAATCACATGAGATGACTCATCTCCACCCACATCAGCCACCCTGCTTTCCACACTGTAGAAACTTCTCTGTTCTTCCCAGACAACTGAATGCCAATATTTCTTAAGTTTCTTTCCTGCCAATAAATTCTGTTTTGTTCCAGGGGAAACAGGGTTCTACCATAAATGCTTTATTTGTGTGTGGTATTTACGGTGTTCGTCCACCTGTATATGGTCAGTGCTTTCCTTTTCACATCCAGCCAGCCATCCTGGGTCTTCCTGCAGGACGGACAGTCCAGAGACACTGAAACAGGCCCGTGCAGGGGATGGAGAGGATGTCCCCTGGCACTAAGACAGACCGCATTTGACCCCACTGTTCTCTGTCAGTCAATGGGGAAGGCACGTTTTAACAAGAACGGGGGTCCCTCTCAGGTTCTTTGAGGTGCCACCACTCCTGCTCTACCCACAAACCTAACACCTGCTCAATATCATGCCCATAAGCTATGAACACTGGGGACTAATCGAGAAGAGAGGTGAAGGGGAAACTGAGGCAAGGGCCAAGGCCAGGCCAGTGGGTATTGCTGCTTCCAAGGCAGCTGGGGAGGAGAGATTCCATTTCCTGAGCTAAGCTTGTTCCATTTCAGTTTGAACAGATGGAAATATAGTTCAATGTTTCAACATCATTTGCCTTTCTCGTGCTAAAATATTGATAAGTGCTGCCCGGGCTGATGCCCCCGCAGTTCCCAGCAGTAACTGGAGCATGATGTGTACTGAAGTGAGACATGGCAAAGCCTTTAACGAGTGTTTAAAATTCCTGGAATAATGCTCAACACTGGCTCAGCTCATTCGGCTCCTGAAAACTGCCCCCCCCCCCACCGCCCCCCTGTCGCCCCCTAATCGGCAGGAGGAGTGCGAGCACAGCCCGGCCCCCCTGCTGGTGGCAATTAGTGCGGCAGCTGCTCGTCTTCAGGACAGCAAACAATGCAGGGGGTGCCTGCATCTGCCGAGGCGGCTGAGCCAGGCAGGGAGGCTGGAGCACTGGGGAGGCAAGGACATGGGGAGCTGGCTCCTCCACCTGCAGGGGGCTGTCACACGGAACACAGACCCCAGGGAGAGGGAACACTGGGCGGGGCTGTCCAGAAAGGCAGATGAGGGAAGGGCAAGAAAAGGGGGAAGAACACCAGGTTTGGTGGCTCATGCCTGTAATCCCAACACTTTGGGAGGCCGACGTGGGTGGATCACCTGAGGTCAGGAGTTTGAGACCAGCCTGGCCAACATGGTGAAATCCCATCTCTACTAAAAAAAAAAAAAAAAAAAAAAATTAACTGGGCCTGGTGGTGTGTGCCCATAATCCCAGCTACTCAGGAGACTGAGGCAGGAAAATCATTCAAACCCAGGAGGTGGAGGTTGCAGTGAGCCGAGATCATGCCACTGCACTCCAGCCTGGGCGACAGAGCGAGACTCCATCTCAAAAAAAGAAAGAAAAGAAAAGGGAGAAGAAGGGAAAAGAGGAAGATGAAGAGGGTGGGGACTTAAGAAGGAAGGGGAGAGGAGGAAGAGAGGAAGTAGCCAGGAACAGCAAATCCCCTGGGAAGAGCTTGCCAAGCTCCGATAAGAGAATCCAATATGTGGCTGTAGAAAGGGAAAAAGGACCCTCAAGAGGGCCTCAGCCAGCGGCATCCCAGTCCTAAGACACCTCTCTGCAAGTTGCAGCCATGACAAAGGCCCCCAGACCCAGAGCTGAGAGGAAACCTACAGTGTGGACCTGGGATGTCACTTCCAAGCTTTAGAACAATCCAGGCTTCCCGGGCAAGGCTCTCCTGGGATCACAGTATCCCCCTTGTGGAGATCAAGTGGTCTAATTGTGGAATGTTAAACTTCTCACATACTTTAAGGTGCTGGGTGTTTGGTTCACAATTTTTGAAAACACTTGGCTGGGTGCGGTGGCTCATGCCTGTAATTCCAGCACTTTGGGAGGCTGAAGCGGGTGAATTACTTAAGGCCAGGAGTTCAAGACTAGTCTGGCCAACATGATGAAACCCCATCTCTACTAAAAATACAGAAATTAGCCAGGCATGGTGGTGGGCACACTAGTCCCAGCTACTTGGGAGGCTGAGGCAGGAGGATCACTTTAACCCGGGAAGTGGAGGTTGCAGTAAGCCAAGATCATGCCACTGCACTCCAGCCTGGGTGACAGAAAGATAATCCAACTCAGAAAAGAAAGAAAGAAAGAAAGAAAGAAAGAAAGAAAGAAAGAAAGAAAGAAAGAAAGAAAGAAAGAAAGAAAGAAAGAAAGAAAGAAAGAGAAAGAAAGAAGGAAAGAAAAAGAAAGAAAGAAAGAAAACTCTTTATAGATCTTTGTGAGATTGTTCAGAATAATGTTTTCCAGAAGGCCTATTTGAATCAAGAAGACAATGTCGGCTTTTTTCAACAGTGACCAGACTGTGAGAGAAAGCAAGGCTGTGCCCCAGAAAGCTGTGGGGTAGCCCCACTGGAAGGAATTCCAGGCTGGTGGGTGTATGGGACTTAAGTCAGTAGAACTCAGAGCCACTAACCGAAAGTATAAGCATTATTATTATACATGATTGTAGATTGATTGATTAACATTTACAACAGGAAAGAAAAAATAGGAAATCTACAATGGGTTGGAAAGCAAGACACAACAAACTCATTACTTACGCTCTCCCTCTGCCTTCCACAAAATAAAACTCAATGAAGTAATGTAAATATAACAATCTTATTTTCTGAGACCAAAAAAAGGGGGACATGTGATCTGACACACAGGATGACATTTATGGAAGCAAACAAGATGCAGTATAAAATTGAGGGTGTCAGGCCAGGAAGGTCCAGGATGTGAATACAGAGAGGCTGGGGCAGCCTGTGGCTGCTCTGATTGGACAAATCTTCATAGAGGAGGAACTGTCTGAGGCCAGGAAGTGCTGCATGGTCTGGGGGTCTGGGGAAGCTGGCAGCAGCAGCATCTTGTCCTCCATCCATAATCAGGTCAGCTGGGTGGGGAATGCCTGGCCCGGTGGCACAATGATACTCCTATCTATACACATTAGCTCCAGGCACCTTTCCTCACCACCGCGATGTTTTACCAGCTGGCCCCCGTCCAGCCACCCTTACAAGGCCAGCCAATCGTCCAAACCATTTCTATGTGGGCTGTTTCTGGGACCAGCACAGTCCCTCTGGGCTGAGGCCTTGGCAATGGGTCTGTCCCTCTGGGAAGGGGGCTCTGTCTGTGATTATTCTCCAAGTTCTTCAGCATCTGTCCATTGAGTGACTGGGGCGTCTGGTTTCCATGACCAGAGGTGGGGGTAGGAAGGAGGGGCTGTGGTTGTGGCCAAGGCGGAGACCCCCCCCAGAGGCTGGCCATCTTCTCAAGAGTTTACCTGCAAGAGTCGAAGAGCCCCACTGCGGCCGGGGCTGGCAGGGAGGGCAGCACCTGTGAGAAGACAGATGGGATAGGGAGTCCTGGGGTGGCCACAGTGAAATGAGCAGCTGCCAAGGACAAGGGCCAGACACCAGGGGCAGACCACATTTCTAAACTTGGTGATATGTTTCCAGCCCCACATCCAATCTGGTCATCACAACCAGTGCCCAGCTGTTGTCACCACCAGTTCACAGAGGAGCAAGACCAGAGCTCAGATTGCTGAAATGACAGGACCAAGGTTACAAGGCCTGCATTTCTCCCTGACACAAGGTGTCACCTTGAAGAATTTCCAACCCAGAGACACCCCTGTGCCTACAAAACACCTGGGATCTTGTTAAAATGCATTTTTCTTTTTCTTTTTTCTTTTTCTTTTTTTTTTGAGATGGAGTCATCACCCAGGCTGGAGTGCAGTGGCACAATCTTGGCTCACTGCAGCCTCTGCTTCCCAGGTTCAAGCAATTCTCCTGCCTCAGTCTCCCAAGTAGCTGGGACTACAGGCCAGCACCACCATGCTGGTAATTTTTGTATTTTTAGTAGAGACAGAGTTTCACCACGTTGGCCAGGCTGGTCTCAAACTCTAAAATGCGTTTCTAACGAGTCCCCAAGAGGTACTAGCGCTGCTAGGACCCCTCCCTCACCCTTGCACTGAGGAACAAGGCCATCAGGCAGTATTTTCCCATCCTGCCTATTCATAAGAATCACCTCCAGCACCTGGGGATTCCAATGCAATAAGGACTCAGAACTGTGACCGTTTGACAAGAGCCTCAGGTGCCCCTCATGGTCAGGTAAGTTTGGGAAACACTGCCCTAGAAGTGTGGGAGACATGTGGCCCCCACTGGGAAGCTTTAGCAGGGCCCCAGGGATGGGAACCTTCTTCATGGGCATCCTGGGTCTCCCAGGGGCCCTTCGATCCAGCAGGAGAATGCCTGCCTTGGCCCTGAGGGTGCTTCAGTGTTCAGCCTTGGCCGGCTTCTTCCCCTCTCTCTGCCTCCACCTTCTCATCTGCATTATGGGAACCAACATCCAAAGGCCAGGACATGACGGAAAGGGCCACCTAGAGAAGGGGGGCATTTGGAGAAGGGAGCTGCTGGAGCTGCTAGGGACAAGGCAGTGTCCATCCTGTGAGCAGGAGGTAGATGGGTAAAAAGGCAAGGCAGCAGGAAGGAGGAAGGAGGGGAAGCCAGGGTCATGCTGAGATGTAAAAAAGTGAAGATATCATACGTTGCCCCTACCCCTTGGCATTAGGAAACATTCAACCAAACAACCGAGGAGGAGACTAATGAGCAGGGATGAAAGGGGGACTCCAAGGTGAAGTCTGCAGAGCCCATCACTGTAGTCTTCTATGCCACAGAGCAGCAGAGAATCAATGTCTGGGAGGCTTGGTGCTGGGCTGGCAACCAGAGAGAGTGGCCAGGAATCCTGAAATGAAATGGAGGCAAGGAGGGCAGAACTGGCCAGGAGCACGGGCTCATCTACCATGTGGCTAGATAGGAAAAGCCCATGGGCAGGAGATAGACCCCCGGCTTCCCACTCCCTAACTCCACCCCCATCCCAGCCACCGTGTCCCTACTCCACAGCTGCCACCACCAGGCCTGCTTCCTCTCTAGAGGCAGTTGTTGAGCACATGTCTATGAGGAGAGAATGGGAAAGTCAACGTGATCCCATCAGTTATTCCTTTTTTTTTTTTTTTTGAGATGGAGTCTCACTCTGTTGCCCAGGCTATAGTGCAGTGGCCCGATCTTGGCTCACTGCAACCTCCGCCTCCCAGGTTCAAGCAATTCTCCTGCCTCAGCCTCCTAAGTAGCTGGGATTACAGGTGCCGGCCACTAAACCTGGCTAATTTTTTGTATTTTTATTGGAGATGGGGTTTCGCCATACTGGCCAGGCTGGTCTCGAATTCCTGACCTCAAGTGATCCACCCGCCTCGGCCTCCCAAAGTGCTGGGATTACAGGTGTAAGGCACTGCGCCCAGCCTGTTTTTTAATTAAATGCTAGTTCCCTCCACAAAGTTTCCACTCAGAAAAACACCAGCTGCTTCCACAGAGAAATCTTCCTGGCAACTGTCACAACTCCCTTTTCTTTCTACCCAGGGTAGGCCTGGGTTTGCAGTCAGGCAACTGACTATATCAAGTACCAAGAGAGGGCATGAGCCACCACGCCCAGCCCAGTTGTTCCTCTTTACACTGAGATAAATGGACATGAAGACTTGTGTTCAAATGCTTGATGTTTAAATTCAAAAAGAAGCAGGGAGAGATGGAAGGGTTACTCTAAAGTGTGTCAAAATATGATGAGTACAGATAGCACCAGGGAGTAACTTTCAGTACGAGGGTACAAACTGACCCCAAGTGAGAATGTTCTGTCTCAATTCCAAGTGCTTCATGGTGACATCATCGCCAAGGCCGCCCTCCTTCCTCAGCAGCATGCAGTGTTCCTCCAGGGCACCGCCTGTTATTCTCCTGCCCTTGCCCGAGTGGTACTCCCCCCTTGCAAGTCCCCTGACTGCTTCCCTTTCAGCTGACCCCAGAGAGTCCTCCTGTTGCTCCAGGCAACAGACAGTCTGCTCAGATGCTCTCCTGTCCCCTCCTTTTAGGTGGTCCCCTCCTTTTAGGTGATTTCCACGGCTCTGGGTTCTGCATGCCCCATCAGGGTCACCTGTAGATTTCTCTAGGCATATTCTGTGGCAGGCTGGTAATGCCTGTTTTTTTGTTTTGTTTTGTTTTGTTTTTGAGATGGAGTCTCACTCTGTCGCCCAGGCTGGAGTGCAGTGGCACGATCTTGGCTCACTGCAACCTCCAACTCCTGAGTTCAAGCGATTCTCCTGCCTCAACTTCCCAAGTAGCTGGGACTATAGGCACATGCCACCACGCCCGGCTAATTTTTTTGTATTTTTAGGAGAGACAGGGTTTCACCATTTTAGCCAGGATGGTCTCCATCTCCTGACCTCGTGATCCGCCCACCTCGGCCTCCCAAAGTGCTGGGATTACAGGCATGAGCCACCGCACCCGGCACTGCCTGGTTTTTAAGCCTATGGTACTTTTTCATTCACTCACCCATCCAATCAACAGAGTCTGGCTTTGTGTTAGGTGCTGTGGGCAATACAAAAGGTGCATTTAACACAGCCCCATACCCTGTCTAGCAGGAGAAATAAGCCATGCACTGCAATCACAGTAAAGCCAGGCAGAATGTGGTCTGGGGCTCTCTGCTGGCCAGGATAGCTCCATGAGGGCACCATTTTCTGCACTGTCACTTCCCCCACCACCTGAGGTGCATCCTTTCTCCTGCTACTTGAAAAATCCCAGCTCCTTCTGGCCCATCTGCAGGGTCGCTGTTTCCTCTGCTTCTGGACAGGTCATGATGACTCTGGTATCTCTGAGTCACTCTTCCCAGCTTAGCTTACTGTCCCCACCCTGTCTCTAAGCTGTTCTCCAGTGACTCAGGAGCCCAGATGTTCCTGGGGCATGCAGTTCCAAACTCGCATCATTGCAAGTTTTTAGTTTTAAATAAACATAGAAAACAATACAGCCGGCCGGGCACGGTGGCTCATGCCTGTAATCCCAGCACTTTGGGAGGCCAAGGCAGGCAGATCACTTAAGGTCAGGAGTTCAAGACCAGCCTGGCCAATATGCTGAAACCCTGTTTCTACTAAAAATAAAAATAAATAAATAAATAAGCTGGGCGTGGTGGTGTGCACCTGTAGTCCCAGCTATTGAAGAGGCTGAGGAAGGAGAATCACTTGAACCCAGGAGGCAGAGGTTGCAGTGAGCTGAGATGGAGCCACTGCACTCCAGCCTGGGTGATGGAAGGAGACTCCATCAGAGGGAGACTCCATCTCAAAAACAACAACAAGAATAACAACAATACAACCGAAGTTCTCACAAAGAGACAAGGGGGGAGTGTTGACACAGAAGGAAGAGCTAAACAGCTGCAGACGGAGGTGACACCCACTGAGGAGGGAGCAGCCTTCCCTGGAGGGACAAGGGGATATGTCACAATTCTATTTGTCTCTGATGGAGCTTTGGGAAAGGAGCACCACAGGGTTGGCCTGGATTATCCCCCAGAGCTCAGGGCCCCCAGCCACTCCCTTCCAAGGGACCCACATTCTCCCCTCCAACACACACTACCAGGGCTCCAGTCTCTCCGCTTTCCTGGAAGATGGAAGAGAGGAAAGCTTGGACTAGAACTTCTTACCCTATTGCAGGGGGACTTCAGGGGGAGAAAGAGGACTAGCAAGAATCCTATAACCTCAGGCCCTCAATTCCCTCAACTATAAAAATGAGGATGAAAATACTGATCTCCCAGGATGCTGCAAGGATGAAAAAAAAAATAAGCTGGTGTAAGAACCTAGGACATGGCTGGATGCCTAGAAAGCATTCAGTCATAAATTTTCACTTTCTTTCTCCTTCGCAGCTGTCTTTCTCATGTAAAGTTTTCACATTTTAGGCACTTACTATGGCTTTATGATAGAGACGGATTTTCCCCCAGGACATCCAGGGGATAGGGTGAGCATCTGGCTGCCCCTACCTGACTGACCCGGAGAGGTGGAGTTAGGTGTTCCCTGGGTCTGGAGAAAGGGAGAATTCTGGCATCAAGGGGAGAGTCTGACTCTGGGAGAGAACGGCCATGAAAAAAATGCCTGGAGCCAGGATCTTATCTACCTTCTCCAGCTTGTGTAGAAATCTAAGGGCTGGGTGCGGTGGCTTACGTCTGTAATCCCAGCACTTTGGAAGGCCAAGGTGGGAAGACTACTTGAGCCCAGGAGTTTGAGACCAGCTTGTGCAACATAGTGAAACCCTGTCTCTTAAAAAAATACAAAAATTAGCTGGGCATGGTGGTGTGCACCTTTTGTCCCAGCTACTCAGGAGGCTGAGGTGGGAGGACTGCTTGAGCCCTGAAGGGTGAGGCTGCAGTGAGCCATGATAATGCAACTGCACTGCAGCCTGGGTGACAGAGCGAGGCCCTGTCTCAAAGGAAAAAAAGAAATTTAAGACCCTAGCCCCTGAGGCCCTCCAGGATGCCAGCAGCTTTGCTGGGCTGGCCCTGTGACCCTGTCCCACAGCCAACTTGACCTACTCTTCCTGCAAACTACCAATCATGGTTTGTCTCATTACGTTGTTTAAATTCCCAGTCTCTCCTGACTTCCTCTCCCACCATGAACCTCTTTATCATAAGACAATCCAGGCTCAATCCCAAAGGACCGCAAACCGTTTCCAAAAACCCTGGGAAATTCATAGTTTTGGAGATTTCAGAAAGGTACCTATAATGGTCCGTATATTCTGTATTACATAACACCACCCAAGGGGGTCCAGAGCAGTACCTGTAATCCAACACATCAGCATTTCTGCAGTGAAACATCTGATATCTATGACAAGCAGGATAAATAAAGACTATAAATAGCTTCATACTGTTTAGGTCAGGTTTGGCTGCCAAATAGTTTTGGCAGCAAACATACCAAACAAACAAAAAACCCCAAAGCTTTTAGAATGATTGCATCTGTAGAGAAGAGAGTAATGGTTAGTATTTATGCTGCCTGAGAGAGAAGCAGGCAAGCAAAACTGTAGCTGAGAAAAGGAAAAGAGCCTGTGATGGCTCCTCTTAACCACTCCCCACCACCACCACCACCATCCTCTTTCCAGACCACCTGGCATTGGAACGCAGCCTCCCTTAGGCACCATGGTGGACTCTATAGAGCAATCGGCCACCTAACTAGCTTTGTACTTAAGGACAGAGACTTAGCCAGAATCTCGGTTTCCTTGTCTATTTAAATGGAAAACGAAGCAATTCCAAATATTCCTTTCACTGCTGACACTTGATACTCTTATCAATACATTCGCCCAAGCTGGCTGGCTATGCTGTCCAGAGCAAAGCAATGTCTTCACCATCAGACTGTGGAGCACCCCAGGAAACAGCTGTCCCTCTCAGCACCCAATGCTCTTTTGTACCCAGGTGTCTTTGGACACACACTTCCCAGTCCCTTGACTGTCCTTCCCTCCTCACTGGCCTGGAAAACTCATGCTTATCCATCAAGATTTGTTTCAAAGGCCCTCCTCGGGCTCCCACTTTGTCCATACCTCCATATGGCAGCTTCAATGATAATTTGTGTATTGTGTTTCTCTGCTTGCACTAAACTATAATCGCAGGGCCAGGGTCTAGGCTGCCATTGGCTGTCTCCAAGGTGTGGCAGCGTCAGGCATATGGAAGGCCTTCAGCAAGCCCTTGTGGAGAGGAGAGGGTACTAGCTCCGCATGGCTTCCCACCAGACAGCCTATCACCATGGAAGACAGCCCCACACTCCCGCTGTAGGAGACCTAGAGGCATCTATCTGCAAGACAAGAAGTTAATAGTGCCGAAGAAGGGAAATATTAGCATGAGACCTATTGCAAGTCCAGGTGGGCAGCCACGGGATCAAGTAGTAAAGCAAGAGAAAGGAGCTAGAAAGGTGACTCCAAATCCCACAGGCCAGGGTGGAGGGTCCTACCCACGCAAAATGGTGGACTTTGGTATAAGACAGCGCGCAGTCCCTCAAGAGGAGAAGCAGGCTATCCCGGTGGAAGAGGTGTTGCGAAAACTCGAGCAGAAAAGGACAGCGCGGCAGGGCAAGGCCCCCCACACCACCCACGTGCACTACCAAGGCCCGCGGTGCGGAGGGTTCGCATGCTATGCACCATCGCCGCGAGGTGGCAGCAAAAACCCGCCAGTGGCCCCAGAGCGCGCTGCTTTCCGCCTCCAACCTGCAGTGCTTTGCGCCAGGGTGCGCACAGCCAGCGCGAGGGGCGTCCGGCCGCGGAACCGCGGGGTCCAAGGCTGAGCACTGCTGCCAGGCTTCGGGGTCCTCGGAGGCCAAAGAGGGGACTTCCCTGGGTCTCTGGCTCTTGAGAGCTCCCAGACTGGAGTCTGGCAACTTCTTGGGGGCATCATGGAATCTAGCTATCCGACCTGCAGCCTTCCTCAGCTCTCCCATCCCTGGGGGAACGGGTCCACCATACTCCTGCCTCCCCGCTGGCCCGGCGTGAGGGGTTGCGTCCTGGACTCTTCTGCGGGGACAGAGCCCTAGTCCGCCTACATCCTTCACCACATACCTCCTGCTCCTACCCACCGCTCCCGCCAGCACGCGAGAGCGGGTCTGGAAGCTGAGGCTTCCCTCCCTGTCCTGCTCCTGGGTACCTGCCACACACGCGCCCACACAGTCGGAGACAGTTGCGGGCGTGGAGTCACCCAAAGGCCACGCACGCAGACACGCACTGGCACAGATGCGCCCTGGTCGCACCTACACTCCAAGCTCGCTAGGAGCAGATGTGAAAGGCCCAGGGGTGCAATGTGCAATGGAAGAATCGCAGGACTAGGGGCCGAGAAACTTGAGTTTGACTTTGACTCACTCCATTTCTCTGGGTCTCTAAACTCTCGCGTGTCCAATAACAAGATCGCCAAGCTGCCTGGAAGCCGACGCCTCCTCTGCGTGGAAGCGCCGCGGCAGCCCGGAAAAGCCTCTCTGAATGTCCCAAAAGGGCAAATGGAACATTCCCGCGCTGGGTTGGCTTGACCCCTGGAGACCGAGGCAAGGAGGTCGCGCGAAAACGGTGTGCAGGAGGCTGCGCGCACTGAAGTTTCGCAGAGCCTGCGAAGACTCAGGGGTTCGGAGGCGCGCGCGTCCTGGGTCCCTTGCGACACTTCTGACCCTCGGTACCCTTCTCACGGGCCACGCTTCCACTCACCCAGTGCGCTGCTCTCCTCGGGTCACCCCAGTTACTCCTGGAGGATTTGGAGCCTGGGACTCGAGCTTTCACCGTCCTCCCGCACCCCAGTGCCAGCTGTTATTGTGCAGTAGAACAAAGGCCGAAATGGGTGGGTATGGGAGGAGACCTGGCCCTACAGGACTCCCATTCTGGTAGGGAATGGGTTTTGGAACAAAGTGCAAGGGTTTGATTGGTTCGCGGCGTCCACCGACAGACCCCTCTAAGGAGCACGTGTGAGCACGTGAATTGTGAGCGCACAGGAAGCTGAAGGTCGGAGGGCAGCCTATAAGGTCTGCAGCTGGTCATCAAGTCCTCACCATTCCTCCTTGGAAATGCCTTTAACCCATTCTGGCGTCTTAGCTCAGTCCTGCCTATTGGAATAGTTTCCTAGGGGCCTTCCTGTCTACAGCCTCACTGCCCCCGACTACAGTCCTTAAGCAGGACACTGGATATTACCACTTAAGCTTTCATACAGTTTTTTTGTTTGTCTGTTTGTTTGTTTGTTTGACTGTTTTGAGACGGAGTCTCCCTCTGTCTCCAGGCTGGAGTGCAGTGCGGCAATCTCAGCTCACTGCAACCTCCGCCTCCTGGGTTCAAGTGCTTCTTGTGCCTCAGCCTCCCGAGTGGCTGGGATTACAGGCATGTGCCACCACCCCCAGCTAATTTTTGTATTTTTAGTAGAGACGGGGTTTCACCATGTTGGTCAGGATGGGCTCGATCTCCTGACCACGTAATCCGCCCGCCTCGGCCTCCCAAAGTCCTGGGATTACAGGCGTGAGCCACCGCGCCCAGCCACTTTCATACAGTTTTATTTGGCTCCCCAGTACCCATGGGATCAAGGCCACACAACTTGCCTGATCTTGTAATTAATCCCTACTCCCTCTTCCCTCAGAATCAATTACCAACCTCTCAAAAACCCATGGGCCCCACACTACAGTACTCCCGGCGGGCCAGCCACACTGCACTGCTCCCCACTGGACCTGACACCTCCTCCATGCCTTCCCACCTGCCATTCCTGCCTAGAATCTCCTCCACTCAATCCGATTCATCCTTCTGGGTCAGTGCCATCTGCTCAGAGAACTCAGAGAAGCCCTCTCTATCCCCACCGCCAAAGTTGTAGTAATTAATTGCGAAGTTGACACTCCGGGAAACACTGTGTGCAACTCCACGGGGTTGGTTTGTTTTTAAGTGGTGACCTCAACTGTCCCTCCTACTGGATCGTGAGAAACTTGAGGACAGGGCTCAATTGTGCTTGTCCCTCTCCCCTCCATTCTTCGAGAACTTAGTTGATATTTCTGCATCATGCTCACAAGCACTGGACAAGCCCCCGGGCTCATCTGCAGGTAGACTTGTCACCCGCACAAGGTAAATATTTCTCTTGCAATTCATGAGAATCTGCACAACAGTCTCACTGCACACTCAACAACGTTCACATGTATCCACACACTTCACATCCTCGATTCCCAGGCCCACTGGGAAGTGCTGGTGGTTTAAGCGGAGGCCGGTCCGCTGTGGGAGCGGAGGCCCCTGAAATCCCCGCTCTTTCTCCTGGCTTGGTAGGTCTGCCTGCACGTAGCTGCTTGCTGAGCGCTTGTCTCGCGTCTGGTCCTCCTAGGCAGCGCGTAGGAGGCGCGTTCCTGCAAAGTCCTAGTGCAGGTGGCGGGAGCGATGGCGCGCCCAGAAGGGCAGAGCCCAGGGCCGCCCGCTCCCGGTCCTATCCCACTCCCTTCTCCCGCTTTTGCCTCATCTTGCGTGCCCAGAGAGGCGTCTCAGAAAAGTATTTCCCCCGCTATCGGGAGCGCACGGCGAGGAAGACAGAGAAGGTCATCGAGTGTGTTGGTGTAGCCGGGTGAAGGTGGAGGTTGGCTGTGTGACAGTGGCCAAATTATGGCCCTCTCTGAGCTTCCGTTTCACCTCCCGGTATAAGCGTAGCCGCTTCAGCTCAGACACACAGGGGAAAGGCAGCGGTGGCCGGGGCCTGGGTTCCGTGCGCCCGCACATGTACAAGTGTCCGTCGGTCCTCTGTCCTTCCTCCCAGTCGGGCCTGGCCAGGCGGCGCCAGTGTGTCCCGGGCGAGGTAGGGGCAGGCAAAAGGCGGCTGCGCCTGTCCCGGGCTGCAGAGGGAGAGGCGCATACGCAGGGAATTAGCAGCGCTTCCAGTCGTTAAGGGGCCTTGCTAAGATATTCTGTTGAATGGCGGCAAATTAATTATTATGGTAAATATCGCAAAATCCAACAAACCAAAGGCAGTGCGGGCCCAGCCACAGGCCGGGCCATCGCCTGAGGCAGCCCAGCCCCGCGGGAACCGGGTGCGGAGAAAGACGGCGCGGCTGCAGGACCAGGGCATCAGGCTGGGAGAGGCCGGGGCTTCGGCCACAGCGCCTCCCAGCGGCCTGAAAGAAGAAAGACGGAGTCCGAGCCTGAGAGGTGGGGACAAAGGCCCAGCGAGAGAGCGCCGCGAAGGCCGGAGGGCGGAGCGGGGACCAAGGGGCGCGCTCCCCACCGGGCCACGTCCGCAGATCCCGGACCCCTGCCCCGGGGGCCGCGTCCCCCACGCCCCGCCGCGCTCCCCCTCACGTCTGGACCCTGCCTTGGTCCCTCGGACCTCCTGTTTCGGTTCCTGGGCCCCGCACACTCTTCCTGCCTGCAGGGATCCGAGAAGTCCCCAGGGAACTCGCCCCTCCTGCCAAGCCTCATCTTTTCAGAAAAAAATAAAAATAAAAAATAAAAGATAGAGAACAGCCAGTGCCTGGCTGGTCTGTAGCTCCTCCAGCCACACAGCCATTTCCATCCTCAGGCAGAGAGGGCCTCCACCCTGACTGAGCCTGCCGTGAGCAGCCTGGCGGGGCTGGAGTGTAGGCAGAGCCTGGCACATGCATGTGTGTGTGACTTGCCTGTGCTCTCCTTTCTTGCCAGCACATTCTGTAAAGGTCCTCGACGTCTTGACGGGTTAGACTCCTGCAGGTTAAAGCCCTTTTCTTTTCCAAAAAGAGTGTGTGTAGAAACCAGTTAGAGTCGTGGTTTTATTTGTAAAAAGTGGGGAGTCGTTGCTAGGAGTGGAGATATGCTTCTGTCCCTTGCGGCATCCCTGAGCAGAAGTGGGTGGTTGCCTATGCCCACTGTAGAAGGCAGAGGGGTGTGTGTGTGTGTGTGTGTGTGTGCATGCAGAGCAGTGACTGTGTGTGTCTTACGAATGGAATCATATTGGGGGCATCTCTAAGAGTGTGTAGTGTGAGGGGAAAAGCTGCCCCTGAGTCCAGGGAAGGGAGGCATGGGAAGGTGGGTGCTTTCTTGGGTGGGCCTCTTCTGGGCAGAGGAAGCTGCATGACCTCCCCAGCCCACAAGGGGAATGGGTGCTGTTGGGCCCCAAACTGCTGTGCACCCCCAGTATTCGTCCCACTTCCCAAGTCCAGCCGGCCACAAGTCAACGTGCTCCCCTAGGCGCTTTCTTGGAGAAGGAATTGCTCTCCTGCTGCAATGGCACCCTCTCCCCAACCAGCCTTGGCCCTCCCCCTGCTTAAGCCTGGGAAGCTGCTCCCCATCTTCCCTCAGACCCTTCCGGCTCCCGCCCCTTCCCTGTTCTCTCCTCTCCTCACTTTTTGTTTCAACTCCCTCTCCTTTCTCTCCCTTTTCCTTTTGCCTTTATCCTCACTCTATAATTTATAGCCCTCTTCTTCACTCTCCCTTCTTGCTCTGCAGAACAGCATAACATGGGCGTTTAGGGGTGGATTGTAACACAGAGGCCTCTGTTTACCTGCTCACTCCCAACAGCAGGCATGCTTCTCTCAAGGTGCTTATCTAGTTCCCTACCTATCTTCTTTGGGCCCTAGCCTAGTGTGTGTGTGTGTGTTTGTGTGTGTGTGTGTGTGTGTGTGTGTGTGTGCGTGCAATGAATGGGTGGTCTGTGAGTCCCTAGAGTCAAGCTCTGTGGTTTGGAGGTTGGCATGCCTCTGGGTGGCATGTCTTATGTCTCTGGGTTGGCTCACAGGTATGTGTGTGTGCCCGAAGGTTTCCTCTGTGTGTTTGTCATGGTGACTGTGTAGTGGCTGTGTTCTCTGACTGGATTTATTGTTCATTTTCTCCCTTTCTTGTGTTTAAACTTTTGGTTAGCCCCAGCACACTGTGTACTTACAACAGGCTGTGCACTAAATGTCTATTGGTGCTAATGCCATTTTATGCAGATGTGTATTTCTATTGTGTGAATCTGGGTAGCTCTGTAGGAGGGTGCGATTGTGAGCCTGGGCATTTTGTGCGTGCGACTGTACAGATTTGGAGTGCATGCATCCTGGAGAGTGTGCCTGCAGGAAAGGCAGATGAAGGATTCTTGTGTTTGTATCTGAGGACCGGTGTAGAATCCATAAGGGGAAAATCAGAAAGGCAGGCCTTATGTTGTGTAGAGAAGCAGGTCTATGGGTGCTGGGAAACTGCTCTGAGGGCAGGTAGGTGCCTGAGGGAAGGGGCTCGGCTGTGTTTATGATGGCACGGCTGGAGGTGAGGTGTGATATAACATAGAGGGCATGTTTATGTAGATGAGATGAATTGCACATACGTGTGTGTGTGTGTGTGTGTGTGTGTGTGTGTGTGTGTGTGTGTGTGTAGCCTCTGTCAGCCTGGCTGTTCCTGCCCGCTCCCGCCGAGCCCCGCCCGGCACAGTGGAGCTCAATCAGCCGCTGCATGAATACACTCGAATGGAAAGTTGTGCTCAGCTGACCGGAGAAATTGGAGCCGGGCTAGTACTGCTCCCCTCCTCCATGGCTCCCTCTCGCCTGCCCCCGCCCTCCCTCGGGCCAGACGGCCACCGGGGCCCGCACACTGGGGCCAGGGAGCTTCAGCTCAGCTGGGGCCGGAAAGGGCCGGAGCGGTGGGAAGCCGTGGGGGCCTCAGCGCGCGTACCAGGGGGTCGAGCGTCCCGCGGGCCGGGCATCTCAGCTCCAGCGCTGGGGGACAGAGAGGACAAGGGGAAGGCCCGGGAAAGTCCCTGAGGCACAGCCGGTGCTCCAGGTGACGGCCACACAAAGGCTTAGGCGGGACTGACAGGGCCACGGAGGCAGAGGAAGAAGAGAGGGAGAAGAGACTGCTCCAAGACGCCGAGTGCATCCAGTGCGCCACAGGCCTGGGAATGGACTTCGAGCTCCGGGGTCCCGGGTGATGCGCTGGGTCGAGAATGTACCAGGCTGTCCTATTCTCCTTGCAGAAGAACCTGGGGGCCACTCCACCATCACAGCCCCCTCGGCAAGCCCAGGCAAGGGCCTTCCCGCTGCCTCACTGAACCGTCTCCCCGCCCAAAGTCTCAGGCACCCCCAGGCTGGGCCCTTCGTCTTCAACCCCATTCCCAGCCGGGACTGGCCAGACTCGTGCCTCCAGCCCCACTATTGATCGGCATCTCCGCCCCGCGCCGTGGCAGCTTCCGGGTCATTTCATTTTAATCAGTTGTGTGTCTCGCCGGGGATAATCAACTGCACTGGCACTGGGCAGTCGATTCCGCAGGATTCAAGGAGGGCAAGAAGAGAGGCCAGGTGGGGGGCTCAGGGCCAGGGCTAGGGGCAGGGACGGAAGAGGGCTGGGTGCGGAGAGAGTGAGCAGGCCAGAAGGGGTAGACGGGCCTCTTCCCTCAGGCAGGCACATCTAGGGGTCAAGGCTTTGATACAGATTTGCCCAGTTTCACACCCCATTCTGCCTGTTCAGGTTTCCAATGCAAATCTTGGATTGTCATTATTTTTCTTTGAGAAAATAGCCAAGTTGGCTATTATTCCTCAAGCCTCTGGAAACTTACGGTAAGTGACTGAGGTACACAGGAGGTCTAAGCACACAGGGAAGGCTCCGAGCCAGAACACTCCGCTGGGATGCCAGGCGGAAGTGTGCTGCGTGCAGGGTAGTGGGTGCGGACTCACTGGAACGCCAGAAGCAGAGGAGCCAGCCTACTGGCTGCTGCATGGCCCAGACATAGGGGACAGATGGTTAGCACTTAGGCCTGCATATTGGGTCTGACCCAGGCTCACAAGACCCACGAGAGAGCACACACCAATGCACACATTCTCCTGGCCGAGGCACAACCTGCAGCATTCCCAGGAGGTGGGGGCTGTGCAGTGACTGAGATGGCTTTCTGCAGGTGGAACTTCAGCCTGGCCTTGCCCTCAAGCTCTGTCTGAGTGGCCCGTAGGGTGTTGACCGCTTTGGCCAGGGCTTTGAGGGGCCCAGAAAAGACTAGGCCTAGGCCAGCAGCTGGTAAAAGGCAAGATCTGGCCAGAAAGGGGCCTCTATTCTCTCACTCCGATGTTTAAAGGGGCAAAGGCCGAATCAACCACAATATCCCCAGTAAATCAAACAGAATAAAGGATGGACTGGGATAGCCAAAGAGCCCAATCCCCTTCTGCCCTCCAGCCAATGAATACCCATTGAGATCCCTTAAGTCTTAAAGGGACAGGAAGACCTGTTAGAGGTGGGCAGCCTGGCAGTCATATCTAGGGAGTGCCTAGAACAAGGGAACACACACATGTCTACACTAGACCCAAGACCCACAAGACACATGCCCAAGTACCTTGTAGGTGTATTGGAGCCCCCCAATATGCACTCCTTGCAGAACTAAGGACAGAGAAACTGGCTAAGCCATACACAAATACCTGTGCTATGCAGTATACATGAAAACATACTGGACACACACCAATGCACTGTACACACATTTATACCAAACATCACACACACACATCCTTTTGTATGCCCTCAGACCTTGACTGAGGGTTGAAAGCCCAGCATCCAGAATTGCACACATCTACACACCCACAACAAACACACATGTCCTTCCTGCAGGGAACCTATATGTAAGGTCAGAAAGTACAAAGCATAGAGTATTGGTATTCGTGCAGACCTGGATGGAAACACAGGAGATGAGAGAGTGATACATGATAGATAGCAGGATAGACAGATAGACAACAGGCTGCTGACACCCAGTAAGGCCCAGGCCCTCCAAAGCTAAAGGCTGCTGTGGAGTCTGATGGACAGTTTTCTGCAATACAGAAGGAGTGGGCACTGGATGCCCCAAATCTGCTTTCTCTGCACCGTGTGTTGAGATAGGAAATCATTTTAACTTCCAGGTTTGTCTCCTGTCCCCTAGACAAAAAGGCACCTGCTCCTTGATGTCCTCTATCTAGGCAGGCCCTTCCAGGAGTCACCCTCCAGCAGAGCAACTTCTTGCCTTTCATCCGTCAATTCTGGTCAGTTGGCTGAGCAGTGTCCATCCAGACTCTCCACACTGAGGCAGGCACTTCTTTGGGTTTCCAGGCCCAAGCTCTGTGTCAAGTATGTGACTGATTATCTAAAAGCAAAGGTGGGTGACAGAGCTCCTCATCCCAGAACAGAGGCTCAAGTTGGGTAGAATCCAGGCAGTCCTTTTCCCAAATTCCTACCACCTGGTCGATATTGCCTGAAATGTGGCAGGACAAGGAATATTTTCCCGAGCAGTGAACACACACAGAGATTCTGACACCATGTGCCAGGCCACAGAACTTGGGAGCTCTGGAGGTCAGCTGGATGCTCTGGTTCTAAGTAGGGGCGCACTCAGGAACCTTCCCTGCCTGGCAAATGCACGCCCTGGACATGCAAGGTCCCACTGGAACACTCAGGGCACCTCTGGGCCAGACAGCCTCTCTGCCCAGCCTGGCCCTCCTAAACCCCCTGGTGCTGGTGCTGCTGGGGATGGGGACAAAAGGAAATCGGAAGTCAAAATTAGTTTGGAAACGGATGCAAAATTCCAGGCATGTTTCCCCCAATCCTCCTTGCTTTGGAAATTGGACTTTCAAGTAAAAGCAAGTTTTCTGAAATTACCCCTTTTGCTCCTCCTTGGGTGCAGGCCACCCTGGCCCAGAGCGGCAGATGCACGGCCAGCCAAGCCATCCCAGGGAATTGTGGGGGCCCCGGCCAGGGCATGGAGGCCTTGGGGCCAGTGGGAACATGGTTAGTAAGAGGTGGTGACTTTTTTGTTTTCATTTTAAAGTGTAAACCAACTCTGAAATGTCTTAGGGGCTCGAGAGACTCCAGCTGAACCCCAGAGATGGGAAGAAATTTCAGGGAGACAGATCGAGAGCCGTAAGGCAAATCACACTGTCACATAGACACACACTCAGGAGGTGAGGAGGGGAGTCCATCCTGATTCTAGACCCTAAACTCTGCAAGCGACCTCCTCCCTCACTCCTCCTGCCTTCCCCACTCAGGCCACTGTCCTCACCACCACCCCACCCCCCAAAAAGAAGACAAAACCTGTCAGCTCTACTCGGGATGGATGCTGGGGTTTGGCGGCCTTGTATGTTTTTCCTTTTAAAAAACAAAGCAACAACAACTGAAAGACGCCCAGCACACCCCCAAGGACCCACAGGGTCTTGGCAGGCTACAATTCCGGCTGAATGCATACTGTGGTGAAGTGGGCCTAGCTTCTGACTCTGAAGAAACTGGCGGTAGCCTCCCGCTCCCAACCCTTGAACCATCTTTGCCTTTTTGCTCAGGATCCAGCTTTGGCTCTTTTCCGGAGGGCCTGTTCTGGTCTTCCCAATGCCCTCAGGGGGGAAAAAAAATGCTGAGATCCAGCCTTGAAATTCTGCCCCGGCTCAGGTGAGCAGGAGTGGAAGTGAAGGCCGAGCACCCCGCGGCTGCGGGCCAGGGGCAGACAAAAACACCAGTCTCTGGGAGTGATAAGAAAATGGAGAATACTGTATTTGCTTTAGAAAGTTTTTACATATAGATAAACACGCAGTTTAAGATAACAGTAAAAGCGCCCTACAGGGAGTGAGAGATACCTCTGAAGCTGCTAAGAAATACTGGAAATAGCTTTTGCATAAGAATACTACAATCTCACTCTCCGCTTTTGCTAGCGACAGGGTCCCTCTTCCTAACCCAGGCCACCATGCCTCTCCTTGACTGCCAAGTCGACACCAGGAGCACCGAGTGGGAGGAGAACCCCAAAAAGAAAAGAGACAGTTGAGCGGGGAGAAAGACAGAGAGAGGGAGAGGAGAGAAAGAGAAAGGGAGAGGAGAAAAAGCAATATCATATACAGGCAATTTCTACACATATATTACAAACTGGGAAAATGACCGATCATTAAGATATACATAATTCATATAAAATTTTGAAATAAAAATAAAAATCTGTTACAGTCATAACTATTCTTTTTCCACATTTATAACCAGTACCCACACAGGCAGTGACAGAGTGGAGAGAAAAAGGTGCTTACGAAGAAAATGATTGTCTGCTGAACAAAAAACAGAAGATTGCATTTTTTTGACCAATACTTGACTTAAAAACAGAGAGAAGAAGAGAAAGAAAGAGAGCGAGAGAAAAAAAAAGAGAGAGAGAGCAACAAAAGGCAAGACACATTTGCTATTTCCCTCTCCAGGAGTTCTTTTTTTTTTTTTTTCCCCCTGTCCTTTTTTTTTTTTTTTTTTTTTTTTTTAACAAATTCGGAACGGAGACGGCGATTTTTTTTCTTTTTGTCTGTTTTGCTTTTGCCCTCTTGTCCTCGTGGTGGTGATTGATTTTTGTATAGTCGACTCTTTAAATCATTTTTAACTAGAGAGAATATTTTCCCAGATACAAATAAATCGTCATGCAGGTGGGGTGCCGGGTCCATGGGAACCGAAAGGAGAAGCCGTGCTTGTCCTAGAAAGTATACAATTGTCACCTCTTTTATGTTTTCTGCCCGCAACATCAGCGTTTGACTGTCTGTTGGCGTCGGGGTCCTTTGGGGTGGCCGTAGTGGTAGATGGTGGTTGGGGGTTGTTGATAGTTTGCGGTTAATTTGTTATTTTCTTGTTTTTTATATATTTTTGGCTGGGGTGGGAGTGTGTGTGGACTTGTATGTGTGTATGGTTGGGTATCCTGATTTCGGTTTGTTCTGGGGATGGAGGAGGAGAAGGAAGAGGAGGAAGAGGAGGAGGGCTAGGAGGCGGAGGGGAAGGAGTGGGGGAGGAGGGGAAGGAGAGGGAGGAGGGCGGCCTTGGCTATCATACATCACATTCCGAGTCGCTGGAGGTTACCGAGAGGATGGAGGTGCCGGTGTCTGCGCGCTCCGTCAGGCTGGACACGCTGGTGGTCGGGCTGGCCGCCGTGGACGGCGACTCTGCCGAGCCGTGCGTGGGGCAGCCGGGCTCGGCCAGCGAGCGCATGCCGCTCGGTCCAATGGCCTGGTGCTGGAGCCTGCGGGAGAAAGAGATCCGCGCCCGCCCTGACACAGAGGCCCGCCACCCGGCTCCCCCGCGCCGCCGCTCCCCATTCCGCTTTCGGGAGCATCCCAAGTCTTCTCAGATAGAGGCTGGCCTCGGAGGAGAGGCAGAACCCGAGCCCGGCCGCTTGGGGAGGCCTGGGTGCAAGCGACAAAGTACGCCAAGCCCTGGAGAAGCAGAAGTCGGAGAGGAGCCGGGCGCTTCTTCCCTCCGCAGTCCCTGGGGCTCTTCAAACTGAGCCGGCTGCCCCGCGACCGGTCGAGTTCCCCTAGTAACCCCGTCCCTGCTCCCTCAAACACACACCGGGAGCTGCGGGTTCCCCACCGCCCGGCCAGTCTCCGGGTAGAACTGCATACTTTGCTCTCTGGATGCCAGCGCAGAGCGCAGGACCGAGGGTAGAGAAAATAGGAAAGCTGGCGGTGGAAAAGTGGGGAAAGAGCAGGGAGACAGAAAAGGGGCAAAGGAGAAGGCAAGAGAGGCGCACAGAGCAGTCTCCAGCTGCCCTTTCCCCCACCGGGAACCTTCTGCCTGGACCTGGTGTCTGGAATTCTCTCCACAAGGAGGCCTTGGCTTGACCCTGGGCGCTCCCCTCATCAGACGAAAAGTGGGCTCCACGGCAGGGGTGAGAGGGCCATGGGCTCAGGTCCCGGCCGCCTAAACTCGAACACACCTCCAGAAACTCACACCCAGCCCCCACCCACGGGCAGCTGTCAGCAGCTGGGGGTCCTGCTCCCTGAAGTACACCAGGCCCTGGGCCTTCCTGGCTGGATAGAGAAAGACACAGGCTCCACATCAGGGCTTTCACCCAACTTCCTCTTTTCTTTCTCCCTTCTCTCCCCACTCCTTTCGCCTATCCACTTCTTTCCCTCTGGTTCTTTTTCTCCTTCCCCCAGGCCCAGCTCCTGTGATGTTGGTCAAGCCCTATACAATTTTGTGACTTTGTGGCCAACTTGCCGGCAACGAGGCTGCTCGTGCCCGCTTCCCAGCTTAGAGGACCAAAGGGATTCTCCTCGGCTGAAACAGGAGGGCGAGTACATGCACACGGGCGTGCACACACACACGCACACGCACACGCTAGGCCTCTCCACTCCCAGCCCGGCTCTCCTGCTCCCGGTCAGGCAACGTGCAGCGTTGCGGGGAAACAGGCCCGCTGCGCAGTGGCCTCTGGCCTTTTCCCCTTGTGATAGGGACCCAGGTTCACTTTCCTCTCTCTGACGCTAGTGGATTTCTCTCGGGGTTTTGCAACGCACAGAAATAAGAACCAGATGGCAAAGAGTGCTTTCCTTCCCTCCCTGTCTCTAGGCTCCAGAGGATCGCCGAGCTGGCGGCAGGGCTGAGGAGGCAGGCACGGGTGCAGCGCAGGGCTAAGTCTCCCAGGGGCTGCGGGTACTCGGGTCGCAAGCACACACTCTCTGCCCTGACGAAAGCCCCTCTTGGTCAAAGCAATCAATACACCCACAGCCAGCCCGGCCCCCTCTTCCGCGCGTCCCGGACAAGCGGAAACTTTCTCCGACTGGCCAGGAGTCACGGCTTCCCTGGCTCTCAGCGGCCGCTCCGCTAGCCCCATCTCAACCCCTCTCCCCTTCCCAGGCCTCTGAGGCTGTAGCCAGGCCGCGGGCCCCGCCACTAACCTGTTCTTGGCCGCCGCGGCGCGGTCGCGCTGCCGCCGGTTCTTAAACCAGTTGCCTACTTGTGTGGGAGTGAGGCCGGTGGCCTGCGCCAGTTCGCGTTTCTTGCTGGGGTTGGGGTAGGGGTCCTGTAGGTACCACTCCCGCAACAGGCTCCGAGTCCGCTCCTTGAAGCAATGCGTCTTCTGCTCGCCGTCCCAGATGGTGCGTGGCAGCGGGAACTTCTTGCGCACGCGGTACTTGTCCACCGGGCCGAGTGGGCGGCCGCGCAGCTTCTCGGCCTCCTGGTAGTGCGCCTCGAGCCACATGGCCTGCAGCTTGCCGTGAGACTCCTTGGTGAACTTGTGGTTCTCAAGGATGTGGTAGAGGTCGCGGAAGTTGCCCGTGTGGAAGGCGACCACGGCGCGCGCGCGCAGGATCGACTCGTGTTTGTTGATGGCCTCGCACGCCCCGGGGGCCACGGGCAGCGACCAGAGGAAGCGGCCCAGCCGCTCGATGTCGCCCGTCTCCTCCAGCGTCTCACAGACGCTGGCCACCTGCTCCGGCGAGAAGTTGAGGGTGGGCAGCTGGAACATGGACAACTCTTCCGGGGGGGCCCTGGAGCCGCCGCCGCCGCCGCCGCCTGCTCCGCCAGCACCGCCGCCTCCCGCACCGTTCCCGCCGCCGCTGCCGCCTCCCGCGCCGCCGCCGCCTCCCGCACCGTTCCCGCCGCCGCTACTCGCCAGAAGTATGGAGCGGTGGTGAGAATCGGCGAAGTTTGGCAACAAGAAGTGGGAGGAATAGAGGTCTAGGGGGGAGCGGAATACCATGGACTGACCTGAGAGGAGAGGAGAAAATTCAGGGAGAGGAAGAGAGAGGGGAGGAAGAGGAGGAGAGGGGCGATGAGGACCAGGAGGAGGGAGAGGAGAGGGGGGAGGAGGAGAAGGAAAGGAGGGGGGAGCAGGAGGAGGAGGGAGAGGAGGAAGGGCGTAAGGGACACCCACACCCCACACACATCCACACACACACACACCCGCGCAGCCACATAGAGAGGGAGGTAGGAGAGCGGCCCGGTGCGCGCGCGCAGAGAGAGAACCCGAGACAGAGAGGGAGAGGGAGAGGGAGAGAGGAGAGGGAGAGCCAACCACCGCCGAGTCAAGATTCAGCGATTCCACCGCAATCGCCCTAATGACAACAGCCTCATAATATCTCCCCTAAATCCACAGTGAGTGCAGCATTGAAACATTTTGTTTCGCTTTTCTATTGGTCTGTGGCGTGTCGTTGTGGCGTTGCCACGGCAACCACTGCCAATCACTGTCAGCCCTGCCAATCAATACCGAGAACGTAAGGACGGTTTTACCACTTAGCCAGAGGGCGGGGGGAGGGGGAGAGCAGGGAAGGAGGGAGAAGTGGGGGGATAAAGAGAATTTTTTTTATCTTTGCAACTCTTAATCTCGCTACCTCCCCCTCCTCTCTTCTCTCTTCTCCCTCTCTCTCCTCTTTTCTCTACCGCTGTCTCTGAGACTTCTTCTTCCCTTTTTCCTAAAGAAGTTGATCCAGAAATTCGAAAAGCCCTGGGCAGAGTTGTTGAATGGGATGTGCAATTAGAGAGGGGATTTTGTTGGGAGGCAAGAGGGTCCCCCAGGCTCCACATAGTCCAGGTCGGCAGGCAAGGAAAGACGGCTGACCAGCCCAGCGGGCGCGGTTTGCACATGGTTTGCACGTCGGGCCGCCTCTTTCTGCCTATGTGAGCACTAATAGTGGCAAGGAAGAAAGGAGAGATGAGATCATGGGGCCCACCAAGCACCGACCTTGGCCCAGCGGGCCGTGGCGCCAGCCGGGGATCCCGGATTCCGAGGGTATCTGGCGCCAGGGAGCCTGAGCCCAATTCCCAGGGTGCTGGAGGCCGCTCTTGCCTCCCCCATCGGTGCCCATGGACCGCATTCACCTCAACTCCCTCTTCATCAATTAGGCTTCTCTTTACTCCCTCCCCGGCCAAGGAGCCTCGATTTCCCCCACCACCCTGTATTTTAAAATAACAGTCCAAACAGTACACTTCTTTCCATCTTAAGAAGCAACTCAACTCTTTGTTTCTTCCCAGAATTCAGCTGCCTCTCTGAGGAGTGGTGGAGGAGCTGCGGGAGCCGAGAAGCCCAAGAGCCCTCTGGACCCAGAAAAGTCCTACAGATGCCCACTCCTCACCACACAACAGAAGGAGCTCTGGTCCTGCCTGCCAGCCCCAGAGGGCACTCAAACTTTGGAGGCCAGCCACCCGGATGAAGTGAATAAGGCCTGAAAATTGCTTGTTTGCTCGTATTGTAAAATAATAATAATTACCATTATTATTTTTAAACTGTCTAATTTCTCTAGGGAAAGTAACATCGAAAGCCTAAAACAGACGCCAAAAGGCCCATAGAACACAGAGGGCCCTCTCTGCCTCTGGCCACCACAGCCCCTAGGCCAGGCATGGGTATTTATTCTTAGGTATGTTGCTTTTAAGAAGCTGTAATCAGCATCTTGAGCCGGGCCTCCCTTTGTGAGGCTTCTGTAACTATGGAAGTGTGATTTACGCAGATTTGTCGGGGTCAGAGACGTCTTTCCCTGAGCACTGTGTATATTTAGACAGGACTCGGTTTGGTGTTAAAAAGTGTATATGTTGAATGGATTCACACACAGTAGCCAACAATGACCACATTGTCGGCCCGTGTACAACGCGTATTGAAACGCAGCGCCCAGACTTCAACTAATCTGCCCTCAATAAAGCTGAAATAATTATCCTAAGCTGCCTTTCCAGAAGAAAAATCATTGAGGAATTCAAAACTTTTTTTTTTTTTTTTTAAAGATCTTTTCTGCATTCCGATGCAGATCTGGGGGCAAGGCGCCGTGTCCACACCACTTTGGTGATCTCAATGAGGGAAGAGAGAAAGAGAGGTTGAGAGAGAATTTAAATGGGAAACCTAACGTGACTGGGGCTGTGAGTGTCCCAGCCCCTAAACCCCGAGCTGGAGCCCTGCTTAGGCCTTGACTCCCGCAGTGCCAGGCCTCTGAGGGCCGGGGAGAAGAGCAAGCCGACAAGTGCAAGCCTCCTTGGAGGATTCCGGGCGGCAGGGAGGCCCTGGGTCCGGCGAGGGGCCAATACTGGCTCACTTAGCCAGAGACAGCCGTGGGGTAGCAGGTCTTCAACACGACGACTGGGGCAGAAAAATATTCCTCCAAAGGGAAGACCTGCCAAGCCCCATTTCAGTGCTCTCTCCACTCCATATATATTTCCTCTCCTCCTGGCCATGAGTCCTTCTCCACGCAGCTGAAAGCTCTGGGCGGTCATTCACTGAGGGCCCAGAAAGAGCCCAAAGGTTGGGACACAAAAACAGACACTTCATGTTTTCTTCCCGATCCCTTTCTCTCGTAGGGGAAGGATTATAGGCTGAAGGGTGGGAGGGGGAAGGGGCAGGAGGAGGAAGCGGGGGAGGAAGGAATGAAAAAGGGGAGGGGAGTGGGTATTGTGCCGCGTGTGGGGGGAGAATTCCTACGGGTGGGTTTCCGAATATTGTGTTCAACTTTTTGAAAGCAGCTCGTGACCCCGAAACTGCATCCCCCGGAGCCGGGGACCCAGGCGCCGGGCGGGCGGGTGAACCCGGTCAGTCCCCTCCCCGTCCCCGAAACCCCCGCCTCCGGGTGGTGGCGACCTGGCCTCTCCCTGCCACTGCCCGGCCAGCCCCGGAGGGAGGCTGGGCAGGTGCTGCGGGCTCTGCCGAAAGCGCTGAAATAAAAAACCATCGCCACTCAGGGAGAACTGAGGCAAGTGGGGCTGAGACTCTGGCGACACCCCCGCCCCCCAGCCTCTGCCCCAGCGCCTGCCGCCCTGCCGCCCTGCCGCACCCCGCCTGCTTGGGTGGCGACCGCGGTTCCGGAACGCGAAGCAGGGCAGAGGGCTGCAGAGAGGCGTGTAGCTTTGTGCGCCAGGACCCGGTGGGGCAGGTGGCAGCCCCGGGCTGTCCGCGCCTCCCAGCAGAGCCGAGCTCGGCGCCGCCCACCGAGCCCACCTCGCGGTCCAGCCGCCGCCAGCGCCTTTCGGCTCTGGCCTGAAGCAGTACTCCCGCCTCCTGGAGCGGGTAAGTTGAGAGTCCGGAGAGCAGGGCAGGGAGGCGGGGCGGCTGGTCCCAGAGCGGAGGGCCGGACTGGCTCCCCGCCGGGCTGGGGGCGCAGGCTCCATAGGATCTCAGTCGAGGGGTTCTGAGTGCGTGTTTGGGTGGGAAGCAGGGCTGTGGAGCGCCAGAGCTTCCCCTCCCAAATTCCCAGGCGCTGGGCACTGGGGAGTGGAGCAGAAGCAGAGGGACCTTGGGTTCCGGGGCCCAGCGGCCTTCCACGCTGGTCTGGGAACCAAGCAAGCCCTAGGGCAGTGCGAGGACTGGGAAGGGACCCTGGGGGACCGCTAGAGGAGGTGGCGCGTGGAGGGCGCCTGCACCCTGGGGTCGCTCAGAGCGGAGAGTCTCGGGTGGATAGGTCAGCTTGCAGATCCTCTAGGTCTCTTCTCTGCTCTCTGGCCGCTCTGATTGCGGGATCTGGGACTTGGCGCCCGTACAGGCCGGGTCACCTGTGCAGAACAAATTTGCTGCCATCATCCCCGCTTCAATCCTGGCCCCGGCGATCTAAAATATCGCCTTCAGGTGGGGCAGGGAGAAAAGATGTCTTTGGGGTTTAAATAGTGTTCTCCTTGTACCCGGACCAACTGGCATTTATTTACAAATGTCACCCGCCACCCCAGCACTGGGAAAGTCTCAACCACATCTGGAGAACGCCCGAGAGACCTCCCACTCTCTCCTTGTTTTGGGTTACAGGGAAAGCCAACGGGTCTGCAGGCCTCCGGGAGACGAGGATCCGGAGGGTTGGGGCAGCTGCACCCACTTGGCCTTGCTCAGCTCTAAACAGCCGACCAGGAGGCCGGGGGAAGGTTTGCCCTGTGGGGGCAACGCCCCTTCCGGCTCCCAGGATGTCGGGAGGCGGAGGCTGGCCGGGTGGCCCGTAGTCTGGGCCTCCCCGCAAGCTGCAAACTGAGGCGCTTGGCGCGGGCGGCCAGGGAGGGCGCAGGGGAGCGCAGCACGCAGGCGGGGAGGCCGCGAAGCCCTTCAAGGACCCCGATTACTTTCCTTTGAAAAACAACAACAACAACTGCTCCCTCCCCGCACCCCCGCCCCCCGCCTTAGCCTCCGGGGACTGGCGCTCCAAGCAATTGTCGCCCCGGACAGTAAACACAGCTCAGTTGCCTCAACTTTCTCCATGCATAAAAGTTCCTGGCGTGCGGGGAAATTTGAATATTTGATCAGCCCCTTTGAGTGACCCTCATTAGTCCGGCGCCCTGCTAAGGCCGGGCATTGCAAGAAAGCTGCTGGGCTCGGCATTTGTACGCCTTGTTAGCGCAGCTTAATGAAGCCGCCCCGACGGCTCAAAGGCGGCCTCAGGGGCCGGCGACGCGCACCTCTCGGCACCCTGCTCTGCCTAATGAGCCCCGCCGCCCTCTAAAGGACCCTCCACCCCCCACATTCTGAAACAGGGGAAGTTTGGCTCTGTCTTGAACCACGGCACCTCCCACTGCCAGGCCCAGGAGGGTGGGCACAAACCCAGCCTAGCTGCCTGCAGTTACCCATTCCCAAGAGAGAGGGGCTGGAGAGTTGGGAGGTGTGAGCCATACTGGTTGGGGGCAGTGCAGGGAGGGGAGCGGGTGGCAGGAGAGGCTTTTGCTGTCTCAGGATCCAGCCCAGGGAGTGCACTGCCAGCCTCTCCCAAGTGGACCAATTGCAAATCAATTAGTCACTCCAGTTCCTTAAAGGTGCATCTGGACTAATGCTGGGGTGGCTGAGGGTCAGCCTTCCATCCTCCTATCACCTTAGGTTCCCTTGGCTTCCACTGCCCAGAGGCCACACACTTCTTCCCAAGGTTCCCCTTCTGAACAGCCAGACCTGGTGTGCCAGGACTTGGATTTGAGAAAGGGTGGGCAGCTCCCCTCCCTAACCCATCATTGCCTCCACCATTCACAGAGCCCAGTCACATGTTATGACAAGTGGCAGTAGGGAAGGCAGGGGACCACAGCCCGTCCTGCACTCCCCCTCAACAGAGGTATCCCTTCTTTGGCTTCTAGTCCCAGGGAGGCCTGGCAAAAAAAGTGCTATAGGCAAGACCACCCTGCAAGACTGGCCTGGCAGCCTGGCAGAGAGGCAGAGAGCCAGAGCCCTGGAAGGAAGGGAAACCAAAGCAGTCATCTACTTCACCTTTTCTTAGTGGGGCAGCTGACATGGCTGGCCAGTAAATATAAGACACCCTCTTAAAAATTGTGCTTCAGTCCTCAGGAAGTGTAGCCTTCCTTCCCTTTCTGTCTCCCCTCTCCTCTGATGCCCTTTTCCCTGGACAGTCGGAGCTCAAGGTCCTTCACTCCCTCCTTGCATACACAGCTCTTGGGCCCTTAAGGGTTACTTTTGGGGGGAATTAATGCTCTGGGCTTGGGAAGCAGGCTGCTCCAAATCCACACTCAGGACTTTCTGGACCCCACCCCCCAACACACAAACACAAACATGCCCAGGATCCCTCAGACACACAGTGGGCCTGGTCAGGTTGGTAACCTCAGGACCCCGTGCCCGCGTGAGCGTCTCTGGGAGGTCGTGGAAAGGAACCAAAAGGCCAGGTAGGCCCTGGGATACAGAGAGCCCTCCAAGTCCATCTGGTTTGCTTCTCTTCCTTTCTCTCTCCCTAGCTCCGCTAGCATGCCCTGCCCCATTTCCCATCACATAACCCCCTAACTTAACCCTAAACTGGCAATCTTTAGGCATCACCTCTGAGCTGGGCAAAGGCGGTGCCCGGGCCTTGATCGACCCAGAGGGCTAAAGTAGGGGCGGGGAAGGGAGGGGTGTGCGCTGCTGGTGAGAAAGGGGACCTGAGGCGAGGGTAGAACTCAGCCCTGTGGCCTCGAGGCCAGGCCCACCGGCTGCTCAGGGGAGGAGGCGAGGGGAGGGGGCTGGGAGTCCGCAGGCATCGGTCGGGGCAGCAGGGACCTCAGGCGTCGGCGTGGGGGGCTAGATCCGGAGGAGAGGGGAGGGGAGGCGGGGGTCGGGGGATCGCGCAGGGCGGAGGAGGGGTGCAGCTCTTTAAGAGCCACACGGCTGGCAGGAGAGGCGCGCGGCCCGGTGCTGGTAGAGCACTGACCCCGAAGGGGATTTAGCGGGAAGAGAGTGGCCGGGCTCTGGGGGTTTTGTCCGAGGGGGCCGGGAGAGGCCGAGACACAAGAATAAGGAGCGGCCGCGGCATGAAAGGCGGCGAGGAGAGGCAGCACTGCTGCTCTTGACTTCTGAGCAGGGCTTAGAGAGCCTGCCCCGGCTTAAGCCGAGCTGCTGGTGCTGACCCTGAGCGCCGAGTCCGCGAGCTCTGAGTCCGGAGCCTCCCAGCCGTGGAGCCGTGGGATGAGGGGGGCGTTGGGGGACAGGGCAAAGTCGATCTTGGTTGTACAGCCGCCCGATCCTAGCGCGGAGCTGCGAGCCTGACCGGCCGCGTCTGGCATGGTCAGAGAAAGAATTTTCTTTTCCCAACTCCGGCTTTTGGTTTTGTGTGTCCACCTTGCGCAACTCCGGAGCCAGCCGACCCCACATGGATTCTCAACAGGTGGCCGGGTAAGTCCGTTTAAAGAATTCTGGTTATATGGTCAGCCCCTCCCCGACCTTCTTCCTTTTCCCCTCCCTCTTCCCCCTTTGGCTGGGCCGGGTTCCCCGTGCTCCTCCCGCAGGCGACGGCTGGGGTGGTGGTGGGGGAAGAGGCGCCCTTCCCCTGGGGGTCTCTGGGCTCCGAGTTGCAGCCCAGGAAGCCTGGCGGGCGGCCCCCAAGGAGTTCCACCCGGTACCCCCAAGTCCCGATCACTCTTAGCTCCTTGGTCTGGGCCCTGGCGCCCTGAGAGGGGGAGGGAGAAAGAACGCGCAGCAGCACCTCAAAAGCCGAAGTCCCCGGGAAGGGGGACAGGGGACCCGGTGGCCGGGCAGCCTTTGTGTGGGGGTTTACGGCGGAAACAGAACTATTCTTCTTGTGTGAGAGGCCCGGGATGTGGCCAGGGGGAGCCCGCGCCAGCCGTACAATAGCCGGCAGAAGAGCGCCTCAGCAGCCGGGGTAGGAGTGGGGTAGGGTGGGGTAGACCTGGGTGGGGGAGGGGAGGGCGAGAGAAGAGGGAGGGGAAGCAGAGAAAGGCAAAGGCGAGAAATCCAGGGCGTCCGAGTGAAAAGTCGGAAAATGTTTCCAGAGCGCGCCACAAACAGGCGCGCGCGCGCGCTTGCGGGCGCATAGTCTCTCTGTCTCTCTCTCGCACACACACAAACACACTCTTACATGCTCACACTCATTCCACACATGGAGCCCACGCACGCGGTTCCTAGTCGTGCAGGGTCGCATGCCTGGGCACCCAAAGTGAACGCAGAGTAGAGCCGCCCTCCCACCCCCACCAACGGAGAGCCCTCCCGCCCAGCCACAGGCTCCCCGACTGGGGAGCTAGGAGGGCCCCCGGGGCTGGGGCACAGGGAGGATCTTACCTGCCGAAAGGTAAGGGAAGCCGGGAGCACGGAGCAGCGGCGGATAAATATTCATTAGTAAGTCTCTCCTTTTAAGCCGCGCGGTGCGCTCTCTGGCTCCTATCTCTCTTTCCCTCCCTCCCTCTGTCCTCTTGTGAGCCTCTCTCCCCCTCTCGCTCTGTCTTCCCCCCACCCCTTCCTGCGAAATGCCGGGTGGATCCCAGTATAGCTAACCTGTTGGGAAGCCTGAGCCGCGGGCAGCGCCTCCACAGCTGTTTGCTTTTGCTCTTGGGGCGCGCGTTTCCCCATCCTCTCCCCTCTCTCCTTTTGCCCAGCCCCTCTCCCCCTCCTAAATTACTACATCATTAGCTTTATTTGGTGGGGGGACAGCTCAGCCAAACGCACCTCCCTATAGCAGGGTGAAAAGCCGCTGCTCCCCGAGGCAGCCCCAACTCCACCCCTACCCCTGCCTCACCCATCTCCATGTCCCTACCCAGTTTTGTTTATTTTTCTTCTCTCTTTCCATCTTCACTTCCGTCCTGTACCGACCCAACTCCCTTACCATTCCTCCCTTCCTCGTCGCTGCCAATACGGATCCCAGACGGGGTCGGGGCAGGGAGATGCCAAGTGAGTAGGTCCAATATGCCAAGGTCGGGACTCCACCCTGCCATGGGCGTGGGGGTAGTCCTCCAGGTCCCCCTTTCCCACGTAGGCTTTCCACCCTGACCCTAAGTGGGTACCGGGGCAGCTTGGGCCTTGGGATCAGAGCACCAGGGCGCACAGCAAGGGCCTCAGCCCTCCAGGCCTCAGCGACCTGGAGCCTGGGTCCTTTGACCCGGTCTGGGAGACTGCATGGCGGAGGGGAGGTGGCTTCACTTTGTACGAATGCTCAGGAGAGACACAACCACCGACCATCGGACTGACGTTCTCCCTTTTCAAACAAACTGACCTTAAGTCAGCAGTAAGTCTGCATCATTCTCACGAGAAAACACATCTACAAGATTCTAGAAATGCACAAGGAACCGCTTCTAGTCGCGCGTGAACACGTGCACACACACCACACCCCTCACCCCCACACACCCGAGGCCACCGTTCCCGCTGGCCTCTGAAACCTGTAGGCGCGCAGGCCCGAAAGGCTAATTCTAGCGGAGGAATACATCGCAAAACCGCCCCAGGAGAGCCCTGGCCACTCTTGTTGGCCCCCATTCTTCCAGATCCAGGCCTCTAGGATGCCCCAGGGACCCTGAAGGATGGTGAGGCCCCAGGGTGCTTGGGGGTGGTCCGGGAAGCTCACTCTGGCAGCCCGCTGAGCGCTGCGTGTTGAGGTAGGAGCTGGAGGAGGGGCCAAGGGAGGCGGGCCCAGGCCAATTCCAAGTTACAAATACAGCTGCTCCTGCGAGGCCTAGGAGAGTTTTGCCCCAAAACGTGCATATCATTCGCCCCGAGACGCCATGACCTCCCCAGACATAGCCCCAGGGCGCACTCGACCTCGAGGTGGCTTGGGTGATGGGAGCAATCGAGAGCCAGGAGACGACCTCGAGACCTCCGCCCGCCCATTCAGCCCGGCCCAGCCACAGTCCACCGAGAGACGCCCTAGATGATGGTCCTATCCTTCCCAAAGGGTGGCAAGGCGCAGGATCGCGGAGGGTCTCCCTCCTTGTCCTGAAAGGTTAAGAAATTGGGCAGATGAAGGTATTTAAAAGAGGCCTAGAGGGCCCTGGGGCCGAAAGCCCTATCAACCTCACACTCCACCCAAAGTCCCGCGTTTGCACGTGCACACCTCCTTCTCCCCATGCAGACCCAGGGGGTCGCGCACGTTTGAGCTCAGACTCAAGCTGAGTCACCTGACTATGCCTGGAACGTACAGGCAATCGTACCGAATACACATGGGAGAATTAAAGGAACACTACGGGAGAATTAAAGGAACACTAACAGGAATTTGAGGAATAAAGAAGTGCCCACAGGCATAATTATTTGAATACACGGGTGCACACCCTGTTGTCCAGATGCAGACAAAAGCCACAGTGCCTGCGAGGAGTGACCCCAACCACAAGGGCAGATGTACAGGAAGCCGTGAACGGGAGAGTTCGCCGAATGAGGACGCAGGCCGCAAGGCCAAGGGGGCTTCCTGCTAGAGGGACGTTGGCTCGGAGGGAGAAACTTTGTTGAGCCGACTGGGTGAAAGGTTTCAGGTCAAGTCCTGGCCACTAGAAAGAACCAAGGCCTCATCCACTCAGAGCCAACCTTTTAGCCTTCCTCTCAGCTCTGTTGGAGATACCCAGAAAAGGACAATCCAGGAAAGATTCATTTTGACCGAGATTGTTTTTATTGTTTATTTCTTATTATTTTTGACCTAGGGGTTTGCATTCTGAAAAAGGATTTGGGTGGCGCGTATGCAAGTTCTCACTCACTGCTGGGAGATTCATAATTCTTAATAGGAACATTCAGCTCTAACCATGGCCTGAGAAGCTGGAGGGCCCTTATTTTGCCCCTTTCACCCTTCTTATCCTAAACTTGATCATTCAAAAGGATCCACACCCTCCTGCCCCCAACTCCACCCCAATACCCTGTATGTCAGATATGTTTGCAGAAGAACACACTTCAAAGTAAACCAAATTACATAGTTTATTTAAAAAAATTTTTTGTGATATATTGGGAAGTCCTCACCCCCTGCTCCCCTGTCTCTGGCTGAGCACGGTGTCCGGGCGGAGTTGGGGGGTTGCCAAGAGGAGTTTCCAGAGTGGCTCTTGGGCAAGGCCTGAGAAACTACTCTACATAGGCTTGTTTTTAGTGTGAGCTCCCTTTGCCTAACCAGTTCTAGTGGCTACCTCCCGGTTTCCTGCAGAAGAGGCAGGCTCCCTGGGAGCAGGGGCGCCCTCGCTTCCACTTCACCTCCTTTCCTAACTTTCTCTCTTTTGAGCACATCTTCTGAGCCTCGCTCTCTCATCTGAAAGTGGAGTGTAAGTCCAAGAAGATTCATTTAGACAAAGAAGGTGGAAAAAAAGGACTTTCTGGGCCAGCAAGTCGGATGACCACCCTCCAAGGGGCAGAGGAGGGCCCATTTTGTGAAGAAGAAATCAACTACCCGGAAAACGCCACAGGAGGACATGTTTCTGCAGATGTAGTTGCCCTAGAAACAGAAGAGTATGGGGGTGTGAATGTCTTCTCTTTTGGGGGCAAACACTATGTCCTTTTCTTTTTCTAGATACAGTTAATTCCTGGAAATTTTAGCGAGTTTGTTCTTGTGGATATTTTGAACAATAAAGAGTGAAAATCACTTTGGAGTCACTTAATCTTCGTTAGAAGGGCAGTTTCTTCCAGGGCCATTTTCTTTCACCAGATTTGTTTTTCCTCGTTCCCAAATGAGGTAGTTTTAAAAATCAAAGTCCACTTGCTAACTCACCTGGGAAAGAGACTGCGACAGAAGGAAGAGAAGTAAATAGACATCACTCTCAAACTAAAAGTGTAACTTTCATTCCTGGCAGCTGAGATTCAGAACACAAAGAAACAAACTCGTTTACCTTTGAGTATTTCCCCCGTTTGGGTAATTTATCTAGAGCTTTCCCAACAATTAATCACAGCATCTTGAAGTTGGAAATGTATGCTATTATTTTCAGCCTTACAAGGTTCGTCAAACTCTGCTTCTCTGGTTTTAAAAACTGTTTGCTTCTACATAGCTATGCCCGTTGCAACATTTATCACTCAAGCAGAAAAGCAACTCGTTTTCTCACAGCCTCAAATGCCCCGTGTACAGTCACTGGAGCGAATTTATTTTTCTCTGTCTTTCCCAAATGCCCTTGTCACCTCTGCCAGGGCCACAAGACTCGGGGCAAAACTTCGGAGGTTTGAGACCTCTTGAGTGTGTGGATCGCTATTATTGTTAGTTTTTTTGTTGGGAGAAATCGTGCTCGGTGATCGCGTGCGGTTGTCTCTCTCTAAGCCGACTAGGGTTGCCTGCGCCTTCCTCAGCAGAAACTCCTAGAGGAAGCTAACCATTTCCGCTGCCCGGGGCAAAGGGCTGAACGGTGTTGTCGGGTCTAGGGTTGGGGTGGGAAAGTGAGGACGGTATGCGGATCGGGGAGGGGGCAGTCATCATCTTCAACAATAAATTAAAATAACCTGATACCCCTTTAATCCCTTCCATCAACAGTGTCAACGCGCTAGAGAGGCCGTCTCACCTCCAAAGGTATCTTCACTCCCGGAGGGCCCGGGCTCCCAGCCGCAGTCCCACACTGGGCCCGCGCGCCGGATACGAGGTGCTCCGACGGCAAAAATCCCATACATTTTTAACTACAGTGATTACTAAATTAATAGCAGGCACTAAGACAGATGTCAAAACGTCTTGAAAATGTTTATCTGTGAATAATTGAGAAGGTGGTGGGACGCATTATCTGATTGTGTAATGAAATATGTATGAGGAACAGCTGTTTGCAACAGTCCCCTCCCGCCGCCTCCTCAGCCAAGGCCCTTCTCTAGGAAGCAGGAGTCGCGGCGAAGTTGGTCGCCTACTTCCGTCCACTTGGGAGCCCTCGCGGCCCCTCCCCGGCTGCTGGCAGAATGGTGGCTCCAGCGCGCCCCAGAGTAGTCCGGTTTCCCGACGGACAACAGCATGGAGTCCTCCTCAGCCTCGCTCTGTGGGCTCCGTGCCTGAGTGAGGCTCCACCGCCGGCCGCGCTGTCCCTCGCGCCTTCGGGGCCGGCCGCGGGCTCGGCCTGCGGGGACCGAGGGGAGCACTGGCCCGGGCGGCCGCGGAGGCCTGACGTGCGCCCACCGGGCGGTGCGGCCTGCTCGGAGGCGAGGCCCGGGAGCCCCGCGGCTCAGCGGGGCGGGCCTGGGGTCACCGAGGGGTGACGGGGCTCCGGAGAGGGCTTTGTTCGCGCTCTCGCCACACTGCGCACTTCCTTCCAGCCCCCTGCGGCCCCCACCCCAAACCTCCGCGCCCCCGCCCTGTTTGTTTTTCCAGCCCCGCGCCCTCCACCCCAACACGCAAACAGCCCTCGGGGCTGCGTCAGCGGCCTGAGGCCGTGGCCCAGGTCAGGCCTGAGTCCAAATGGGGCCAGCACGGCGAGCCCTGGCCCCGCAGGAAGCGGTGTGAGGGGGAGAGGGAGCTCCAGGGCCTTCCTGGCGCGAGAGGGGCAGGCGAAGGCCGGGGGGAAGGTGGTCCAATAGGGCGCACGGCCTGGGCGGGCGGCGAAGGCCCGAGGCCTGGGCTCGGAAGGGTGCGGGCGGCCTGCGCGGCTGCCCAGCCCCTGCCGCTGTCCCCAGCCCCAGCTGGACAGGGGAGGCGCGGCGGAGTGGGGGTGAGGAGGACGCCAGGAAGGGCCCCATCGGGCCTGGGCCTTGAAGGCAGTGTCACCCACATGGACAAACCCGGTGCCCCGTGCGGGTGTGGGGACCCCCTCGCCGCCTTCCCTGCGCTTCGCCCCGCCCGGAGACCGCGTCCCGGGCGCGGCGCTTCCCGAAGCTCCCAGCCGGGCCGTGGCTTGCCCGCGTCCTCCGCCTCCACGGCCTCTCGGCCCCTCATCTTCCCCAGCTCCGGGGACCCGTCCCTAGCCCCTGACGCCCGGGAAGCCTGGCTCCGAAACCTTCGGCCGCGTTGGCCTTCCGGCGCCGCTGTCCCGACCGCTCTGGGGCCGGGGCCAGGGCCGGGAGCGGAGGAACCGAGTCCGGCTTTGCGGCCCCGTGGCGCCCCGACACCCTGCGCCTTCGCAGTCTCCCTAGGCTGACTCAGTCGAGATGCGCTCGGGCGTTATGTCTGGAGCGTCGCCCTTTTACCTAATCCCTTATGCTTTTATTCTAATCCTACACATTACAGTTAATCTGTAATGATACCGCTTTGGAGGAACCTGTTGCATACGAGGCTCGGCAATTTGTAACCTTGGAAACAGTTTTAAATAAAGATTATAAGAGTGATGTCAACTGTGTTTATTCTCCACGCGGGGGGTGGGTTGGGGGCAAGGCAGCCCCTCGGCGGAGAGGACGGAGTTTCGGGAGAAGGGGTCGAGGCGCGAGGGGCAGGGCGGAGCGGCGGCCGGGGGTCGGGGAGGCGGAGGAGCAGCCAGAGCTGGCTCTAAGTGACTCCAGCCCGGCGCCTGGCATCTTTTGAGTTTTTCTTTTTGGGAAATCGCGTGGTCTTAAACCGCGAGGCATGGGGAGAGGGAAAAGGATTTGCAAAACTGCGGAAAACTCGGTGAACTTGCGCTCCTGTGTATCCCAAATTAGCATTCAGCCGGGCCCTGCGCGCCTGGATCGCTGAAGCTGCGCAGAGAGAAAGAGCGGCTTGCAGGACCCTTGGGCTGCAAGAAGGCAGAGCTGCCTCGGTCCGGTTGCTTTGCGCTTCGAGCTTCCTACTCTGCTAAGCGCACTGGCAACAGCAGCAACAACCAAAAGTTGCCGGCACACCAAAAGCAAAATTAAACATAATTGCTTTTATGTATCTATTGCTTTTATATCATTAAAATATTTTTAGTTACATTGTGTAAAATGGCATCCACTCTGATTATTACCTGCCATATCTGTTGATCTGCTCCTTGTGTATGCAGCATAGCAATATTAACAATTAAGAAAAAAGCACATCATATATTGTATCTGTCAAGATATGTTACAATTTCCATTAACAAAAAAACATCATTCTTGTTGAAGAAGCTATGAAGCATATCTTTCACAAGCACTTTATTAATAATCATAGTTGTCAAAAAGAATTAGATATGCATAGATTGTAGATGCAAAGGAAATATTAGATGCACAGAATAAAATATACAGTGGGATTGAGGCATAACTATTTTTCTTTTTTAAAGTAAATTTTACCGAGGTGAAAAAAACCTGTGCTATTAAGCTTACTTAAAAGGTGGCTTTGTTGGTTTAATTATACTGTGGTTATTTTATAAATATGTTTCAAAGGAAGCTTGCCATATTGCATGTCAATGAGGACTGTAAAGAAAAGCTCACAAAAGCTAATGCATACCAAATACCAAATTTTACTCATTAGCATTCCTATTTATTACAAACTAAAGGAACCTATTAACAGACAAGAATTTCTATTTAGCTAGCATTACATGTTTGGCTATTAAAATAAAAAGGGCAAAGTATATATGTATTTTTCCCCCCTTGGAACTGTATGTTCTTTTTTTCCCCCCTAAAAGCTTACGGAAAGATTGGGAGATGTTTCTGATTGGGGAAACTCGATTCTATTGTGGGAATGGGCCAGAGGGCCCAGAACACCTCGCTTTAGTGGTGCAGCTTAATGCTATTCATTCGGAAGCTAGAACCGTTCGGCGCTGGGACTCTGCAGCCTGCGGAGGGCTATGTAGTGCCCACAGCCTGTGAGTGGCCCTTTGTCTTTAATTTGTGTCATGAGCATATGCAAATTATTAATTGTTTTTCCTCGAAGGGAGGGAGTGGGTAGTGATGGTAATACTGCTTTTGTTTGGATATTAAAATTTCCTTAAATGCTCCCAAGGCGGGGATACTTCTCCCAATGCGGATTCCCCTAGTAGAAAATCCCACCGCTACAGTGAACATATGGGTATTAATTCTAGAAACATGCACATGTAGATTTGTATCATTTCAAAAACTTTCTTTGAACAAAGGTGGCATTTCTGCTCTCACAACAGAAGTAAATGAATATAGAAATTTATTTTTTCTGAATCTCAATTTAAGAGGGGAAAAAACTTTTCAGCTATCCTTACTTTTAGAAACTTTATATTTTTCTTCTTAAAATTGAAGCAGATTTCCCCCCCCCCCCACCCAACTGGGCAGGGAAACAAATACATTTTAAGGAACTGAAATGAAATATTTGAAATAAGAAAGTGTTACTATGAATTATGTTAAGTGAGTTTTGTGTATTTTTAAGGGAAAAAATAGAGCTTGTTAAACTCTGCGCATTTGCCAAGTGACTCGAAGCACAGGTTCTTCTGGCCTGACATTTGGCTCTGACAGGATGTATTCTGCCTGCTTGGGGGACTCTGCTTTAAAAGATTGAAAATTTTAAAGATTCTTCCCTGAAAGGCCCACATGAAAATAATAGGCGTCACAAGGAAGGAAGGGAATTTCTGAATCCCTGATTTAAAAAAGAAAATCTCTTCATCAAAAGTCATTAACATGTGCGGATCTCATGCAAAATCTTAGATTTCAATAGCAAAATTGGCTGTGTGGGGTTGGTGGGGCTAGGTATTCTCTCCCCTGTGACCACCTAGGCAGAAACAAGAGAGGGAAGATAGAATGATTCCTACACCAAACTCTTCCCACTGCGAAATAGTATAAGTTACTGTAGTAGGAAAGAAGCTTGGATTCCTCAAGTCTGGCAACTGCAGAGCAAAATGTGAATGTTCTCCATTTCTCTCCCACTATATCTGGATGCGGTGTCAACTCCCAAATCTCTAAAGCATATTTGATACAGAGGTGGGGAAAATGGCTCTGCCAGCAGAGGCTGCATCTACACAATTGTTTGGATAATTCAGCTCCTATTCCTCCAAATTAACCAGTCTGATGTTGCCTGCATGACACCCAGATTATCCGGATGGACTCATCCACTTCCTCCCCAACCTACATCGTTGGTACAACCTTCATTGAATGCTGAATCCAGACACTATCAGTAGCCAAGGAGGAGAAGGCTGCTTCCCATGTATTCACACCAAAGTGGTTTAGATCTCTACGTGAGTGAGAGATAACCCAGTTTTCAGTGCCTTAAATCTCATTTTAAAGAGCAGACTAGGAAAGACTATCTCAGTGATGCAGAGATAAGATAGAGACCCTTTTTTCAAGGAACTAACACTTGTTGTGGAGAAAGATGTACCCAGTTCAGGACAGCACAGAACAATGCTGCTTTATGGGTGTCTTGGTTGGAAGCACACAGGGAAGCATGGGAGAAACCTTAGAAGGAAGAGATGGGGTTTGAGCTGAGCCATAAAGAGTGTGATTCTAGATGGCAAAGAGTGTGACTTCTAAGCAAACTTGCTATCTAGGTAAGATATTATGTCAGGTCTGACATAAGGTAGGCATTTAAAAGTGCCTACTTGAATGAATGAATACGTGAGTGAAGTTATGTGGAAGTCTGATAATAAATTCCTCTAAACATTTCTCCTTAGGATGGCCTGTCTGCAGTGTTAACCTGAAATTTGCTTATTTATCTCCCACTTTAATGTATCTTTCCACTCCTTCAAGGACAGGGGAACTCAGTTTGAAACTGGGAATGTCTAGAGCTGATTAAATGATGCCCATTGCTCCCATGCAGTGGGTGAAGTTTCTTGCTCAGAGGAGACTTTTCCATGGGCAAATGTTCCCTAAACTGATGTCCTGTTTACATTCTTGCAAGAATGAGGGGATTACTGCAATTCTAAGCAGTTTTGTATTTTAAACAAATCTTCTTCTTGTGGTAGCAATTTAACATTTTGTTTGAAACATCCCAGAATGCAAAATGGTTAAAGGGGCCTTGTTAGGTTTTTAAATAGAGCAGAGAAGAATCCACTGTAAACAGCTTCTGGATTAAAAACAAGGAAACCTGCTACTGCCACTAATTAGTGGGTAAAGTAGCTCACCCAAATCAGCTTTGCTTTTTCTCACTGAAAGAGACAATATTGGCTACCCTTGTCTATACGACACAGTTTTTGTTTTTGTTCTTTAAAGACAAAACAATGGGAAGGTAGGTTTTTACATAGCTCTAGCCTCAAGCAATTACAGGATGCGTGTGATATTAATCAATTATGAACAGTTTCTTTTCACACCAGGGAACAGATGCTTATTAGCTTGAGCTTTAAGATACAAATTTTAAAATTACAGCAACTAAGAAAATAAAGAATACTGGCACAATGAGAAATCTGCACCCATATTGTCTTTTCTTTAGAATGTCTTTTTATGCTTTAGTAGCTTTTTGGGTCTGGGACATACATTCCACGCTGGGACACAGCAGAGATTTGCTCTTCGGAAAGTGCCTTAACTGAGTAAAGTGCTGCCAGGCTGTATTATGGGTCCTGCCTCAAGCGGAACATTTCACATCTCATTCTCTCTGGAGGATCTCTTCCACTTTTCCCTCACCTCCACCTCTGATCCAGAGATCTGGCTTTCATCTTCTCCTTTTCTCTCTCCTAAACATGCCACCGTTTCTTCCTAAACTAAACTTGTTGACATGAAAGTCAACAAGTTGAGGGCAATTCAATTTCAGTAATAAGCAGATGGCTTGTGAGTTCCCGAGACCCAAGTAAAGGCCCTTCCATGGGAAGCACCTAATTTAAAAGGAGGAAACACCAAGAATTAAGAACTCTGCAAGGAGTGTGGCTGAAGAGGAGCTAGCTTCCAATCCCTCCTTCCTGCACCATCCCTCCGAGTTCATCTGAGGGAAGCTCACTTTCCCAAGAGCCCATCTTTTCCTGGTTGTAAAATGTGTTCATTTCCAATGTACACAGGCTAAACATATGGCAGAACAGTGTGAAGAGGGAAGTGTGTCCATTAGCACATTCAGGGACAGAGTCTGAGATGTACATTCAACAAAGGGCTTCTTGTATCTGAGCCCTATACCACAGCATTGCACCAATGAAAGCCTAACTGACCTCAGTTTGTATGGGCAATGTGCGTGCGTGCGTGCGTGCGTGCGTGTGTGTGTGGTATATTTCACAAGGCCAGACAAATTCAGGCTACTCTGTTAAAGTCTCTTGGTATGAAGGAGGAAAAAAGTATTGGATGACCTCGTATGTGTTAAAGAGGAGGAGGAGCCCCCAGAGATTAGAAAATGAAGAGGGGCTGGAATTTTATTTTAATTAATCTCACATTCCATGGAGAGCTTTTCTGAGAATATGATCTTCTTTCCCATTTACTTCTCTGCAGGAAAGTCTGGAGACTCACCAAGCTGAGGAGGAAGAAGGGAACATCTCAACCCAAGCTGAATTCTGAAGAACACTTGGCCCCATCTTCCAGAAATCCTAAATCACATAGAGGGAAAGTTTTGGCCAGGGCACCAAGAATGAACCAGAAGCTGAGTCCATTACTCCAATTTTCACATTAACCAGGAGACACATTGAAAATTCTTTTCTTGAGTGAGAGACTGAAATTTTGGCTCAAGGGTGTTTCTGTTGGGTCTTCTCTTTATATGGCATGTGAGGACTGCATCCCACGTCACATCTGCAGCCACTCCCAGATTACACTGCAAGGGAGGGTAGATTAGGAGTGGGTAGGGAGTAGAGGGGTCTGTAGACACAGCAAAAGCAGCAAGCTGGTGTGGGAAAACCCAGAAAATATGTCTCAGAGACAGCCAGTGGCTGCACATACAAAAGGAAGGCACCTACCTGGAAGAGAAGGGGTTGTGAAGTTCTGCCCAGAGTCACAGCGCTGACGTCCTCAGAAGGTCTCCAGCCCTCTGCAGCAATCTATAGTATGCATCAGTATGGTTGGAAAAGCTTCTTCTATCAAGTTTAACAACTTTCTGGTGTAACTTCTGAGAGGGCTGATTGCTTATTCATGCGGAAGCAAGACGCCCAGTTCATTTTGCCCGTTTTTGCTACTCTTTGTTGGGTTTGGGAGGCTGTTATGGTAGCTGCAAATGGCTTCTCAAGTGACATTTGCTGACATTCAGTGAAGTACATTTATCAGTATTCGCCAGCTCACCTCTACACATGCAATCCATTTTGTTTTGTTCTTCATAGCAAACTCCTTTCCGACACCCGTGCCCTGAAAATGATAAATGGCAAGGTGGCATATTTCTGAAGCTGCACTCAAGTGTCACTGTGAAAAATCTTTAATGGACTAAGTGTAGCTTTTCATGTTACAGCTTGTCAGGTACTGAGAAATTCTAGAGTTTGTCTTTAATCCTCAAGTCTTTGGAACCACACTTCTGCAAGCAGAGACTAATTATAAGCTGCACCACTCAGACCTGGGCAAGCAGAAACCAAGGAGAAAACATTTGATATCAGCAAATTCTTTATTATTATTATTATTATTATTATTATTCTCATTCCATTTTTGCTCCTTCCTTTCCTACTCAAGATATTTGAGGCATGAGCAATCTGTGACTCTAATTAAGGGGGTGACAGCCCCAACCAGGCCACCATGCAGGCTTATAATCCACTCATACACCCAGCTTTCTCCATAATGGCTTTATTCTTTTCCTCCAAGGTTCAAAATCACCATGACTTCTCCCCCACAAAAAAAAAAAAAAAAAGAAAAAGAAAACTGACTCTGAATCATAAATCCTGGCTCCCAAATATTGGCCATAATTGGGTAGGTGAGATGTATCTTGTATGTCTGGGTGGAAGAGGCTCCTTTCTCCCTGGTGATTCATTTTCAGAACACACGGCCATCCTTCCAATGGCTTTGAGTTTCACGTCACCACCGGAAAGACCTGCCAGTTTCTTCCTGTTTGTGTGCCTGTCCACTGCCATCATGCTACTCCCAGGACTATGGCTTCTGGGCACTCACTCACCCTTCAACATGGCTTGTTCACTCCAGTTCTCCCTTTCCAAATGTTCTCAATCCCCTGGGCTGTGCGCCAAGGGGGATTCAGCCCTTGCCCACCGGCTATGGTCTGAATGTTTGTGTCTTCCCCAGATTAATATGTTGAAATTTAATCACAAATGTGATGGTGTAATAAGGTGGGGACTTTGGGACTTTATTAGGTCATGGAGGGGGAGCCTCATAAAAAAGGCTGCCTTGCCCCCTCCATCGTGTAAATCACCATCTGTGAACCAGGAAATGGGCCCTCACCAGACACCGAATCTGCCGGTTCCTTGATCTCGGACTTCCCAGTCTCCAGAACTGTGGGAAACACATTTCTGTTGTTTATGAGCCACCCAGTTTAAGGTATTTTGTTATAGCAGCCCAGATGGACTAGGCCACCACCATAGTCAGGGAAGAGCTGGCTGATTTGTGCGTGTCTGCGCTGTGTCCCAATGAAAGCACAATAATCAATGAACATTGATTCTGCAATCGATGTTTGAAGGTCAAAGGAGTTGGGAAAGGGGGTCTCCTGAAGCCAAGGAAAAGCATTGTACTCCCCAAAACTGTGCCAGCCAGGTTAACTTTTTGCGAGATGCTACAGATTGAGATGCTTTAGTTTTACTTCTGGCTCTTTAAGCCCTACTCAAGCTCTAATTTTGATATCTCGTTCTAGACGCCTTAGTTTGGGCCCCTCCCAGGCTCCCTTCTGTTTTTGTTCTTTTTTTCTAACATCATCCTTGGCTTTTCTTCTCCTTTAGGTTTGATCTCCTGTCTCTTGGGTTGAGAAACCATCCCCTCTGACTCCTGGCCCCCTGTGACCCCTCCAAAGCCCCCTGTACAGGTCTTTGGCCACACAGAGATTCAACAGTCTAATAATCTAAAATTGTAAATGCCACAATTTGTGTGCGTGTTTACTGTGTCTCAGTTTTGAGTTCTTTTTGAAATCTTTTAGTTATTCCAGAAGGGATAGGATAAAGAGAAGAAATCAGTTATACTCCCAGTGGCCAGGCATGGTAGGGCAGAAAGAGTGTTGACACTCACTACCCCTGCAGGGGGAGAGGGCAGAGGACCCAGGTTAACTACCCAGAGATGAGATGGATCCTGGTCTAACTCAGGCCCTGGGATACCTGCACCAATTGCTCTCAGCAGGTCGAGACATCACAGAAGAAGAGAAGACATGTCAACTCTCTACAATAGTGTCTTAGCCCTGGAGATACTATTGGAGAGTGACAACAGACAGCAAACAGGGTTCTATTCATAGTGGCCATGGTTTCCCCAAGCAGAGAACATATCCAACCAAAGGGACTTCAGCAAAGCTTTTCCTAATCTGTGCTCTGAAATGGCTAAGTAGAAGAGAGCTATCTAGAGTGTATGAGGATGTCTTTAAAGTCAACCTTGCAATAACTATTGCATGCAGACTGTAATTGTGGGCTAAAAGTGAAGGCTGTTTTGTTAGGTGAGACCCTTCCAGAGCACCTCCTGCATATGTACACACATTCTCTCTCTCTCTGTCTCACACACACACACACACACACCTCCCCCCACAACACACACACACACACACACACACACAACCTCCCCCCACAACACACACACACACACACACACACACACACCTCCCCCCACAACCCACACACACAAAACCAACCCCATCCCAGGGAACCCAACAGTCATAGATCTCATCTGGAGTCCAACTCCTAATCCAGGTGTCATGATCATCACGTGAGAGATAGCAGAATCTCCACCAATTTTGGAAAGAACTACTCAAGTGTTTTCTAAAAGAAATAATGGAAAAAAGTAAACAGCCAATTGAATTGCCAATAATAAAAATAGGATGTGGCTATCTCCTATATTTTGCCGTTTATATCCAAAATAACTTATGGACATGCACAAAACATCCATGAAAATAAAAACATAACCATTACCTTCAAAAATCACCCTGGACCCTTTACATTCTCACCTCTCTCCCTGCCAGCTATCTGGCTCACTGAAGTCTTGACCTCCGGGGCTCAAGTGATCTTCCCACCTCAGTCTCCTGACTAGCTGGGACCACAGGCACACGCCACCACGACTGGCTAGTTTTTTTTATTGTCTGTGGAGGCATGGTCTCACTATGTTGCCCAGGTTGGTCTCAAAGTCCTGGGCTCAAGCAATCTGCCACCTTGGCCTCCCAAAGTGCTGGGATTACAGGCGTGAGCCACCGCACCTAGCCTCTATCATAATTTTATTGACAGAGCACATGGTTGTTTAACCCAGTAAGAGTCTATATACTATTCTTGATTAGGCAAACTTTGGCTCATGGAACAAATTCATTCTCATGCTACCTGTTTTGTGAATAAAATCTTATTGGATCAGAGCCATGGCCATTCATTTATACACATTATACGTAGCTGCTTTCCTGCTACAACCACAAGGCCAATCGACAGAGACCATGTGGCCCATCAAGCCTGAAATGTTTACTATCTGGCCTTTTACAGAGTTTGCTAATCCCTGTTTTAGATTATAGAGGATGTTTGAATGGTCAAGTAGAGATGACAAACTGATGATTCTAGCACTAGAGGGGCGAGTCGAGGACTGCAGAAACAAAAGCCACAGGGAGGACGCAGGCAACAGGTTCCAGAACACAAGTGAAGGAATGGGTCTTCATGAGTGAGGACACTTCATCCACTGTAACAAGCAGCAAAGCAGAAAATGAGAACAAATGCAGACAGGAAAAGGATGGCATTTCTACCTCCTGCCCGTTTTTGTTTTTGTTTTTGTTTTTTAAGACTAAGTCTCACTCTGTCACCCAGGCTGGAGTGCAATGACACCATCTCAGCTCACTGCAACCTCTGCTTCCCAGGTTCAAGCGATTCTTCTGCCTCAGCCCCCCGAGTAGCTGGGATTCAGGCATGTGCCACCACACCCAGCTAATTTTTGTATTTTTAGTAGAGATGGGGCTTCACCATGTTGGCCAGGCTGGTCTCGAACTCCTGACCTCAGGTGATACGCCCACCTCGGCCTCCCAAAGTGCTGGGATTACAGACGTGAGCCACTGCGCCTGGCCTCCTACCCATTGTTTCTATTAGCTCTGTCTTAATGAAGTGTGAAACAAGCTAAAAGTTTGGGCAGGGATTAACGGAGGTTTAAGGACCAAGGGGAAATCGTAGAGAGTGGGGAAATGAGCAAATGAGGACATTTTGTTAGGATGCTTAGGCAGTGCTGTGGTCATGAATTTAACCTGCACGCAGTGAGCAGCACCATGGTGTGATACTCTTCATCAATGTTTGTGGGCTCTGGTGCAAGCATAGAGTGAGTCAGATGTTGGGTTTAATCATTGTTGGGGTTTTGCCAGGCAAGTACAATAAAGGGAGAGAGGGGCAGTGGACTTAAATGGGCAAGGGGTGACTATTATAAAGGTGAGTCATGGAATCTAAGCTGGTGAGAAGGGTAATAACGAAAGAGGAAGGTGAAGGACAGTGGAGAATGTGGTGGGGTGAATGAATGGATTGGAGGTCTCCCTGAGAACAAAGCATTTCTGGAGAATAAGAGAGCTCAAAAGATAGGAGCTCAGAGAGTGAGGTGCCTGCCGTCCAGATTCCAGAGGTGGGGCAGTTTCTGGTAATGGCAGGGTCTGGGGATATGACTGTGGGAGAGGAAGGCTGAGATAAGTGAGGGAGTCAAGGGAGCTAAGACACTGGGAGGCCACCCAGATTGTGACAGTCTATATTGTGGAGAGGAAGTGAGTCAGGTCTAGGTCCTCAATAGCTAAGGACTCTGAAGGAGAGAGGAGATTGGTCTGGAAGTAGTAATGGGAACAAGACAGCCCCATCTCACCTCCAGACCCACTGGTTTAGGAGATAGGGGAGATAAAATAACCTCCACGTGACAGGGTGGCAAGTCCTCAGAGAGAATGGGCTTCAGTTATGTGAGAAGAGGAGAAAAGCATGCAGGAAAGTTACTGAAGCAATAGGAGCTGTGTTGATTTCCAGTGTGCCTAGTGGAAGGGTTTGGAGGATTGGAAGACATGGGTAGAACCTAAGCCAGGTTAGGATGTACAAGGCTGTGTTGGGTGAGATCTGGCAAAGGGACTGGGTGGCTTGAGCTCCTGGGATTGACCAGGTTGATAAGGACATGTAGACATAATAAGATTCAGCTGGGAAAGTCTCTGCAAGGACTGGGGCTCCAAGGTGACCCCAATATCTACTGCAGCTCAAGATGGTGTGCAGTCAGCACAAATAGGGGGTTGAAAGTCTTCTCTGAGTGTCTGCCGGTGTAGGCAGCATGCAGGGATGAAGGAGCAGTAGGTGGGGGTCTTTGTCAGTTGCCTGGCCCTTCCACGGAGGGTAGGAGGGTCAGGGTTGGGAGTTCTCACATAGGAACGTGTGTTGATCATCCCTATCAACATCCAACCCTCTTCCATAAAAACACACAAACCTGGCCAGCTGCGGTGGCTCACGCCTGTAATCCCAGCACTTTCGGAGGCTGAGGCGGGTGGATCACCTGAGGTCGGGAGTTCGAGACCAGCCTGACCAACATGGTGAAACCCGTCTCAACTAAAAATACAAAATTAGCTGGGTGTGGTGATGCATACCTGTAATCCCAGCTACTCGGGAGGCTGAGGCGGAAGAATCACTTGAACCTGGGAGGCGGTAATTGTGGTGAGCTGAGATCGTGCCTTTGCACTCCAGCCTGGGCAATAAGAGCAAAACTCTGTCTCAAAAACAAAAAACAAAGCACACACACAGACACACAAACCAGATCACCACAACAGATTCCTCCCTTGAACTTGATTACCTCCTCCAGTTTCCAGCCCATTTACCTGCTTCCCTTCATCATAAAACAATTGCAAAGAACTAAGGATGTTGTCATAGTCTGCCACCTGCCCCCAACCCTCCCCTAAGATTGCTCTTCTCAAGGACATGCACATCTAGCCACACAGGCCTCTGTTTCTGAACACACTAAGTTCACCCCCGACTACAGACCTTTACCCAGGCCCTTCTCTCGGACGGAATGCTCTTCCCTCACATTCCAGACCTGGCTCCTTCCTGTTCAGTTAGCTCAAATGGCACCTCCTTAGAGAGGCTTTCCCCGAGGAACACATCTAACTTGGCTCCTAAAGTCACTCTACTTCATCCCGCTTTATTGTTTTCACAGCACTTCTTGCCTTTGGAAGTTATGTTCCTCACTTATTTGTTAACTTGTTTATTTTCCATTTCCTTGATCTAGAATGTAAACCCATGGATGCAGGAACCTCATCTGTCTTTTTTCACTGTCAGCATCTAGAACATTGCCTTGCCCCAGTAGGTGCCCAATAATTATCTGTTAGTAAAGTTACCCTTTACAATAGAGCTCTTTAACTCAAGAACACATAAAGTTAAGAATCTGTCTGCAACTAGGAATCTCTTTATCCCTCTACTGGGAGCCCCAAAGAGCATGAAAAAATACAAAATATGCAGGGCCCAGAGAAGAAGTTGTGGGTTAGTCAACCACAAGTTAGGAATTAATAGCTAGCACTAAGGTATGAAATCATCAGCTTAAATCTTCCATGGGGATGGAAAAGGCAGCTCTTACTGGTTGCTACCACCTGTAAGTGAATGAGTTTATCAAGTTCTTTCCTAAGGATAGGTCTCAGGGAAGTGTGGCAATAACTATGAAGGCATTGAGTATCCAAAGAGTTTTCTATCAACATTGGAAAGATCACTCTGCTCTTCTGTGGGGACTATAGGCATGTAGACAATCAAAGATAAGGCACTTGGGTAGCAGTATGGCGTGAGAGCCATTTGAACTTGAGGTTCGAAGAACATAAGCTCCTTGAGTGGTTGGATCCATGTGGATTGATACTTTCAGTTGCGTAGTTAGTTCATAGAATGTAACAGGATCAGGGACCCAGGAACCTTCTCAGAAGCCTGTCACTCATGCCCTGGGAGATCTCCTTTTTTGTTTAAAAACTCTTGAATCCTGTTTGCCTTCCCCTTCTTCTCATTTCAGAGAGGGTCAGCAGGCCAGGGCTGGGGGACCAAGGCAGCCAGGGGTACGCCACCCAGATCCAGGCAACATGGCTCTACATGTCTGCAACTAAAAACTTTGAGGACCGACTCTCTCTCTCTCTTTCTCTCTCTCTCTCTCTCTGTCTCTCTCTCCTCTCTTCCTCTCCCTCTCTCCCTCCCTCTCCCCACCCCCTCCTCCTTGGCTTCACAGGACCCAGTAACTGAACCTGAAGACCCACCTTCCTAGGACCCTTGCCTTAGAAATCTCTTTTTTCATGAATTGGATCTCACTTTAATTCTCCCCATTCACTCTCTGAGCTGAGCTTATTGGTCAGGGAATCTAAGACCTAGGCAGGGGGCCTGATTATGCCTCAGACAGTGACAGGATCTATGAAAGCAACAGACACAATTCCTAGTGGGGCATGGGCTTGGTCAAACTACTGGTGCAGGGACAGTGAACAAGACTGGCCCGTGGCTGGGGAGCAAGACCTTGGCGGTAGAGCTGCCATCCTCCTACAGGACAGGCCACAGATACAATGCTTCAAGCCTCTCACAAAGCAAGAACCAAGAAGCAGTTCTTCCCCCATGCCTCCATCCTTCCCTGGGGCAAGAGAAAGCTCTGGTGGAGTGAGTTAGGACTCAGAGATGTTGTTTCTAGTTCTGGCTTATTCATTCCCTTATTCATCTATTCAGCAAAGATTTACTGAGTGCTTACCACAAGCCAGGCCCTGTGTGTTGGGGGATGCACAATGAGTGAAACAGGCACAGTCCCTGCTGTGACCAGAAGCATAGACTCTTTCCAGGCCCCAGTTTCCTCATTTGTAAAATGAAATGCTTGAACTAGATCAGTGGTTCTCAAGTTCAGCCTCCATCAGAACCACCTGGAGGGTTTGTTAAAACACAGTTTGCTGGGCCCTAACCCCAGAGCTTCTGATTCAGTAGGCCTGAGAATATGCATTTCTAACAAGTTCCCAGGTGTGGCCAGTGCTTCCGGCCCAGGAATACACTTGGAGAACTACTGAACTAGATGATCTCTCAGGCCCCTTTCGGCTGTGACAATTTGTGACGCAGACCGATTCGCAGTTGCTGGACTAGCCCACGCAGAAAGGGATTGTGGGGAGCCAGGCTGGACGGGTAAAAGTCCCGTGAGTTTCCCAAGCTTAGGGGCAAATGGATCAGAGATAAAACCCAACAGAGTCACTAAAGCCTTTGTCTCATTATTTTTTAAAAAAATGATTAAAAAGTAATTCCCCAACATGAAAGTTCAATCAGATGCTGGAGAAATTACTTCAACTTTCCATAGGGGAAAAAAAGGCTCCACTAAAAAGCTACAAGGGTATTGATGTCTATTAAATATTTGCTTTTCTCCCTAGCCCACACTAGACTGAGTAATTTGTATTTGGCAGAAACCAGCTGCAATTACATTAGTCAATCCAAAAGCCCAACTTGCTCATACAAAATGCAAACAAATTAGTTAAAATGGCCTAATTAGTGGACTGTAAAAATACAAACTGAGGCTGGCAGCCTGATGTGTATTAGACAAGGGGACTGTCTCCCCACACGGGGAGGCCTGGAGCTGAGCAGGCCATGGGACCCAGCTCACACCTGACTGTGGGGCTTCGGACCTTTAATAGCCAGCGACGCAGCTGAACCCAATGGTTTTGCCTTAGGTAACGCTGTCTTCTCCTGGCCCAAGTCATGGCCCTAGCTTTGGCCAAGTGGGTATAATGGAAAGAACGTGGGGTTTGGATCCAGAACCTGAGCTTGAATCTCAGCCTTAGTTCACCAGCTACTGCTTTATTAAAGTTGCTTAACCCTCCTGAGCCCCTTGTTTCCTTTGTAGAATGAAAATAATAGAACCTGTCTTGGAAGGTGGTTGTAAGGATTAGCAATTATAGATGTATGTGCCTGGTACATAGCAGTTGTCCAGTTATTAGTTTAGGTTTGGTTTTCCTGTGCCTTAAAACACCGGAGTGGCCCTATAAGTCAGGATTCTGACTCTGACTAGGGGCACCAGAGGGCAATTTTGTAGAGGTTGAGGGGGTCTGGGATAATGACTCTCAGAATGTTGACCAAGGTGAGTGCATTGTGTTCAGGGCATATGCGGTATGACTCACACAACTCATCTGTGCTGCATCCCAATGGGCTACAGGCTGCAGCCTTCTAGATAGGTGGGTCACAGAATCAGAGAACTGGAAAGGACTGCAGACATCCCCCAGGCTGGGGCTTTGAGCCCTCGCCATGCATCAGAAGCCACTGGGGAGCTTATAAAAAATACCAGAGCCAGGGCCCCTCACCCAGAGATTCTGATTCCACCAGCCTGGAATGGGCCCAGGCGACAGCGCATTTGAATGTCTCTCAGGTGATTGTAAATGAAGTGGAATTTAAGAATTATTCCTCTGATCCAAACGCTTTATTTTTATGGAGAAAGGGGATAAAAATAAACAACAACAAAACAAATAAGCAAAACAACTGCAAATGAGAGATTCAGAGGGATGTGAATTCTTTCAGGGCACAAAGAATTACATTTTCCTAACTTCACTCCTTTTTCAAATTGTTGGATCAGACCATTGGGTCTGACAGGAAGGAGTGTTTGCGGGATGCCAGGAGAGAGCTGGGGCTTTCTGCCAGACTCCCAAAGGAGGCTAGGCTTTGGTGACAAACAGCATCTTGGTTTTTGTTTGTTTTTTGTTTTCTGTCTTTTGGTTTTGTTTTGCGATGGAGTCTCTCTTTGCTGCCCAGGCTGGAGTGCAGTGGCGTGATCTCGGCTCACTGCAACCTCCGCCACCTCCCGGGTTCAATTGATTCTCATGTCTCAGCCTCCCAAGTAGCGGGGACTACAGGTGCACACCACCACGCCCAGCTAATTTTTTTGAATTTTTAGTACAGACAGGGTTTTGCATGTTGCTCAGGCTGGTCTCCAACTCCTGAACTCAGGCAATCTGCCTGCCTTGGCCTACCAAAGTGCTAAGATTACAGGCATGAGCCACGGAGCCTGGACAGAATCCTGTATTTCATAAACCTTCCCAGCAAAGCACATTTCTAGCTCAATTACAGTTACAACATCAGCCAGATTGAGACTGGGAGTCCCAGGGAAGTGTTGCAATTTGTTTCAAGATCACATAGCCAATCAGTGTCAGACACAAGACTTAGGTGCCCAGGGGAACGGGTGTTAAACAAATAGCCTCCACCAACTCTGGCCACCAGACGCTGTGAATCACGTCAGGATGATTCCCACCCGCTTGTGGATTCCCTCCAAAGGCAGACAGTGAAGTCACATCCTTCTTTAGAAAGGACCAGAGACAGATGTTTTCCTGAGTGTAGTGAAGAGATGTTTGGTTTCCTTACGTGCAATCCTTACCTCAGAAAGGGAATCTCACCCTTTAAGGACAGTGCCTCATTTATATTTGTACTCTGCATTTAGTGAGTGTTCTGAATCATTCTGCCTCCACTCTCATGGGCCTCTGCTGGCTCCTGCAGAGCAGGATACCTGGGCTCAGAGAGGCCAGGACACAGGAAGAATATAAGAGCCCCTCACCCTGAGGGAAGAGCAAGAGGGCTCTACTTCTGCCCCCATTTTTCAAGTTCAGGTTCTCCTTATGTCCATCCTTGCCACTCCAATTCCCAGAACCAAAATCTTTGGGAACATGAAAATACAGTGTCATCTCTTACTGTGTGGGCTTCCATCAGTTCATCGCTACTTATGCTCCAACCCCTCTAAGTGCTCTTAGATGCAATTCACTCTCAGACATAATTACCTCAGATTGTGGCAAGGACTCAGGCTGAGGTCAGATCCCTGGCTTTGCCCACCTCCTTGAGTCAGAAGCTTAGCTCATTTCTAATATGATCATGTCAGGTTAGAATTTTCCTCCTAAGAACTGCCTTGGCTGTGTCCCACAATTTTTGAGATGTAGAAGTTTATCTTTCAGGATTTTCTAATTTTCCTTAGTGAGAGTCTGTTGAAATAAAAATTTGTTTGTCTGGAAATGCATTGAAATATACTTTTTCTAAGTATAGACTTTCAGGTTGCCAGGCGTTTTCTTTCAGCACATTGAAGATACTATTTTTTCCATTATCTTCTGGCTTCCATTGTTGCTGCTGGGAAGGCAGTCACTACTCTAATTATCATTCCTTTGAAAATAATACTTTTTTCTCTCCGGCTGCTTTTTTTTTTTTGAGACAGAGTCTTGCTTTGTTGCCCACGCTGGAGTACAGTGATGCAATCTCAGCTCACTGCAACCTCCGCCTCCTGGGTTCAAGCAGTTCTCCTGTCTCAGCCTACCAAGTAGCTGGAATTACAGGTGTGCACTACCACGGCCAGCTAATTTTTGTATTTTTAGTAGAGATAGGGTTTCACCATTTTGGCCAGGCTGTTCTCAAACTCTTGACCCGAGGTGATCTGCCCTCTTTGGCCTCCCAAAGTGCTAGGATTACAGGCATTAGCCACTGCACCAAGCCTTCTCTGGCTGTCTTTGAGATTTTCTCTTTGTCTTTTGTGTTCTGCAATTGCACTGTGATGTGTATGGGCATGTGCATGGCCCCTGAATTGAAAACATCAGCAGTAGGTTCAAATTGGTAGAAAAACCAGACACGTACATCACACAGATAATTCAGATGAGGTTTGCTTATCTATATGATACAGATAGGAGTCAGCATAGTGAGTACACAGCAGAGAAAGACAGAGGTGTAAGCTTCTGTGATGTGGCTGGGCTCTGTGTCCCCGCCCAAATCTCACGTTGAATTGTAATTCCCTGTGTTGCGGGAGGGACCTGGTAGGAGGTGATTGGATCATGTGGGCAGATTTCCCCCATGCTGTTCTTATGATAGGGAGTGAGTTCTCACAAGATCTGATGGTTTAAAAGTGTGTGGCACTTCCCCTTCCCCTCCTGCCACCATGTGAAGACACTGCTTCCTTCCCCTTTGCCCTTCCACCACGATTGTAAGTTTCCTGAGGCCTCCCAGTCACGCTTCCTGTTAAACCTGTGGAACTGTGCATCAATTAAACCTCTTTTCTTCATAAATTATGCAGTCTCAGGTAGTTCTTTATAGCAGTGTGAGAATGGACTAATACATTCTGGAACCAAATTTTCACAAAGGAGTACACTGTTGTAGATGACAATTTCTAAGTGAGCAAAGGTCATATCAGACTTTCTAGAAAAACACCTTCCCCTTCTAAGACCAATTTTGTGTACAATTTTGGTGCTATACAATATGTAACATGACCACAAAGTTCAGTACAGTATAATATAGTCTTCTTGTGCATGAACACAATTCTTATTCATCACTCTCGGTTTGGTCTTAAACTTGTGATGTAAGACTAGAACAAGGTCAGAACCCAAATATCTCTGTAAGTCATACTAACTTGTAGGGCCTACTCTGCCATCTAATTTTATCTTTCATTTATCCCTCTTGGCATTCTGGAGGCTTTCAGAATCTGTGAAAAATTCTTATTTTTAAAACATTACCTCTGCCCTATTCTTCCTCTCCTCTCCCCTGTAATCTTCTTGAGATGCATGTAAGATATGTTCACTCTATCCTACATGCTTCTTAACATTTCTTTCACATTTTCCCTCTCTTTGTCTTTCTGAGAGCTGCATTCTGGATTTTCTTTTTCAGATCTATATTCTAGTTCATTCTCCTTTCAGTTATGTCCAATCTCCTGTTGAAGCCATGTATTGAATTTTTAATTTCAATGATTATATATTTTTTAATAATGAAAGCTCCATTTGAATCATTTTCCAATCTCCTGGGCTCAAGCTATCCTCCCACCTCTGCCTCCCTAACAGCTGGGATTACAGGCATGAGCTACCGTGCCCAGCTCAATAGACTTTTCTTAGTCATAGTTTTAATCCTTTTATTTCTTTAAATTTATTTTAAACATATTATTTTATATTTATACCTGATACTTTCAATATCTAACATTATTGTGGATCCAATTCTGCTGTCTGCTGGCTCTTGCTCATGGTGCTTTGCTTCCTTGAGTCCTTTAGGATATTTGACTATGAGTTATATCTTTGAAATTTTATCTGTGGGAACTCTTTGAGGTTTGGATTAAAGTTCCTTCAGAGAGATAGCACATTATCCCCTAGATGCCTGGGGCTACTATTAACTTAGAGATTCTTTCTCAAATTCTTAATTTGAGGCCTCTTAGACCCAGGGAGTATGAAATGAGCACAAACCCAAGGAAGGCCTGGTTTATGGTTATAAATTCTCAGAATAATTATCTTCCTCTATTTAGGGTCAAAGTCAGAGAGGCATGATTTTTTTTATAGTCCCTGTTGTGAGAGTACAGTCTGGTTTATTTCTCCTCCATCTTTACACTGATGGTGCAATAACTTTGGATATCAGCTTTATTTTTATTATTTATTTTTATTTTATTTATTTTTTTTGAGACAGGGTTTCATTTTGTTTTGTTTTTTGAGACAGAGTTTTGCTCTTGTTGTCCAGGCTGCCATGCAATGGTGCAATCTCGGCTCACTGCAACCTCCGCCTCCTGGGTTCAAGCAATTCTCCTGCCTCAGCCTCCCTAGTAGCTGGGATTATAGGTGACTGCCACCACACCCAGCTAATTGTTTGCATTTTAAGTAGAGACGGGGTTTCACTATGTTGGCCAGGCTGGTCTCAAACTCCTGACCTCAGGCGATCCACCTGCCTCAGCCTCCCAAAGTGCTAGGATTACAGGCATGAGCCACTGCGCCTGGCCAACAGGGTCTTGTCTTATCCCTCATGCTGGAGTGCAGTGACACTAACATGGCTCAATGCAGCCTCAACCTCCCAGGCTCAAATGATCCTCCCACTTCAGCCTCCCAAGTAGCTGGAACTACAGGTGCATGCCACCAAGTCTGTCTAATTTTTGTATTTTTTGTAGAGAGAGTAGTCTCCCTGTATTGCCCAGGCTGGTCTCAAACTCCTGAGCTCAAGCTATCCTCCCACCTCTGCCTCCCAAAGTGCTGGGATAATAGGTATGAGCCACCATGCCCGGCCAGTGTCAGCTTTATGGATAGGGAATATCAGCTATACTCCCCCGCTTGGGTACATAGTAGGCTTTTTCTCCTTTCCCTCTGGCCTTGTGAACTTGTGAAAACTAAAAACTAAAGTTTACCTGATTTGGCAAATATCCTCAAGACCAAAGCAAACTTTAGTGCTCCACTTATTTCTGTGGATTTTCACTTTCCTCTGGTTTCTGGATTCTGAGTATTTCTTAGTTTCTTTCCAATTTATTAGCACATTTAAAAATGTTCTTTTGCCTACTATGTTTCTGACCCTGGGCAAACAATTGATCTCTCCAAACGTCAGTCTTCTCACCTATAAAATTGTCTATTTTGGAGGGTCATTTGAGGATCAACTGAGATGCTCCACATGAAAGATTTTTTTTTTTTTTTTTGAGACGGAGTCTTTCTCTGTCTCCCAGGCTGGAGTGCAGTGGCGTGATCTTGGCTCACTACAACCTCCGACTCCCAGGTTCGAGCGATTCTCCTGACTCAGCCTCCTGAGTAGCTGGGATTACAAGTGCCCGCCACCACGTCTGGCTAATTTTTGTATTTTTAGTAGAGATGGGGTTTCACCACGTTGGTCAGTCTGGTCTTGAACTCCTGACCTCATGATCTGCCCACCTCAGCCTCCCAAAGGAAAGATCTCTTAAACTAAAAAGTATAGCAGTATACCAATATTAGAGCGTTTTGTGAAACTGTATCACGTTAAAATATATTTTCTTCTTCATTAAGATGAGTGAAAAAAGCCAGCAAAGGAGATTTATAATTCAGGTCAATATTCAGTCATTCTCTCAACAAGGATTTGCCAAGCATGTTCTACATAGCACTTCCCTAGCCTGGGGTTACTTGGTTCAATTGTTTCCAGAGGTGTTGAATTCAATACAAAATTATGGTTTATTTAAACTTATAAAAATAAATCTTGTGCTGTTTGCTTATACAGCCTTTTTCTTTCTTCTAAAGGACTGACATAAAACTAACATATATTTTCTAGCACATCCTCATTTCCCTCGCTGGTTAAAAAAGCCTTAGTTCCTTTAGCATTTTTAAACAGTGTAGACTGAGAGGAAACCTGCATTCTAATTCCCCTCTCCACTTGGATATTTGAACTTGGGAAAGTCACACCCCTCAGCTCCAAAGACCACACATCCCATTCCTACAAAGCGGGAATATTAATCACAGGAGTATTGTGAGGGTCAGGTGAGGTAATGCAGATGAGAATACCGTGGAAATTTGGAAACTTTCTACAATTTGACGGCAGGGAATTATTATTGCCCAGTATTACAAATGATTTATTCTCGGCCTGGCATGGTGGCTCACACCTGTAATCCAGGCACTTTGAGAGGCCAAAGCAGGCAGCTCACCTGAGGTCAGGAGTTCAAGACCAGCCTGGCCAACATAATGAAACCCCATCTCTACTAAAAATACAAAAAATAAAAAAATTAGCCAGGCGTGGTGGTGCACACCTGTAATCCCAGCTACTCAGGAGGTTGTGGCAGGAGAATCAATTGAATCCAGGAGGCGGAGGCTGCAGTGAGCCGAGATCACGCCCCTGCACTCCAGCCTAGGCAAAAGAGCGAAACTCCATCTCAAAAAGAAAGGAAAAACAAATGACTTATTCTCAACCTCTCCCCCACTCATGATATCCCAGGCCAGAAAAAAATGTGCAGGGATTATTATCTTGGAAGCCACGGTCTGAGAATGCTCAAAACCGTGTGTCATCACAGGACACATCCCTGTCTGGCCGCAGGCTCTGGCTCCAGGGAAGAATCGCATTCCTGCCGTCTCTGGCTGCAGCAGCACCTGTGTCCTTGCATCTCCTTAGCTGGGCTGTCCGCCTTTCTGGGGTTTCAGCTCCCTGGAGAGGAGAGCAGCCCTCCCACGGCGCCGAGGAGATCTGCCCCTCTGTGCTGGGTGCAAAGTGCCAGGGCTGGCTGCTCTGCAAAGGGCTGAGGCATCAGGGGTCAGTGTCAGGACGTGCTGACTGCAGAGGACACAGTGACAGGCTGAGCTGGGGCAGTAATTAGACAGTGAGAGCTTCCTTCAGCAAGCTACAATCAATAGGTCCGCTTACAGAGGAAAAAAGATTAAAGTAAAGCAGATAGCGGAAGATAATAACATCTCCCACTTAACTTGCATTTTCACTTGTCAAAGTACTTTCACCACCATTTTCTCATTTGGTCCTCAGAACCTCTTTTCTCAGATCCTCTGCTGGGTCCGATTTTACAGGCAAGAAAGCTGAGGCACAGACTGGCTGCAGACTTCCTCGCTGTAGTGGCTGGGACAAACACTTCCCTTCTCTTTTCGCTGACCTTCCTGTCATCGGCATCTCAGAGAGTATGAACATACTAAATAATTTAACAAATTTTTAATGGGCATCTACTATGTACCAGCCATTTGTGGATACAGCAGTGAATGAGACAAAGTCCTAATCTTGTAGTGGTTCCCTTTTCTTTTTTTCCTTTTCTTTTCTCTTCTTTCCTTCTTTCTTTCATTGTTGTTGTTTGTTTGTTTGTTTTTGAGACAGGGTCTCACTCTGTTGCCCAGGTTGGAGTGCAGTGGTGTAGTCTCAGCTCAGTGCAGCCTTTACCTCCTGGGCTCAAGCAATCCTCTCACCTCAGCCTCCTGAGTAGCTGGAACTACAGGCATGCACCACCACATCCGATTAATCTTTGCATTTTTTTTAAAGATGGGATTTCACTATGTTGCACAGGCTGGTCTCAAACTCCTGAGCTCCAGTGATCCACCAGCCTCTGCCTCCCAAAATGCTGGGATTATGGATGTGAGCCACCATGCCCAGCCATGAGGTTCCATTTTCTTAGGAGAAGAAGACAATACACAAGTAAATGGACAAGATAACTTCAGACAATAGTGTGTGCTCTGGAAACAATAAAACAGAATGATTTGATAGAGAGAAACCAGGAAGGCTACTTGAGCCTGGAAACAGGTGAGCAGGTGATATCTGAGCTAAGCTAAGACCTGAATATCAAGAAATTGCTTGAATGTCAAGAAGAGGCAGAAAAATGAAGGAAGAGCGAGGTGCAAATGTAAAACGACAGCAAGTTAATAGTGCTATGGGTCTTTCTGGTCTCTGGGGATTGAAAAAAAGGAGCTAAGGAAGATGTTTTCTTGTGAAGCACGGAGATATTGGCCTGAAAAGCTAGAACTTATTTCTGGAGCTCTTTTCCCAGGCTACCACCTTTTCTTTACTCCTGGTTCAGTGTGCCCATCTATGAAATTGACACAATGGTTGTCAGTCACTGTTACAGACACTTTTTTTTTTTTTTTTTTTGAGACGGAGTCTTGCTCTGTTGCCCAGGCTGTAGTGCAGCAGTGCAATCTCGGCTCACTGTAACATCCGCCTCCTGGGTTCAAGCGATTCTCCTGCCTCAGCCTCCCAAGTAGCTGGTACTACAGGCACCCACCACCATGCCTGGCTAATTTTTGTATTTTTAGTAGAGATGGGGTTTCACCATGTTGGTTGGGCTGGTATTGAACTCCTGACCTCAGGTGATCCACCCGCCTCAGCCTCCCAAAGTGCTCGGATTACAGGTGTGAACCACCTCACCCGGCCTATAGACACTTTTGACTGTGGGCCCCCTGAAGAGTTGCAAAGTGCTAGAGATATGCTATCCAACCATATCAGCAAGGGGTTTCAGGTTCTTTAGGCACTTAGTGAATATTAAATATATCCTATTTTAAACGATACTACCAAGATAGCAAAAGGGTAAGCCAATCTAATCTATTCACCTGGATTAAACTCAATTGTTCTAGTTGCTACATCAGCTTCCTAAGGTCTCCTTTCAAGGACACCACTATCTCAACTTAATATGGCACATTCCACTGTGCCGAGTACTTTTATAGCTCTTACTAGACATTTACTAGATTGTAAGACTCTTGAAGGCAGGGACAATTTCTTACTCATGTTTATTTACATACTAAAGTTGCAATGCATGTTTGTGGAATTCACATGTGAAAGACAGCCTTATCTCCATCACAACCCTTCTCCTCAAACTCTGCTTCCAAGTGGGCACATTCATTACTAGCATCCTAACATATATCAGGTGAGAAAACTGAGGCACAGAGAATTTAACAGACTTACAGTCTCCACCCAGACTCATTTGATTTAACTGGGAAAGTCTCTTGGTACCTATATCCACAGCAGCAGCAGAAGCATCAATCAAATTTTCAGAAACAGACACAAAAGTAGACATTTCTCTCTGCTTAAAAAGTCTTAGTCAGGGATTTCCAGTCTTAGGATCTGAGTAGGATTTCCTAAAGAGAATTTACAGACCCCAGACCTCAGAAGTTCTGCACAGGAAGAGACTGACAAGACTTTGGCCTTGGTTTGAGAGCTACCTGGGCTTGTCAAGGTCATCCAGGTAGCTAGGTAATTATTTTTAGGGCGGCCATCACCTACCTCCCCTTACAAAAGGTCCCCTGTGGCAGGGCCTCAGGGTTTCATGTCATTTGCATTTGGATTGCCTAAGATGTCAATCAGTTCTAGCCACCCGCCAAGAAAGTTAGAAGCCAAAGACTTTTTTTTTTTTCTTTAAGGAGGGGAAAAGGGAGCGATAAAACGAGTCTAGTTATCTTAATGAGGCCTTAAAAATGCAGTCAGTAGATTCAGTTAGAAACACAGCACATTTTTGGCCGGGCACGGTGGCTCACGCTTGTAATCCCAGCACTTTGGGAGGCCGAGGTGGGTGGATCACGAGGTCGAGATTGAGATCATCCTGGCTAACATGGTGAAACCCCGTGTCTACTAAAAATACAATAAAAAATTAGCCGGGCATGGTGGCGGGTGCCTGTAGTCCCAGCTACTGGGGAGGCTGAAGCAGAAGAATGGCGTGAACCCAGGAGGTGGAGCTTGCGGTGAGCTGAGATCATGCCACTGCACACCAGCCTGGGCGACAGAGAGACTCCATCTCAAAAAGAAAAAAGAAAAAAGAAACAGCACATTTTTACATCATTCATTTTACCAAAACACAGACTTCTTTTGAAGCACCCAAGATAGCTCAGGCTGCTGAACAGACACGCCCAAAAGGAGCCCAACCTTAAGAGCTCCTTGAAATCCCTTCTCCAATGCATTGGTCCTCAACCCCGGGAACACATTGGAATCACCTTGAGAAATTTATAAAGCACTGCTGCTTAGTTCCTGCCTCCACAGAGCCTGATTCAATTGTTCCAGGATGAGTACCGGACACTGAGATGATTTAAATCTTCACAGATGATTCTAAGGTACATCTAAGGTTGAGAGCAATGATTTCTAAAGGACTCTCCCAGGTGAGCAAGGGAGGAAGACGCTGATATTACATGGGGGAGACAACATCATCTCTTTGATAACTTGCACTATCTGTGCTGGGATAGTCACCTCTCAGGTGACCCCAATCCAGTTTGTTGTCCCAGTTTTAGCATGGAAAATCCTATGCCGCAGGAAACTTCTCAGTCCCAGCCAAATAAGGAAGGTTGGTCACCCTATTATTGCCCACCCACATTGGTTCAGTTCTTCTGCATAATGGAAGGAGGGATGAGCTTCCAGGCATTTCAGGAAAGAGAACAGGAAGGAGCTAAGGGAGTGAAGAGACAAAACAGTAGAGGATGGGGCCTGTGGTCCCGCCATAGAAGTGTACAGTTTAAGGACCCTCCTAATTTCACGGAAGTTCATTAATTCAAAAATACCTGATACGAATAACTTTTTTCCTTTGGAAAACTGGACAGGTGAGTTTCATTCCAGGGTTGAAAGAGTGCGGGATACTAGCAAATCTCTAGAGGCTGAAGGCTCCTTGAGATGATAAGCTCCCCACGAATTTGCAGATATCTTGTAAGAGGGCTTTGGAGTTGGTGGAACTGGTGTGGTTTGATGCCATGATTATCTTAGACCTTGGAGCAAGGCAGCTCCAGGTGACAGCTGAGCCCTACTGAGGAAGGAGAAAAAGGTCTGGAGGAAGGGAACCTAAGGCTGATTCATGCTGACTAGATATCAGAGGCTCTCCACTTTTCAGCACCTTCTTTTTCTGCAGGGCTGTTGCTGCTGGCAGTTGCAACCCCTCCTTTTTCTGTGTGGTAGTTGAAAAATGAAAGTACCTCTGATTGGTCCCCTCCCACAACCAATAAAACTGGTCGTGGGCCAATGGGAAACCTCTAGAAGGTATTTAAATCCCAGAAAATTCTGTAACCAAGGCTCTTGAGTGGCTTGCTCCAGCCTGCTCCCACCCTGTGGAGTGCACTTTCCTTTAAAATAAATGTCTGCTTTCACTGTCTTGTTTTGTTTTGTGTCTTTTGTCCAATTCTTTGTTTAAAACGCCAAGAATCTGCACAGCTACCCTCAATTGGTAACACTACTGACATCCATCACACACTCAGCCTTTTATTGGACACCTGCTACTTGTCAGACTTTGTGCCCACCCTCATTTCCTTTGGGGATGAAGATTGTGGGGGTGGCGGAGAGTACAAAGTTACTGCAGAGAAGGTACTCTTAAGCGCTTCACTGGGGTAGGGGCAGGACTGGTGGTGGCTAGGCTTGCACAGATGGGGCCTCCGGAGAAGGGAAACAGGCTCAGCTAGCTTCACAGAGGGCAGGACCCCATTTTATATCACACTATAAATCATAAATCACGCCAGCTTGAAAAGTGGCTATCGGCCAGGAATCTGACATAATTAAATGTGCAGAAATCACTTACAAAATGAACTCAAAGGCCCCCAAGCATCCCCAGAGTTGACAAGATTTGTGGTTGGAAGCAGTTTCATTTTCTTTTATTTTTTACATAAGCCTCCATTTCCACATTGCCCTTGCCTTCCCCAAGGAACCGAATTTGAAAAGTTCCTGATTGGCCTTTGGTGCTCTGATTTTTGAGAGGGAAGGAAAACACCTATTAAAAATGTTTGTTCCGGGCAGATGGTTGCTTCCAGCAGCCTCTGGTGCCAGAGTAATGAATCTAGAATCCCCATTCCTTGCCCAAATCTCAATGGCTAGTAATTAAATTTCCACTAACAGTTTGTTTTATCACCTCAGTTAGCTTGTTGACATATAATAGGTGCTGCTGAGAGGTACATCCAGTTAATGATTTTCTTTTACATATTGATATTCGTACCTGGAGTGGGAACATCTCCTCTTCAGAATATGATTACTATTTTGAAATCTTAAGCACAGGAGGAAAATCCGTTTCTATAAATTAAACAAGAAGTTCTGAGAACTTCTATCTTCAGTTCCCATCCAGACACTAATGCATCTCATTTACTTTGTGCTGTTCCCCTGAGTTATCTATGTCACGCAGACGACTCTTCCATGTCACGTTAACTATCTATTGAAAAAAGCTCGAAGTGTGCTTGTAACAGTGCCCTGAGCCAGGATGCAAGGTAGGGAGCAGAACATGAAAAATTCATCACTGTTACATTTCAAGTTGCTTGGATATTTTAATTTGAAGAGGAAAGAACCCATGTCAGCTAAAGATGGAGCTATAATTAAACTGATATGGCATTCACAATTGCCTCCAAACCTGTTCCAGTTGTCATTTGTTTCTTTTCCCCATCTTTAAACTACATGAAATCAATTATCTCCACAAACCAGTGGCAAGGATTGTATGCCAACCACTTACTCCTGACGTGAATAAATTATTCAAAATTCATTATTGATGTGAATAACTCTTCAGAGAGAAAGCCTGTCCTACTATCTGGGTGTGTGGACTCAGGAAGGTACAACCCCTGGTCTCTGTCTTGGATGCCCAGGGCAAGGTCTTTCTGTCACAAATGCCTGGGCAGGGGGGAGGGCAGTACAAAGCAGCCTTCACCTACAGAGTGGCCACCCCTTAATGTGTGTGGCTTTACACATAGTGACAAACAGGTTCCCAGCATACCGGTGAGTGACAGCTATAGGGTAATGGGGGACAGACATCCTGGTCTGAAAATACCTCTTGTGCATCAAAGATGCCAGCCACCTGGAGCGGTGATAGGCACTGGTGTGTACAGGATCTGAAATGGAGTTGATGCGATGTCATTTTGGCTCTCTTATAATCTGGTTATCTCTTGCCAAGACCTCACGTCTGATTAGTCTACTTGGAGGGGACAGCAGACTTTATCAGCCTCACTTCCCGACACTCCCGTCAACTTCAGAAATGTGGTGAAGAAATTTAAGATGAGGTGTCACATCTTCCTATCAAATTCCTCTGTGAGCCACCCCTGAGTCAGGAGCCTTCTTTGGAAAACGTTAATAAAGGGGGAAATGAAGTTTTAGCTGGCTTCACTCAGGCAGTGTTGTCTGCAGTTACATCTTCCTGAGGCAGCATCTACCGGTTGGCAGTGGGCTGGCCCCCGTGAGTTCTCTTTGTCAGCCAGGATAGTAGGAAGTGACCACAGGCACTGCTGCTTTGCAGGTTGCCAGAAAGGAGAGGCCTGCTGGAGATGGACGAGGCTGCTCCCAAGGACACCTGGTCTGAGGATGGGGAAATCTTCCAACAAACTGCTGACAAGTCGATCCTCCCCAGCCGTTGCCTCTTTACCTAGTCTGGTAATTTTGCTGTTTCTAGCTCCAGGGTCCCTGGCAAGTCCTTGACCACACAGGGTTTTCTAGGGGCCTAATTCTGCCAAGCTTCCTGGCAAAGGAAGGTGCCAGGTTCCTGTGCCAGTTCACACTCTCACATCCACCCCTGAGTCCTCTACCCCAGCTGCCGTAACTGTCCCTCCAGCAGATCCATGACATTCTCCATCCTGAAGAAGGGAGATGAATGACAGCAGGATTTGCCCTTAGAAAAGTTATGAAGAGTGTCCAAGAAATATGGCATAGAAATTTCTCAGCAAGAGTCTTCTCAAACTCACCCCACCCCTACTCTGTAGGCATTGAGTGCTTCTATGATGCCACATCCCTTTTATCAAGGACAAGATCATAAACTCATTTATAGTGGCCTATTAGGAACTCAATGTATGGCCCTTGAACCTAGAAAATTGGTTTTAGAAGAACCTGTAGAGATCCGTGCGTAAGCCAGAGGAATGAGCCTCTAATGGTGGAATTGGTAGACACTGAAAGATCTGACGTTTTGGACTCTGGTGAGATATTTGTCAGGTTCCCTTGGATCACACTCTCTGAAGACTGGTGTCTTAATTGGTAAAATGGGGATTGTAACAACAGGCTTGTGTCTTAACTTCTGTCAGAGTTACAGAATATGATGATTGACTGAGGACATGCAGATGAAATGCCACACAAATGGTAAAGTGCATAAAATCATGTCACTATTGTCTGTAAGGGGATGCTGATTTTAGTAAACAAAGTCCAGACCTTCCATGGATGTTGTCTAGGAAGGAAAATCTGCCAGCTGATCTCACAACACTAATTCTCTCCTGCTGAATTCATTGTAGGCTCTGAGGAATGCTTCTGTCCTTTGATGCTGTCTTCAGCAGAAACATTATGTTCACCTTTACTTCCTCTATCATGCAGAGTTGAGTTACCCAAGAAATAAGACATTTTATATATTTTAAGCAGAGTACTTGACACAAAGCACTTGTGAAACCATGAGAAGGGCTACAGGAGCTGGCACTACCCTGGACTCCAGGATCAATTCCCAGAACACCATCACAGAACTGATCCACCAAGGAGCTGCTGCTTCTGCACATCAGGAGGGGGGAGGATCTGGCAGCCAGCACCAGAATCAGCACAGAACATGTCACCAAGGTGTGATCCAGGAATCAGGGAGCACCCTCCGACCCAGCTGCCTCTCACTCTCCTGCTAGTGCCAGAAGGAGGGAAGATGCCCCTCTGCCACTTCATCTTCTGTGTCTCACGACAGTGCACATAACTGGCAGAAAGAAATTGACACCTAGAACCCCAAGTGCAAAGAAATCTGTTGTTTTTGGTTTTCCAGCCTCTCCAGTTTGTGAAGAAAGAAATAGGAATGGATGCTGTGCAATTCACCATATATCTTCATGTTCTATGCCTCAGCATATCTGAGTCAGGGAAGCACCCTAAAGACTTTAGTAAATTTGAAGAGGACCAAATGAAAATTAACATAGAAAGTGTAAGGAACTAAAACAGCCAACATAGCTTTCTTTTTTTCTTTCTTTTATTTATTTATTTATTTTTTTTGAGATGGAGTCTCTCTCTGTCGCCAGGCTGGAGTGCAGTGGCGCAATCTTGGCTCACTGCAACCTCCACCTCCCAGGTTCAAGGGACTCTCCTGCCTTAGCCTCCCGAGTAGCTGGGACTATAGGTGCATGTCACCATGCCCAGCTAATTTTTATATTTTTAGTAGAGATGGGGTTTCACCATGTTGGCCGGGCTGGCCTCAAACTCCTGACCTCAGGTGATCCACCCGCCTCAGCCTCCCAAAGTGCTAAACGGCCAACATAGCTTTCTCATTCACATTTCCAAGTAGGGCCCATCTCTTCAATTTTCCATAGGATAGCTATGCTTCTTCCTCAGGTGTTGCCCACCAGAAATGACCCATCCTTCAGATGAAACCCAGAAGTAAGTGCATAGGAAGCTGGGGTATATCAGCTAGGATGCTTTTGGTTGCCAGTGGAAAAAATAAGCCAATAGAACTAGCTTAAAAATGACTTGGATTTATTGTCTAATGTAAAGCTTAGAGCGGGTGAGCTTTAGATGTTCTTTGATTTCTATGTTTGTTTGCTTTTTGGTTTGTTTGTTTGTTTGTTTGTTTTGAGACGGAGTCTAGCTCTGTCACCTAGGCTGGAGTGCAGTGGTGTGATCTCGGCTCACTGCAACGTCTGCCTCCCAGGTTCAAGTGATTCTCCTGCCTCAGCCTCCCAAGAAGCTGGGATTACAGGCACCTGCCACCAAGTCTGGCTAATTCTTTTTGTATTTTTAGTAGAGATGGGGTTCCTCCATGTTGGCCAGGCTGGTCTCAAACTCCTGACCTCAGGTGTCCGCCACCTTGGTCTCCCAAAGTGCTGGGATTACAGGTGTGAGGCACTGCACCCGGCCTAGATATTCTTTGATTAGGGCTTCAATCCCATTTCTCTGCATTTCTCTGGGCTTTATCCTTCTCTGTGTGTGGGTGTGGTATACGGGCTGGCTACCCTGATAGCCACAAGATGTCTGCAGAAACAAAGAAGGCAATATACTCTTCATTCACTCCAGGGAAAGGAAAGGGTAGCTTTTACCACTCAAAGGTTCTGAATTTCTCTCTGATTGAATCACTTCCTAACCAACTGTTGAGGTCTGACCTAGGCCTGCTGTCCTCTGAACTCCTTGTGCTGCGGACGCAGTCAACTTCACCCAATCTGTTTGTTTGCCACCCATTGGGGAGGGGTGGAATTTGGATGTGAATGCAACTCAGTGCATTGCACTTGCAGGGACAATGGCTGGGTTTAACCTTGCAGGCCTGGGAACCAACCTGCACATTAACCGCACATTGAGCCTAACATGAACAACTACAGACGTGTGCGTGGGCATCAGGGGAAGGACTGCCATCTACTGTTCATGGATAAAGCTGGTTTTGGGAGGCAGAGTCAAAAGTTAAGTTCATGGGGTTCCTAGACAGTTTGTCTCCTGGCCACCATCTGCCAGAAACACATACGACATCAGGGCACAGGAGCACAGGTTTCGATTTATGTGCAGCACCCCAATGTTAAACTTGAGATGCCTTCCCTTTTCACCCAGGATTACCTGCAAGAAACAGCATAGAGAAGGTATGTGTTTGTAGCAAGGTAGACTGAGGTTAAGTCTTCAATCTCTTAAGTGACACAGCCACTTAAGGCTTGAATCCTTGTTGATGTATCTACCCTCATAGCCTAATTACAAAATAACAAGTTTCCTAAGCCTCAGTTTCCTTATCTACAAAGGGGGATCATGGTACCTAGCTCATAAGATTGCTGTGAGAAATAAACAAATAATGGTCACAGACGACCTGGAAGAGTGTTTGGCATATTGGTTGTTTCTTAGCCATCTCTCCTCCTCAACTCTCCAAGGGATCCAGATGGGTGCCAACCTAGTTCACATTATTTGGCTGCCTTTAATGCACCAGTTACCCTCCCTTAGAAATACAGGACACCTGCTCTTATTTGGAGGAATATGGTAAATATTGGACACTGAGCAACTGGTAAATATTGAACACTATTATATCTATTTAAGGTGCTGTAGGGATGGCAGAAGAATGAGAAATCAATGGTCTTTGCTTTGAAGGAACTCAGCTTGGTTGGCATAATAAGATTTATGTCAGTGAGGCTCCAGGGAATCCTGTCTTTGGGTCTCCCTGGCCTCCATAATCTTCTGGGTCAATGTCAAGGTTAGAATTGTACTGTCCTTGTAACTCTGCAGAGGATAGTCATATGTGAAGTCGATAACAGTATATCCTTTGAATACTTCCTTCACACTGGACAGAACTGTAAAGCTGGCCAAGTTTGACCGCATGGCTTTTGTTTGAGATCCCCTGCCCTCAGCTCTCTGCCTCCTGGGGGCTTCTCTTTCATCTGTTTTCCTCCAGCCTAGTTCCCAGTGAGCTGCTAACTAGGAAAATTATTTGAGCATCAAATTCTTGGACTGAAGTATCAGAAGTTGCCGGGCACAGTGGCTCACGCCTGTAATCCCGACACTTTGGGAGGCCGAGGCGGGTGGATCACGAGGTCAGGAGATCGAGACCATCCCAGCTAACACGGCGCAACCCGGTCTCTACTAAAAATATAAAAATTAGTCAGGCATGGTTGTGGGCGCCTGTAGTCCCAGCTACTCAGGAGGCTGAGGCAGGAGAATGGCGTGAACCCAGGAGGCAGAGCTTGCAGTGAGCTGAGATCGCACCACTGCACTCCAGCCTGGGTGACAGAGTGAGACTCCATCTCAGAAAAAAATAAAATAAAGTATCAGAAGTCAAATACTTAAGGTGTTCTTTGCCTGTGATTTTTGGTTGAAAGATTTGAATCCTTGTTGATATATCTACCCTCATAGCCTCTGAGTTGAGAGACACTCTTGTACCTACAACCCAGATCTAGCCAATAAAATGAGAATGGTGACAATGTTACTAAAAATAATAGCTGACACGTATTGTATATGTGCTATATACCAGGCACTGTTCTGAGACCTTTATGTATATTGACCCTTTAATTCTCATGGCAACCTTAGAGATAGGCACTATTATTTTGACATTTTTTTGGGTGCAGAGAACTTGCTCAGGTTCACACAGGTGATAAGTGTAAGAACCTGGATATGAGTCTGACCTCAGAACTTCTGTCCTCTCCCCTGTCTCTAGATGTGGAGGAAAATCTAGGGGGGCTTCTGGGAAAATATTCCCTCCCTGGCAAAAGAACAGCACAAGGAAGAAACCTTTTTGCCCCCTTCTTTCCTTTCCTTGCACGTCTTAAGAAGCAGTGGCAGCCATCTTGTAACGATGAGGCAATAACTTGAGGACAAAAACCAAGATATTCAAGACAATGAAATAAGGGATGCCAAAAGCCTGGTCCCTGATGACAGTACTGGGTTGTTAAACCAACCCCTAGACCACCAACCTCTGGACTTATTTTGAATAAACAATAAACATTGTTATCATTAAACTACTGCTAGATCTTCTGTTACTTGAAGTTGAAAGCTTACTAATGGGTATGAAGGTCTCCCATGTTACACCTTAAAAACTCTCCATATGGGCCTCCACATACACTGTACGTTGCCAATAAAACCTGCCAACCGTGTTTGGTCATTAGGTTACTAATGCCAGTAAAGGTCCATTACTTTAGCTAGCTTGGCAACAATAATATTATCTTCAGGAGTAAGATAACTTTCTTGCTAATGTTTTCTCTAAGCTTCTGAGTCATTACCCAAGAGAGCAAGGCCAGAAAGAATTCTAAAGAACCCTGGCAAACTGGCTCTTCTTCAAATTTCAAGATTCTTATCTAAAGATTCACACTCTTTGGTTGAAAATGGGAATATTCACCTGCTTTACACCCACACAGAGTACAATCTCAAATTCAGCACAGTTCAATGAAATCCAACCAAACCCACACAATTCAATGCAACACAGTGTAACACAATACAACGGACCCAACAATAAAAACTAGAGCAGGTGAGCGTGTATGTGTGTGTGTGTGCACAAATAAACCTTGTCATGGCTGCATGCTCCTTATTACCTGGGTGATTTTTTTTTCTTTTTGATGAAGTTTAGCTCTTGTCACCCAGGCTGGAGTGCAATGGCGTGATCTCAGCTCACTGCAACCTCCACCTCCCAGGTTCAAGCAATTCTCCTGCTTCAGCCTCCTGAGTATCTGGGATTACAGGTGCCTGCCACCATGCCCGGCTAATTCTTTTTTTTTTTTTTTTTTTTTAAGTAGTGATGGGGTTTCACCATGTTGGCCAGGCTGGCCTCAAACTCCTGACCTCAGGTGATCCACCCACCTCGGCCTCCCAAAGTGCAAGGATTACACATGTGAGCCACTGAGCCCGGGCCCTAGGTGATTTTTATTATCAGAAGATGACCACCTTCCCCATGGTTTTCTTCCCCCAAGGTACTAGAAAGAAGTTGCAGCTAACAGAAGAAGGGCAAGTTCTCTCCCAGTGGGCCCTTCCCAGGCTGGATTCCAGGACCTTCTCAGCCTGGATGTCACTCTGTTATAAGCTGATCACTCATCTTTCTATATAGACATTTTTAAAACATTTGACTTTTTACAATATAACACATCATTCAACCCCCTTTTTTTCCCATTAAGACTTTATTCTGGGAACGTCTCTTTGCTATTTTTAGGACCATTGATTTCTCTTTGATTCATTCTGCCTGCGTTATTCGTGATGTCCTCAGACAATACTTTCAGTCTGACTCTTCTATCGACACCTAGCAGAGGCATCCTGCCGATCAGTCAGCAGACGCGGCAGGAGGGAGGGCTCTGGGGAAAGAACCTCAGCTCCCCTGGCTCCTCCTCTTCTTCCCCTGCAGAAATAATCACGATAACAATAAAGACACCACTGCCCTGCATTTATGTGGAACATTGCACTTTTCAAAGAGCAAGCACCTTTCAATGAGCAACACATAATATCTTTCAAAGAATGAGAACAGAACAGTGTGTCAGAGGAATAATTTTTGATTGGGGTAAGGAGACTGGGTAGCAATACGTGCATCCTGGGCTTTCTTTCTTACCAGTTCAGCATCTCTCTTGAGGAAGGGAAATCTATTCTGTTGATCACCTCATTTACTTCCAGGCCTGGTCCTTTTGATTATGCCAGTACTCTGTTTTCCTTGACCTCAGTGAAGATATTCACCCATCAACCCTCAACACAGCTGCGAGCCTAAAATTTTCTTAAGGCGCCATACTCTTAAAGCAAGAAATTTCTGTCCTTACTTTCTAGGTAACTTGGATTGTCATCAAATGCAGTGTGTTGAAACGATACTTGTTTTAGGAACTTTGGAAGAAGGTTTTTTTGGGAAGGTAGTTGTGGTATAGTAGAAAAGGAGCGGGATTTGGTGCCAGGCAACCTGGGTTCAAATCTTGACTCTGCCACCTACCAGCTGTGTGACACTATTAAGTGTTTGTAATGAAAATTAAAATGACACAATATCTTTTATAATGAAAATTAAATGACACAAATGTCTAAAAAAGTGCTTGGCAAATTGGAAAGTAACACATAAATGCAGCTTGAGGTAGAGAGAGCTTGGGTTTTTTAGGAGGCACTTTGGGCCTCAATCCCGGGGTGGCAGATTACTAACTGATATGGTTTGGTTTTGTCCCCACCCAAATTTCATCTTGAATTGTAGTTCCCATACTCCCCACATGTTGTGGCAGGGACCCAGGGGGAGGTAACTGAATCATGGGAGTGGTTACCCCCATGCTTTTCTCATGACAGTGAGTGAGTTCTCATGAGAGCTGATGGTTTTATAAGGGGCTTTTCCCCCTTTGCTTGGCACTTCTCTCTCCTGCTGCCATGTGAAGAAGGACGTGTTTGCCTCCCCTTCTCTCATGATTGTAAGTTTCCTGAGGCCTCCCCAGCCATGCAGAACTGTGAGTCAATTAAACCTCTTTCCTTCATAAATTACCCAGTCTCGGTTATATCCTTATGGCAGCATAAGAATGGACTAATACAGTAAATTAGTACCACAGAGAGTGGGGTGTAGCTATAAAGATACCCAAAAATGTGGAAGCAACTTTGGAACTAGGTAGCAGGCAGAGGTTGGAATAGTTTGGAGTGCTCAGAAGAAGAGAAGATGTGGGACAGTTTGGAACTTCCTAGAGACTTGTTGAATGGCTTTGACCAAAATGCTGATGGTAATATGGACAATGAAGTCCAGACTGAAGTGGTCTCAGGTAGAGATGAGGAACTTCTTGGGAACTGGAATAAAGGTGATGCTTGCTATGCTTTAGCAAAAAGATGCAACATTTTGCCCCTGCCCTAGAGATCTGTGGAACTTTGAACTTGAGAAAGATGATATAGGGTATCTGGCAGAAGAAATTTCTAAGCAGCAAAGCATTCTGCCCTTAGAAAACTGCTTAGGACAGTGATCACAATGACTTGAGTGCTATTAAAGGCTTTCAGTTTTATGCATTCACAAAATATAGTTTGGAATTGGAACTTAGTTTAAAAGGAAAGCAGAGCATAAAAGTTGGAAAAATTTGCAGCCTGACGATGTGACAGAAAATAAAAACCCATTTTCTGAGGAGAAATTCAAGCCAGCTACAGAAATTTGCATAAGTAATGAGGAGTCAAATGTTAATCACAAAGACTATGTGGAAAATGTCTCCAGGGCATGTCATAGACCTTCACGGCAGCCCCTCCCATCATAGGCATGGAGGCCTAGAAGGAAAAAATGGTTTTGTGGGCCAGGCCCAGGGCCTTGCTGCTTTGTGCAGTCTTGGGACTTGGTGCCCTGTGTCCCAGCCATGACTAAAAGGAGCAACATACAACTCAGGGTCAATGTACGGCTCAGACCATGGCTTTAGAGGGTGCAAGCCCCAAGCCTTGGTGGTTTACACATGGTATTGGGCCTGAGGATGCACAGAAGTCAAGAATTGAGGTTGGGGAACCTCAACCTAGATTTTCAGAGGATGTACGGAAATTCCTGGATGTCCAGGCAGAAGTTTACTGCAGGGCAGAGCCCTCATGGAGAACCTCTGCTAGGGCAGTACAGAAGGGAAATGTGGTGTTGGAGCCTCAACACAGTGGAGCTGTGAGAAGAGGGCCACTATCCTCCAGACCCCAGAATGGCAGATCCATTGACAGCTTGCACTGTGTTCCTGGAAAAGCCACAGACACTCAACACCACCTCATGAAAGCAGCTGGGGCAGGGAGGGGGCTGTACCCTGCAAAGCCACAGGGGTGGAGGCTGCTCAAGGCCATGGGAGCCCACCTCTTGCATCAGTGTGACCTGGATGTGAGGCATGGAGTCAAAGGAGATCATTTTGCAACTTTAAGGTTTAATGGCTGCCGTATTGGATTTTGGACTTGCATGGGCCCTGTAGACCCCTTTGTTTTGGCCAATTTCTCCCATTTGGAATGGATGTATTTACCCAATGCCTGTACCTCCATTATATCTAGGAAGTAATTAACTTGCTTTTGATTTTACAGGCTCATAGGTGGAAGGGACTTGCCTTATCTCAGATGAGACTTTGGACTTGGACTTTTGGGTTAATGCTGGAATTAGTTAAGACTTTTGGGGACTGTTGGGAAGACATGATTGTGTTTTGAAACGTGAGGACATGAGATCTGGGAGAGGCCAGGGACAGAACTATATTGTTTGGCTGTGTCCCCACCCAAATCTCATCTCAAACTGTAGTTCCCATAATCCTCATGTGTCATGGGAGGGACCTGGTGGAAGGTAATTGAATCATGGGGGCAGTTACCCCATGCTCTTCTCATGATAGTGAGTGAGCTCTCATGAGATCTGATGTCTCCTCAGCCACGTGGAACTGTGAGTCAGTTAAACCCTCTTTCCTTTATAAATTACCCAGTCTCAAGTAAGTGCTTATAGCAGTGTGAGAACAGACTAACACACTAACAGTTTGGCCCTTGGCAAGCTACTTAGCCTTTCTGAGCCTGAGTTTCCACATTTGTGAGAATGGAGCTACAAGACTGCAGGTAAGCAATGTGAGATGCTTTACATAGTGACCATGCTTAGTAAAAGATGGTGCTTTCATACTACTGTTACTCATCTCTCAAACTCTGGTCCAAATTCCCTCTTCTCACTAGCAGAGAAGAAAAATGACAATGACATGTCTATAATTAATAATTAAAGATTTTTCATATCAACTAATGTTAGGTACTACAGACCAGATAATACAGGAGCATTAGGCTGTTCATGAGGCATCTGCCCTTGGATACTACAGACCAGAAAATACAGGGGCATTAGGCTGTTCATGAGGCCTCTGCTTAGGAAAATTGCTTAGGACAGTGACCACAATGAGTTCACTAATAACGATAAAACATAAAAGAGGGCCTTGCTCCAGGGGGTAGAAGGTCGACCAACACTTTCACCTCGCTCTCCACCTACATCAACTTAGTGAGGGTTTGTTCAGCTTTGATCTCCTTTTATCTACCCAGGATTTTGTGGGTCACATTCAAAAGTTGGTTTTAGCAGGCCAGTTAAATCTCAGTGTGAAAAATGACTTTCTGCCCTGATTTTTAAATGGCTCTGAGTCTGATACAGCACAGAGACTCAGAATCCTGAATATGACTGTGTGAGGCAGACTATACATTTCCTGAGTATATGCTGGGCACTATTATGCCTAAGAAAAATTGGTTGTGGTTTCAGATATATGGAATAGAATAGAAGAAACATGGGAAGTCTTTGAGCAGAACGGCTGCTCAGGTACTAGATTGTAAAACTTGTGGAATCCAAAGGTATTTGCCTTCACCTGGGAATATAGGCATTGCTTGAATTAAGTGGCCACAAAGGCCCATTTCAGATTGATAAAGTTAACATTGAGTGAGTAAACACACTTGACATAAATGAGTTCTTATGCGAACAAGAAGACATGCATGAGAATACTTATAGCAACTGTATTCATAGTGGTCTCAAATTGGAAACAACCCACATGCCCATCAACAGTAGAAAGGGTAAATAAAAGGTGATGTATTCACACAATGGAGTATTACACAGCAATAAAAAAGAACTACTGATATATCCAATGACAAACTGTTAAGTGAAAGTAAGCAGACACAAAAAGAGTACATACTGTGCAATTCTACTTATGTGAATCTCAAGAACAGAAAAAATGAATTCTTGGTGATAGAGGTCACCTTTTTGTGGTGAGGGGCAGTATCGACTGGAAGGGTACATGAGGGAAGCTTTCGTGGGACTGAATTATAAATATGATTGCCTTTCTGAAAAGTAATTTGGAAATGGAATAAATTTAAACTAGCCAAACAGTCCCTCTAGTTCTGTGATTCCATATTTAAAGAAACATTTCACTGTAGCCACATGAGCATAGGCTGTGAGAGAAGTCCAGTATTCTTATTAATATCCATTCAATCATTAGCCTCTAAAATTCTATGACCTTTATTGGCAGATAGTTGTTGAAAGAACAAATGAATGAATGCTTTTTAATTATTCATATAACTTTATAGTGAGACAAGTCATTTGCTGACCAGCCACTACTTTGATTGACACTTGAGTCAATCAAAATATTAGTGGTTCAGATTAAACAGCTTCTCAGAAGCTAAGGTGTCTGGGAAGACCCAGAGGCCTAGGGCAAGACTATTCAAGCATTCCAGGCCTTGGCTCCTGACTCCAGCTGAACTTACTCTGCTCTTTGGACTTGAGGCCTTTGAACTAAAGCGTGCCCTTGCAAGATTTCCCAGCTTCCTTGTTTGGACTGGAGAGGAATGAGAAACACCATTCTTATGGTATTTCAGGATCTTGTCTTCCTGTCCAGTCCCTAAAGGAGGAAGTTCAGAGAGGGGCAAAGGTTCAATCCAGTCTCAACATTTACAGACCATCCGGCCACCCCCTTGTGCCCCAAGCACGTCTCCCCTGTGAGTTCATTCCCTCCACCCACCTGAGCCCCCTTTGTAGTGTTTTTCCATGACAGTCAAGGCCTCTATCCCCCATCTACCCACCCCCAAAAAAAGCTCTTCAAAAAGATTGTTCTATCCTGGCTCGAAATTTTAGCATCTTTTTGAGAACAGATCATTATTACAATAATAAAAATCTTGGGCATTGAGTGAATCCTGCTATTTTCACAGTCTTTGTGATCCTATGAAGTAGGCTACAGCAGGCATTATTTCCTCCATTTACAAAAGTGCAAACCAAGTGAGGCTCAGAGAGGTTAACAGATTCTCTCAAGGTCTCATGGTAGTATCAGGGAGGTGCTGGGGCTGGAATCGGGGCGTTCTGATTGTGAGCCTGTTTCCCTCCTTCTCCTGGGCTCTCCTCTGTCTGACAGTCAGTTCACAGCTTCTGACCCTCACCTTCCACTTTGGAGGTGAAGACTTATCCTGAGAATGAGAAGGCCCAATGTCACCAGGGAGATGGAAGCTAAGAATGGGCTTCAGGACCTGCCAAGGGTCCAAAGTGGTCCCTGGTGCCTTTCCTGTATCCCCAGGGCCCATGATGGAACTTGACACCAAAGGGTCCTCAATAAAAGGTGCTGATATGAGCTAGCCACTGGTGCTGCAAGCTTAGTGCTCCAGGGATCCTAGCCAAAGCATGGCTAGGAGGTCAAACCATAAAGCAGGGAGGATTGACTAGAGGCACTCCTGCCCACCTGGCATTTTCCAATAATAGCAATTATTATTATTCATTGTGAGCTTACTGTGTGCCAATAACTTAAGAATTTTGACATGGATTATCTCGATAATACAATGATTTTATAAAATAGGCAATTTTCATCAGAGTTTGATCGGAGGGAAAACCAAGGCTCAGATAAGTGGCTTGACCAGCATTACTCAGGCAGTATGTGGGGGTGTCAGGATTCATACTCAGGTATCTAAGTACAGACCCTCTAAGCAGGTCCCTCCAGAGAGAACTGGTCCCAAGGCCAAGGAGATTCTCAGTCTGCTGGAAGCTTCTGGTTGCCTGTTCCCTGGGCCGGTATGTCACCTTCATCAACAGATTTGCCTGCCTTAGGCATTTGGTAATTTTCCTTCTATTCCTTTCCCCTCTTCTCATTTATTTAATTTTCTCATCCTTCTTGTTTCCCGTATTTTAAAAGGTGGTCCCCTCTTTTTCTTCCTTTCCTTCCTCTCCGTCTCTAGCTTTCTTTTCTCACTTCTACAGATTGTTCCCCCTCTTCCTCCTCCTCCTCCCCACTACCTCATTTCTTTCCCTACCATCTTGTGGGGAAAGATCTTGAGATCTTTCTCCTGCAGCAATGTTGGCACAATCTTAAGTTAGAATAGAGAATCATCTTGAGGAAGGCTTAGGGTGCCCCCAGAAGCCATCAGTTCTTTCTCCCTTGCTGGATGAGTCAACCAGCCCAGGAGACCATCCATTCATTCAACACATATTTACTGGACACTGCTTGGTGCCAGGCACTGGCCATACAATGATGACTAGAAGCAGACATTAACCAATACTCACACTACAAATGTAAAAATACCACTGGGTTAGTACAATCAAGGAGAGAGAACTCTGTCAACAGGACAACAGTGGCCCCTGGGCTAGCCTGGAAGTAATACTAGCTAGGTACATCTTAAGGAGGGCCTACCTCTGTGTCTGACTATTGTAGGTGACATTAATCAATGTCTCGACGTGTTTAATATTCACAATAGTCCCATGAAGTGGTGCTATTTTTGGTCCCATTTTGCAGATAAGGAAACTGCTGCACAAAGAAGTGAAATGTTTTCCTCAAGGTCAGAAAGCCAGTGAGTAGCAGGGTCAAAATTCAAGCCTTGATGGTGGACCCTGATCCTGTGCTCTCAAAACCCAGGCTATGTTGCTGAGAAGTCAGGGAAGGCCTTCCCGAGCAGGTGACCATTGAGGTGAGATTTAAGGATAAGCAGAGCTGCATTCTCAATATATTGCTGTTCCCTCATGCCCATTTCCATAGCAGAAATCCCTAACTGATTATGGCACCCCTTTTCTCCAATCAGGACTCAACTTCAGATTCCTCAAGAAGAGTACTCCAAGAAGTCCCTCCTGATTGATCCAAACTGGTCCAAGATTTAAAACCTACTTGCCACCCTGCGATTTGCTCATCTGAAATCAGCAGGCAACTTAAAACCACTTTGATGTAGCTTTGAAGTCCCTTCCCTGTGACAATGAGGCAGCAACCACTGATCAGGCACTTACTGTATGGAGCAATGTGGCTTTCCCAACATGGTAGTGACTTATCTAGACTGGGGCTTCATTTTCTGGGAACAGAGTGACAGAGAAGGGCAGGAGAACTGGACGTTGTGTGACCTTCGATGGGGATTGTTTGGGGCATGAAAATCAGCTGTGGACCACGCATCAAGCGGACGACTCACAGCCAAATAGAAATGATGCCAAGAACGGCAGTCATGGCCAGTCCTAAACATCAGCTTCCAGGCAGAGAATTCAAAACATCTGCTCAAGTGCTGACCTCCACACTGCATTCCTCATATTCCCGCCCTGCCCAGCTGTCTGTCGGCAGGCAGAGACCAGCTCCCTGTGAAAACCTAGAGCAGAGGGCAAAGTGAGATGGGGCGAGGGTTGGGGGAAAGGAGGGCACTGTCGCTGAAACAAGGCTCCTAAAATCACTTACACCTTAGACTAGTTCCTCCATTTTACTTAGGTCCCACCATTGTTTCAAGCACTCACATTACATATTGTCTTTTCAAAAAATATACATTTAATGTGGTTATACTTGTATGAATAGATCAGTGTGATATAAGTGATATTTAGTAACCGATAATTACTACATGTTAGCCATCTGCTATTCCTGAGGGTTTCACCAGACCCTTTCATAAAAGCAAAATGATACTCCACAGCCAAATTATATAACATTAACAGAATATTTTACATGCGAAATGCTGTATTTCTTTACTTTTCATTCAACCAAAAATGTACACAGTTAGTAACAAGCCATTTCAGCTGCATATTTATCCAAAACATTTCACAGGCAAAAAGTCAAGTGAGAAAAATAACAGTTCAGCCACATGAGGGCTAGGAAAACACGTTAGAAAAGGGATCCTCATTACAATAATAAACGAGGGTCCAACTAAGGCTGCCACATGCAGGGCGGGTCCGTACTTGGCAGGGAAAGCCACGCTGAGAAGGTTTTGCCCTTGACTTGGAGAGTGTCCCCAGCACCCTCACCAGCATTCCCAGGCTGGGGCTGCTACAGCTGCTTCTGCCACCGAGACAACAGCCACAACTCCAGCCATTTTTCAGTCTCACATTTTGGAAACTGCTTCTTCCGTGTGAGCAGACGTCACTTTCCAGGCATGTTTGGGCTGCCACTTTATCGTACAATAAGCCTAACTACCCCAGAACTTGCAGCAGGCAAGTAAGCAAGGAGTAGGGGGGAGGGATGCCCAGGTGCCGAGTTCCCCAACACGGCCATGAAAGACACATCTCAATATTCATGAACTTGGGCTTGGAGGCCCCAGGACTGGAAGCTGGGGATGGGGACCCTGACTCCCAGTTGGTGGCACTTGCAAAATGAGTGTGATGTGCACAGTCCAGGGTCAAAGGCAAGTGAAGAAAGCTGGGACAAAGGTGTAGTGTCAGGCTCAGACATTTATTTACCTTCTCTAAACTTCCGTTTCCTCATCTGTAAAACGAGAGCATCATCTTTACCTTCTGAATTGTCTGAGAATTAAATAATATTATATTTGCCAAGTGCTAAGCACAGTGGGTGGTTCGTTAGAGTCACTTAATAAACGTTTGTTCTTCTTATTCTTAAGCTCATGGTCTAGTTGGGTAAGTAAATGAAATATAACCACATGAAAGAGGAGGGAATAATCACAGAACAACATGGCAGCAAATGCAAAACAGTCAGGTGCGGATTAAATGCAAGGCATTAAAACATTCGTATGCGAGGAGGTTCACAGAGAGAAAGTGGGGCTGAGCAACAAACGCTGCCTGGAAGAGGCAGGTTTCACATAAGAATTTCTGTTTCAGATCCTAAAGGGTGCTGGTCATTTCCAGGCACTGGCAAAGGTTGGGGTTCCTCTGGGGCAGATTTATTCCCTGTGGCTCCAACAATCAGGTCAACAGTGGGGACTATTTATGGTAACTTCGGCCCAATAGAATAGGCTTTCTCCCAGGGTGGATGATTGAGAAGGGTAGGAAATTCACAGAGGCACTGAATATCCCTGTGTCAGCAGTTTACTTCTAATTAATCTTCTCAGAATTGCCTTATCTGTGCTTCAAGAGCTTCCATTATTTACCTACTGACTTCTTAAAGGAGCCGGGGCCTTTAAAATACATATATGAACATTTAAAAACCGCCCAACTAATAGAAAATCTATGTTAAACACTGTTACATGGTTATTTCCCATCTCCCATACATAGTCACAGAGAGAGGGTGAGGGAGAGGAGGGTACGAGGGAGAGGGAAAAGAAAAGAGAACAGAGCCTGGGAATAGAGAGAGGAGGACACCAGGAAAGACCAGGATAGGCAAGAGACAGGCAAGGAAAGAAGAGGGGAGCGTGTTCAGCCGGAGCCTCCCTTGAGGAGGCAATCCTGTTGCTGCAATGCTTGAGCAAGTGTGTGAGCAGTACCCCAGCTGAGTAGGGCCCCATTCTGACCCAGCTGCCTCCCACCTTTTTATCTGGAGACCCAGCTCCCCAGCGTTCAGGTCCACATCCCTGCCTCTAGCTGCCCATGCTTCTGGCCAGCCTGGGTTTGATGATGACTCTTCAAGTACAGTTCAGATTCAGAGACAAATCTGTTGGCCTCTGAGCTCCTAAAAGGATCCATTTTGTTTGCAAGGCAAGTGAGGTACAAGAGCACCCTATTCTCTACAGTTTCATAATGTGGCCGAAAAGTTCAATTTACATTCAAAGTGTTCAAATCCAATCTTATCATAACTATAGGAGCTATTTAAAGGAGCTCAGCTTTTAAAATGAATAATTCATGTTAGTTCATCTGGTTTAGGAAGCTAGCATATTAGAGTTTCTTAAAGTGGAATTTCTCTTATGTTGTGTTTATTGTTAATACGGTCAATTAAAATGAGTTCTTGACAAAAGCTTGTATCACAGATTTCATAGTAAATTATGGAGCAGGGCTGGATCCAAACAGATGGGCTCGGTATTTATTGAGCATTTACTAAGTACCCGTCCTATGCAGGAAGTCACAGGGGATACAAAAGAAAACATATTCCACCTGGACTGCCTTTGGTGTCCTCATCTACAAAATGAGGTGTTGGATGAATCATGCCTGACAAGACTGCTAGCCCTAGTGGTCTATGATTCCACAGTTGATCTGTGCTCAAGGGGGCCTCAAAATCTTGCAGGAACAAAAGCACAACACATACCTCTCAATGAAATAACAATGTCACAGTGACCTGAGGTCAGGGAGGGAGACACCATGGTGATTGAAGAAGGTCTAAAATGCTTTGCTCCAGTCCATGGGACATGGTGGGGTCTTCAAAGATGGAGAAAAATCTCCGGAGAGGACCAGTGGAAGGCTGAGTTAAGATGGACATGCTCGATGAGGGTTGGGGGCATGGTGAGGACAGCGGGGCAGTGAGGCCAGCAGGTACTGGGGGAGGAGTGAGATGTCACATAGAGAGGCACCAAGCCAGGCTGAGGAGTGAGACTTTTAAAGGACAGCAAAGGAACCATGTAGGTTCCCATTGAAGGGGTAGACAAGATGATTCCCAGCCCGGCAGCAGCATGGAGACAGGGCTGCCATGAGGGCGGCGGCTTCCCCCTTGACAGAGGGCACCCCTAAGAGGTTCCCACAATGCTGCTAAGGTCTTCCTTATGGGACTTTCTTATGGCCTGGGTGACCTGAGGACATTTTCCTTGAAAATCAATTCGTTAAGCAAGCTTTTGCATCTTTGAGTGCAGTGTTCTGGTAAGATGTCACCTTGAAAGTATATAATGTTATCTCTTTAAGTTTTCCTGTTTGTTTGCTTTAATCTTTTTCCTTTTTTACCCCTCAAATAGAGGCTCCGTCTTTGCTGCAGTAAACTGGTTTTGAACTTGCTTGTCAGTACTAGCCCCGTAACCTTGGGCAAATTACTTAATCTTCCTAAGTCTCAGTTTTCTTACCAGTAAAATGGGATAATATAAGGGTACCTGCCTAACAGGGTTGTTGGATGATTGAATGAGGTGAACAGTCTAGCATATGTGAAGAGTCTAGCATAGTGCCTGGGATAGAGAGAGCACTTATTACACATCCCAACAGGACTGCTAGTGAGTGACTGACACATTGGATTATCTCCTGCTTAAACCTTGTTGGTGCAAGGAGAGGAGGAAGGAATCTCAGAGGAGCAGCTGGAAAGGGCTTTGGAAGTGGAAATACAAGAGCAACTGGTCTGTAGGATGAGTGTCCCAGGAAGATGAGGAAGGGGGCAGGTCTGGCACTATGATTCATCTCTATTTAGTTGTTTTTGCACAACAACTGCTTGAGAGGTGCGTGTAAGCAGCAGCTTCAAGACCCTGGAGAGTTTTGTAGATAAGCTTTGGGTTAAACTGACTTCCTGGAACGCTTAGGAAGAACTTCATTTCAAAAAACAAATTTTGTACCTTTTTTGTCTTTATTATTATCAGCTGAGGCACAAAGTTGTTTATTGAACTGTCTGTGTTCTTCATGCTGTTCCTGAGAGGTGAGTGGGTCCAGAAAACACCAAGCTTCTGAAGATGTTTCCAAACCAAAATGCCAAGAGGCCTCTTTAAACAACTAGCCTAGTCTTCTATGATCAGCTCTCACAGATGCTCTTTCACTATGGATAGATTCCCAACCAAGGATATTCACACTGATATCTCTCTTCTCTGAGTTTCAATTAACAGCTTTGTTAACATAGCTATCATTTATTGAGCCTTTACTATGATCAGGTATATAGACAGATTATTAAATAATCTCATAAAATACTTTACATTGGTCCAATGAAATAGATCCCATTATTATGTCCATTTTTGCAGATAAGGAAACAGACTCAGAGAGGTTAAGTAACTTGATCAAAGTCACACAGCAGTCAAGTGGCAGAGTTAGGACTAAAATTCAGGTTTGTCTGATTCTGATTCTTAATAACTACATCCTCCTGCCCCCTAGATAATGAGGCAATTGGGTACTGGGAATAAAAAAGGCATATAAGTCAGATGGATAAGGAAAGAATGGAAGGGTTTTTACTGGTACCTTGTGAAAGATAAAGGAAGATAAGGGGAATAAACACAGCTGCAGAAACACACATCCTTAGCTTGCAAGGCAAGGGCAGGACGCACACGCGTCAAAGGAGCTGGTGCCATGTGCTTTGGCAAGATGATACCACGAAGAGTCCACATTTGATAGTTCTGAGTATTTAGGAGCCAAGTGGAGTTAAGAAATGCTTAAACACAGGGTACACCCCCCCCCACTCCCTGCCTTTCCTGTTTCAAGCATCTGGATCCACTGGGGTCTTGCGGGAGGGAGAAGAACTCCTGCCTCAGGGGAGTCAAGGCCCCGGAGATAGGAGGCAGCTGCCAAGGACTGGAGAGTCCTCAAATAGGAAAGCGCGGGACATTTGGAAGGAGGACAGATGCAGAAAATAAAACCCCTCCTAGGTGTGCATTATCTGCAACAAAGTCAAGTAAATTTACAAGCATATTATGGAAACTGCAGGAGAGGGAAATCATAGAAAGTTTCTAGTGAACAAGGAAATTGGAAATGGAAATTGGAATCTCCCGGTACAGTGCTGATGATTATTAATTTGAACTGTGTAAAATGTTATTGATAGTGTCTTTGTTACTGTCTTCTTTCTGCTTTGTCTTAGTGATTACACAAATATTCAAAAGGCTTCCAAGGGTTCATTGTCAATCTCCTTGTCCCGATCCTATTCTTCCTGTAACATCTTAAATCCCTTAAACCTCAGTCCTCCTCCATTGGAAGTTCTCTTCACGCCTGGAGCGAACCTATATGTGATGTGGTCCTGGCCAGCCACAACTGTGCTTTCCATCTCTGGAATCCCTACCAGGCTAAGGCTGGTCAAATAAATACGTGCTGTGTGCTGAACACTTCTCAGCTTTCCCTGCCCTGGTTGTGTGACAATTCTGCAATTCACATTGAAAGGCGGCAGGAGAAGGCGGTTGCTCCTGGTTTCTGCCAAGATGGGGCGCCGAGCAAAAGCCTGTCTCTGTGTGTGGGGGGGTCTACAGTGAGCAAAAGCCTGTCCCAGTGTGTGTGGGGGGGTCTACAGGGTGGGGGAAGAGCCTGCCAGGATTTGCCTTAAATCTCTGCATTTTCCCTGGGCGGCAAGAGTTAGAGGTGGATGTAGGTGGGGGTTATAGGAAGCCCACCATGTCCAGGACAATGAAAATAAAGAGAAGCATGCACATCCTGGACCAAGATGACCCCCTGCAAGATACAAAGATGGCTCAGGGCCTGCCTGGGAACAATTCCCTTGGTGTGGACCCCAAACTTGGGAGGAAAATTGAAGAGCAGAACAATTTCCATTCATGAAGAAAATGAGGAGGCTGAGTATCTTTTCAATGAGTCAGCTGTAGGCAAAGGGATTTATTTATAATATTATTATTTGGTAGAAAAGAACTTACTATGGCCAAATGTAAAAAGTATTTTTTTTGATAAGTTAAAGAGATTAAGAAAAATCGGGCCGATTTTGACAGAGAATGGTGTGTAAACGAGAGGTGTTATCAGTGAGAATCTGGCACCAGCTCCATTTTGTTATGGTGAAAAATATCAGTATTATTTACTAAGAAGATTAGGGTTGAATTGGAAGAGAGGCTGGTTGTTGTGTGCAGATGGAGATAAGATAAGGATTTTACCTTCTCTGCAAAGCCAAATGCAGCACACACAGCGCTGTTATCTCGGGGCTGGCAAGCAGGGGGATATTAAGATGTACGTTGTAATTACCAATGGCAGGAGCAAATTTCATAGCGACTATTTTAAACCCTAATAAAATGCCGGCCTTTAATTATACAGCTTTGAAATATTTTTTTCAGTTAATTGCAACCGGGGAAAATAAAATCAACCTCATATTTGAAACTGATTCTCACAGGGAAAGCCCTCGGCCTGGCGCTCCAGCTGCCTCTGAGCGCGGCGCTGCTGAGCGAGGGGCTGCCTTGGTTCTGAGTATGCAGGTTGTTTCATCGATCCTCTCGCTCCCTTAGTCTCGAGTGGGGAGAAGGAGTTAGAAAGGGTGAAGCCTTTCTGGGTAGAATTCGATTTCCCCAGGAAGACACATGCTCATCCCACAGGGAACGAAGCCTGATTTCTAAAAGCAGGAGGCAGGTGGGATGTGGGAGGGAGGAAAGGAGGGCTTGAGACCAGGGAGGGGCTTCTGCTCTGCAGAGGAGCCCCCAAGGGCTCTGGCCTGGGGAATATTCAACCCCACCAAACCTCCCCACAGGGCACACTGAGGCTGTCCATCTCTGCCCCAGCCACCATCCTGTCTATGAATCTCCTATTTCTCAGTCTCACAGATCCTTAGTCTCATGTCATTAACCTCTGTCTGTCCTCACATTAACAAAAATAATAATAACAATAGCAGTGGTACTGGCAATAGTCATAATAGCTGCAACAGGCCAGGCACTGTCCTAAGCATTCGGTATGCTTTATCCCACGTAAGTGTCACAGCAGCCCTCTGAGGCAGGTATGTACCTGGTTCAGAGTGTAACTTGCCTGGGATCACGCCTGGGGTAAAGTAACTTGCCCAGGATCACACCTGGGGTTGCCACTCGGGTCTATCTCTTGATTACCAAGCATAAACTCACCTCTCCTTTACTTCCACTGTACCACGGCTCTTGCTTGGCCAGGGCCTCGTCAACTCCTTCCTCTGACATCATTTCACACCTGGCCTCTGTGCTGCCATCACCTTCTGAGTCCTCCTCCTACTCCACTCTCATGTTGGCAAACATCAAGACCCTCTCTATTACTTCCATAGTCTGGCCCCAACTACCTTTCCTCACTCATCGTCCACTTCTTCCTCACAGGACCCTTCTGGTCCCGGAAGGTGGACCCGTGGCTCACCACACCCGCTTATCTTCTTCCCGTCTGGAACCCCAGAAGGCCTCTTTCCACTCAGCTGTTAGTCCAAGCCCAGTTCAAACTGTGCTGTCTCCTGACTCCCCCAGCCCCTGCAAGCCCTGTCTGTGCCCTGTCCTGTCCACCATCTAACCCTCTTTTCACACTTGCCTGCGGCCTTCTTTGGATAATTTAGAACATAAGCTCCCGAGGGCAGAGGAGTGGCACCTTGTTGTATCCCCAGCGACACATCATTCATGTGAGACTCCAATGATTTACTGAGTAATAATTGGTCAGCTACCTTTTAACATATGTGTGTTTTATTTCACCTGGGGACTGCAAACTGCCTGATAGCAGGAACTACATGTGAATTCATTTTACAATCCCAGCCCAGACTGCCTGTGATGGGAAAGGGTCTGGATGCATATCTTGGTCCAAGTGGTGGGAAAACCCCTAGCCAAGAAGCTGAGAGATTGCATAGCCTTAACTAGTTTGTGTCACCTTATATCCCGTAACCCTAACCTCCTATGTACAATGAGGCCAATAACCCCTACCCGCAAAGTGTGGGATGTAGGGATTCCGTGGTAACGAAGGATGAGAAAGACTTCCGACTTGATGGTAAATCACTACCTCCTCCCAGGGGCTGCTGGATTCTAAAGTCTGTTTCATTGGCTGGCACAAAAAAGAAAATCTCTCACCCTACACCACTGGCCCCTGAGCTCTGGTCACACAGTGAGCTGCAGGCAGGCAAGAGAGCACTACCTCAGGGAACCATGGTTGGGCTCTGAATGAATTGGGAGGGTTCTTCCAGAATCTTCCCTGGGGCTAGAAGGAGGCAGGGAGAGTGGAACACTGAAGATTTCCCCCATGGAAATGAAACAATTCAATCAGATATTCCTCTACTTGAATCACTTTTATTCGGGGCATCAGGTCTTCATTTAATCTTCACAAGACCCTCAGAGGTGAGCAGTATTATTATCCCTATTTTACTGATGAGAAAACGGGCTTCGAGAAGTTAAGGAACTGTCAGCTGACTGTTGAAACCACTCTCACCCTAAAGCTGCGCTCTTAACCACTATGCCTTACAGCTTCACGTGAGGCCAGCCTGCACATAGTGTGTATCCACAAAAGAGATATTTGATTATGCAGATTTAGCGCACACTGGTATGGTATATGGGTATCTTTGCAGCAATCCCACGTGTCTGTCCCACTCCATTTCCAGCCTTCCTGACAGTTAGCAATGACCAGGGCTTTGTGAGTCTCCAGCTTTGAGGAGTTGGGTCCCACTCAGCCGCAGTGCCTGGCAGTAGCCTTTTAGTCAAATATCAGGAGTCAGTCACCATGTGCTCATGGTCACAGAGCTCTGAGATTGTCACGGATGGCTGCAGCTGGCCCTGGGGTTGCAGTCTTTGTGGGTGCTGGCTGGTGTTGGGGCTCTCACTGTCCCAGAAATGATTAATACCCTGATGCTATCTCGATGGCTTTAGGAGACACCCCTCCGTGGACGGGGATGCTACTGGTTGATACAAAATGATATATTTTTTTCAATCTATTTCACGGTGGCAGTAATTCAGACAAGGAAACATCTTTGCCTTCTACTGGAGCTTTATGCTGCATTTTAAAAATCGCAGAAAATGATGAAGGGAATTTTTCAGAGAATTTAATACATTAGTAATGAGGAGCTCAGAAAATGAAACACTTTTTCTAAATTTCTGATATTGAACAAATAGCTTTCCCTCCCTCCTGAACAACAATGATTATCTCCCCCTCTTCCCAAAGTCACGCCATCCAAGGGAACTACAGAAAGATAGAACACAGCTAGAGGAAGGTTTGACAATATGACACAGTTTTCCTGATTTTTCGCCCAGGAGCAGCTATTTATTGGTTTCCTTGAGCAATTACCCATTATTTTTGCAGCCTGTTTTGAAGGGATAGGATGCATAATTTTATGCCACGGACTAAAATTAATTTATAGAATGTGTTATATCTTTGTTCCTCCCACATTTACAATGTTTTTAAGATGCTTTGTCCCCAGCTAAGGTATATAATGACCCAAGCGGCTCTTTAAAAGAAAAACATCTGTTACTACTGTGGGCTTGCTTTCTTCATGCCATTTTTTGTCGTCCCTTGGCTGCACGCAACAAGCTAAGGTCACTGGTAATAGTCATGTTTTAAGAGATTCCTGAAGCTTCTGATTTTGCAGCAAATACAGAATTCAACAAAGTTTGAGCTACCCATTTGCCAGCGGGAGGCTGTGGTTTGATAGAAATGGCCAGCAAGTAGCTGGTAGCTAGTAGATAGACAGGTCTCGGGACTCGCAGGGATTGGTGACAGGAAAACTGTGATTGGAGAATTAAGCTTGAGCATTTACTGTAAACCTTTGCAAAACATTATTTTTTATCAAAGTTAAACAGTACATAGTTTAAAAAGTTTTTTAAAAATATGATTCTAGAAGGATTTACCCAACTCCCTTTTCACATTTTCCAGAGGCCACCACTTCACATTTTTAGCAGCTTCTTCTATTATTTACTTCCATATTGCTAAATGACATGCTTGTGCTGTTATTTCTAGAATTTCCTATTTTAGACACTGTCTACTAGCTTCCTACTCAGGAAGATGAGGAGCTGGCTTTCTTACATCCCCTTACCACCCCATTCACCTCTGCTCCCTCTCTACCAACACCCTCTCTGGCCTGGTGCTTACAACATAGTTGTATCCTAATTTCCCATAGAGTCAATATTTATCATTTATATTGCTATGATTATGAAAATATCATTTCCTGTGGAGCTGTGTGTAGTCTATGATTATATTTCCTTTCTCGTATTTCCTTTCTTTGTTTCCAGTAGAGTTAATAATTCTCTCCCTTTTGCTCAGTTTTCTGACATACTTAACACTAATTCAACCCTAAACGTTGTAAATCTTCTCTCAGTATGTTCAAAATATTTTATCCATTTTATTTTTTTTTTTCCTAGAGACTTGCATCTCATAGCTCTCTCTGCTCCTGCTTCAATCTGGGCAGGTTATTTCCTAACCTATTGTAGAGTTATTGTCCTGGAATTGTTCCTGGGATTATTCTGGTGATTCTATCAGCTTTTCTCTTGTATTAGATTCCCTGTTTTTGGCAACCAATGTCTTCTTTTTTCTTGGTTTATTTTTTCAGAAGCATCATGGTAAAAATATATGTAAGATAAGGGGGAGGTGAATTTTTTTTTGAGCTCTCATATGAATGAAAATGTCATTATTCTGCCTATATACTTGATTGATAGTTTGGCTAGGTATAGAATTCTAGGGTAGAAATCATTATCCTCTAGCTTTTTCAAGCATTTCTCTATTTCTCAGGATTGCATACTAATTCTAAATATATTACACCAGTAAACTCAATATATTCATCCAGGAAACTCATATCAGTGATTATCATAGTAGTAACTTACTGATAGATTTAAAGAACTAGAGAAAAGTTGAACGGTAGAGATCACCACTTAATAGGTATAGACTGATTAAGATAATAGGAATGGTAGCATTAACTTACAGTCTTCAAACTCCCATGCTTAATGAACTTCAATGTCTCCTCCACTCCCCTGCCTAGAAGATCAAGTTCAGTCTCCCCTAAAGAGTCCTCTCGGTTCCCAACCACCTCATGCCTTCCCAGCATGCCCACTCCAGTCCAGTTCAGCTAAGCTATTCTTATTATCTCTATTTAATTTTCCTCTCTACCCACCAGGAATTCTCTTCCCTAAAAGAGTCCCTCTTAAAACAAATCCTACACATTTCGGAGGCCTATTTCAAAGCCCATCTTCTTCATATGACTAGGGTACACTAATGTGCCATACACTCTGGAATGGCTCACTCAGCCTTCCCTCCAGCCTCCTTGTAGCTTGAGAGACTCAAAAGCTAAAAATTGATTTCTGAATTTTCTTGCTAGTAGAGTTCTGGATTTGTTTTTGTTTTTGTTTTGAGACAGGGTCTTACTCTGTTGCCCAAGCTGGAATGCAGTGGTACCATCATGGCTCACTGCAGCCTTTGAATTCCTGGGTTCAGGTAATCCTCCCACCTCACCCTCCCCAGTAGCTGGGACTATAGGTGTGTGCCTTCACGCCTGGCTAATTTTTTGTATTTTTTTTTTGTAGGGATGGGGTTTCACTATGTTGCCCAGGCTAGTCTCAAACTCCTGGGCTCAAGTAATCTGCCCACCTTGGCCTCCCAAAATGTTGGGATTACAGGATGAGCCACTGTGCCTGGCCCAGTTCTGGATTTGAATTAGGTTCTGCCTAACTAGATACACTCACACAAGATTTGGAATTGAATTGGACCGACTTGGAATTTGGAACTGATGTATTCACCATAGTACCTGAAGAAAAAAAAAGTCGATAAGGTTAAAAGTAGAAGAAAAGAGTTTCCCTGCAACCCATCAGGGAATCAGTTTGTCACCCGCAAGGCTGACTACTTGGGTGAACCAGGATCTGTCTATTTCATACAGTTACTCAATACATGTTTGTTGAATGAAGAATTATTGATCCCTAAAAAGCTATTAGAGATCTCAAGGACTGAGGTACTTATGACTCCCACCCCTAAATTAAACCAAAAAAGAGAGAAAAAAAGAAGTAAAAAAGACAAGGAAAAGAAAATAAGTTCCCAGTAAACTAACCTTGCCCTCAGGAGTTCAGAGTAATCATCTACAGTGGTGGCCAAGGTGGCAGTGGCAGAAGTTGGGGGTGGATGGTTAATTAACTTGCACACCGCATCTATAGAATTCTCTGCCCAGTTCTGCCTGGCTGCAGGCCTTTTCATTTTGTTCACTTTGGAGGAAAGTTTATCTCCCCCCAAATTCCCTCACTTCATCTGGTATCCAGTTCATTTTCTACTTGCAAGTGTGATGAGACTATCACTCTATGACAACACTTGTGTATTCTCCCAAATTGAGCTCTGTGAAGTCCCTCTTTGTTCTCCAGAGAACTCATGCATATCTGCCATTATGTTACTTCTGACACAGAGAAGAAAGGGAGGACTCCGTTGAGAGCAACTGACGAGGCAAAAACAACATGTTCCCGAGTCAGACAAGTTAATTTTACAGCTTGTTCATAAGGAGTTCTTTGGAAGATGGCATAAATCTAAATACCACCTCTAATTCTATCACTAAAGAGGCAACAAATAGATAAATAAATATTTCAAAACTATGTGCAGCAGTTAATGAAATGACCAGGGACTACCAGTGTGTTCAGCAAGAATCATGCGGAACCAGAAGGGACTGACGAAAGCAGAAGAACAAGAAACAGAAGCAATAACTAAGTTACATTAAGAGATACAACCATGGGCCAGGCGCGGTGGCTCACACCTGTAATCCCAGCACTTTGGGAGGCCGAGGCGGGTGGGTCATCTGAGGTCGGGAGTTCGAGACCAGCCTGACCAACATGGAGAAACCCTGTCTCTACTAAACACACAAAATTAGCCGGGCATGGTGGCGCATGCCCGTAATCCCAGCTACTCAGGAAGGCTGAGGCAGGAGAATCACTTGAACCCAGGAGGCAGATGTTGCGGTGAGCCGAGATCACACCATTGCACTCCAGCCTGGGCAACAAGAGTGAAATTCCATCTCAAAAAAAAAAAAAAGAAATACAACCATGATTGAGCATCTACTGTGTGCCAAGTGATTTCAAGTACATTATCTCACTTAATCCATAAGTTGTGAGTTATATTACCAATCCCAGGTGGCAAAGGAGGAAACTGAAGGTCAGAGAAGTTAAGTAACTTGTCCAAGGTCACACAGCTAGTGCCTGAGCTAGAATTTTGACTCTAGGTACTTGATGCTGAGTCATGAGTTCAGTTCAGTCTTTATCTGTGCATTTATGCAGGTCCCAGAATGTAAACAGATGGTGAGAACCAGGGAAGGAGTTAGGAGAGGGACAATGTCTATTAATGGTTTTAAGATGAACATCAAGGGGAAAGGTAAATGAATGGGAATTACTTGTCCTAGGAAAGGGAGTGTCTTATGATTTGTGGTCATCTCTTTACTATAGGGACATAGATGGAAGTTAGACAAGCAGACGTTCCCGGTAGCCAGGGAGAGTCCTGTGAATTTCTTAGGGGGGTTTGGATCCTAGAACACATGCTCCAGTCTGGAATGATTTAGGGAGGCTTCCAGAAACTTAGAGGCAGAGGTGGTATCAGTTTCTCCATCCTGGATCATCCTGGTTCAGAGCTTCTCCATTGTAATCAGTTAGATACATTGGCTTTTCCCTTACGAAACAGAGTTTGAAAACCAGTGGGGCACCGCACAGCCTTGAATCAAGTGTGTCATCAAATTTCTGTCATTTATTCACATATTCATTCACTCAGTTGCTATTTTTTGAATTCCATTTAAGTACTCAGTTCTGTTCTTAACCCTATAACTCATGAAAGAAAGAAGCCACTTACTCTATCTTGAAAAGCTTACCATCTTAGAGGAAAGACTAGAAACACCTGTTACAGAACAACCTAGAACAGGAATGATCACATGCCCAAAAGAATGATACAGGCAACATAAATACTATTTTGTATTTATTTAAAAAGTAAATGAAATGGCTAAAATTACACATTTTATCTTACATATGTTTTACACACACACACACACACACAAAGTAAATGGAAACATTAAGTCTTTCATTGGAACCAAGACAGCAATTTTTCATAGAGACCAAGCTGGCACCATCAGTCACCCTAAAACCATCATAGACAAAAGACAATTTTAATTTGGAGTCCCACCACACATCATATCCAGCATATTAAAATGCAGTTTTACTCACGTTACACGTGTGTTTTGTGTATGAAACATTTTTCACAAATCTTTTTTTATACTTTTAAACTTTTGCCTTTAAAATTATCTGGCTAAGAATAACTCAATTAAGTCATAAATGACAATTAATATGTCAATTATGTCTGGCAATATGGTGTCTACTCAGGAATTCTGGAAAGGGGCAAATCTATTTTATGAATTATTTTCAAATATAATATTTTATGAATAGCAAATTTAACAATGACAAATAAGAAATATGACATAGATATTTAATCTAGCAAATATTTATTTTGATTTTGTGGGGTTTTTTCTTTCTCTCTTTTTTTTTTTTTTTTTTTTTTTTTTTTTTGAGACAGGGTCTTATTCTGTCACCCAGGCTGGAGTGCAGTGGCACAATCACAGCTCACTGCAGACTCAACTTCCTGGGCTCGAGGGATCCTCAGCCTCAGCCTCCCAAGTAGCTGGGACAAAAGGTGGGTGCCCCCATGCCCAGCTAATTTTTAAAAATATTTTGTAGAGATGGGGTTTCACTGTATTGCCCAGGCTGGTCTTAAACTCCTGGGCTCAAATAATCCTCCCACCTCAGCTTCCGAAAGTGCTGGGATTACAGGCATGAGCCCACCACATGTGGCTTTGGCGTTCTTTTAGAATCAAGAGCTAATAAATATGTTTTGCATTTGATTGTTGAAAAGAAAACATGTAGACCTATCCAGATGCGCATGGATAAAAATGAACTGGATTTGGTATAGAGAACAAAAATAAGAGGAATTCTCTCATATACTCATACACACACACACACACACACACACACACAGAGAGAGAGAGAGAGAGAGACAGAGAGAGACACACACACATATAATACAAATGCAATATGAAATGAAAGCTTCCTCTACTCGTTTTTTATTCCTCCACTGAGAATCACACAAAAAGTTAGAAGCACAAAAAGTATGATGGGTAATGATTTGCTCCACCTCGTGTTCTTGCAACTAAGTTTAGGTGTAGCATCAGGGGGATGGATTTTGTGGCCACTGAGGAGATTGGGTGGTGCCCATACGAGTAAGGATACTAATAAAAATGGACACGCTGTGCATTGCTTGGTCATTACCAATGAGCCTCTAGTTTCCAACAAGAAGATTGGGCTCTCTTCTCCTCACACTTGTCCATCAACTCTCCAACAGTTTTGATCCCCACTGTAATTAAACTAGTATCTTCTAAACACAAAATCTTCACTCTACCTCAGTAGCGCTTGGCAGCTGAAATCTTTTCTATTTAGAATATCCCACCTTTCTATCTTGAAATTTTGTCCAAGCTAAATGCCTCCTACTAATCTCTGCGTACCTGCGGGAACACAATGTGGCTACCACATTGGCTACCAGGGCTGTAGGGAGGATTGTCTCAAAATCCTCTCCATTTATCACAGAAAGGGAGGCGGGAAGAGGAAGAAAGTAGGTTATGCCCTGAGGCTCAAGGCTACTGGATGGCCAATCTGTGCTAGGTTTGCTGGTCAGAAAGTAGGATGATATGAGCTGATATAGGAGAGAAATATAGGGTACAGTTTCTACCCTGAGGGGCTGTATTTTAGTTGGGGAGATACATGCAATGACTGGACACCACCACCAAGGATAAGGAAGTCCTGGGATTGTGTGAAAGCCACAGCAGTTCAGAGAGGAGAAGGAAAAAGACTCCATGGAAATGATGGGAATTGAACCAGGCCTGGGTTTTCCCCCTCTCAGGCACACTGGAGGCTGTTTGCCTACCCTGTTGCATCTCTTGGCTTTTCCAAGTTTCTGTCTTGTTACAGACTCTTTCCTCTCTTCCTCCTCCTAGAAATATTGGCAAGCTTCTTTAGTCATTTGTGTTTCTTTACATTACAGGCCAGAGGTGTATCTTCTCTGATAGATAATGGCCCTCAGTTAAGACTAGGGAAAGCTATTTTGCTTGCTGTATTAGCGCCCTATTTTAGAATAATCCTATTCCCTTGATTCTTTAGTATTTACAATTTTTCTAAGTACCGATTATATTTTCTAAGTCAAAGTGGGGTAAAATTAGTGCATTGTATCCTGTTGTTGCCGCTTTCTGGAGTAGTCAGTCTTACATATTTGAACAATACCACCCTGGTGTAATTTTAAAAAGTAAGAGCTTGATTCTTTAAAAAACACTTAGCCAGGCAGTGTGAGCTCTCTCTGAGGATCCTCACATTAGGAGTGTTTTACATACATCACACAAAAGGAAAATGCGTTCTGAGGGGATCGGGGCTCCTCCGAGCTGAGAGCTGGACCTGATGAATTGTGACAAATGGGCCTGTTTCTGCCAGCTGCACGTTCTCAGCCAGGTGACGTCTGAGGCTGCCTGCCAGTAATGGTTTGTGGTTTGGGGAGCAAGAGGGAGGCCCTGGACATACTCACTGGTGGGGAACAGGAAAAAGTCAGGCCCAATCAGAAATAGTAACTCTCCTCAGTGTTCCCCAGCTAAGTAAGACTATGCATTTACCATGCAGTCCCCATCCTAAAACTCATGAAATGAAGAATTAGTGACACACTGGGGGAGTAGTGGCTCGAGGGGTTCTGATAGTTCAGTAGAGGGAGAGGTGACTGTGAGCTGGAATAGTCCGGGTAGGCTTCCTTGAGGAGTGGGACTTCAGCAGAGCCTGAAAAGATAACCAGGATTTAGATAGGCAGAGCAGAGGGCACAACTTCTTGGCTGCCAGCTGCTTGCTTGTTGTGCCAGACTAAGCACTTTGCTGAATTTTTTCCCATGGGTCATAGGCTCTGTCCAACTTGCCCATAAAATACACAGCAAAGCATAGAGGATAATATAACAAATGCTCTGTCATTCATTGCAGTGATGGTACATGTCACCCCAAACAGTAAAATATTTTGTATTTTTTCCACATTAGATCTTTTTTAATAAGATGAATTTTTTACAGATAACATTGATTCTCCTATGTCCTTCTCCAGTTTCGTCCTCCCCATAGGCAACTACTATAATGAATTTGGTTTGTATCCAGTTAATGTTTTTATAATTTGTGTGTGTGTATGTGTGTGTGTTTTATTGGCCTATGCCAAAATAATTTCCCTTTTTTTTTATTAGGAAGTGGGTGCTGCAAGTATCAGACTCTAAAACATGGAATTGGCTGAGTGGAGGTGGTAGGAAAGAGGAGGCTGGGAAGTTGGGGACCCTTGATTCATAACAAGTGTCCCTCCCTGTTCCTTGGGATTTAGGCCACATACGTATAGGGGCTGTAGTATTAGGAAAAAATTCAGAATTGTGGTATGTGTGTTGCTACTGCTTACTGCTTTTGGTAAAGTCCTCCGGGATATAGATGGCCACAGGCATCCCTGTAGCAGAGAAAAGAGGAAGACTCAGCAAGTGTCAGAAAGCTCCCAGTCCTCTCCTGACACACTGGGTCTTGGCACTCAGGACTGTTTAGAATTGCCTTAAGACAATTAAGACAGAGGCCAATAGATCGAAGGACAGGGGTTGGACATGGCTAGGAGAAGGTATTATCAGGACCAAAGATTGTATCCAGACAAGATTTTGGCTTAAGATTATTAGCCCATATAACTCCCTGAAGCAAAAACATGAGAAACCTGCTAAAAGAACTGTATTGCCAAAGAAATGCCAAGACTACTCACAGCAACCCATGACAGTTCAGCCTCTAAGGCAATCTCTCAGCTCCTGATCTGGCACCAAAAGTAATGTGTTCTTAAAACTGTGCGGCCCCAAATGAAGAGATACTCTCCCTAATGCCCATCTCAGATGTGGCCATAAGGATGAAGAACAAGAGAGATTCTCCAAGGGAGCAGAACTGAGGGCTGCCAGACTAGCTGACAAAGGATCTTACAACATTTACAGGACGTAGAGCCCAGCAGACCTTGATGATATATGCTGTGGAACATGGATCAGTGATTACTGTGTGTGTGCATGTGTGTCTACCTTTCCCCCTCCTTTTCTGATTGGGAGTTTTTATTCTATTTTGGGTATTTTGAACATGGCTATCACTGGACCATAGTCACAACTGTTTGGAAGGTAGATACTATTCAGATGCAACCTACTTTGCAAATGTTTTCCAATCTCCTCTCGCCCAGCACCATCTGGTCCCACCATACTGGGACTTGATGGACAAGAATTTACCCCACTCAGAGATCCTGGACCTGGATCTGGATGCCGTAACTGAAGGAGATTTTGAGTCATCTCTTTCTTGTGAGGGGGATGAATGTATTTTATGTAGGTATGAGCATTTTTTATGCTGAATGTGAGGGTAGGCAAAGGGATGGACTGTAGTAGACATTATTTCTTGCCGTGAAGGACTAATCAATTGACACACAGCATCCATCCTCACCTCTTCCCACATGCCATCCTCTACTGCAAAGGCTGGAAAGTTAAAACTAAATCTCCAGGACTGTTTTGCAGTTAGGGTTCTGCATGAAAATTAAGTTCTACCAATTACATGCACTTAACGTGATATTTAGAAAATAATCCTGCAACAGCACCCATTTTCCAAGCTGTTTTGGCTCTTTTCTCATGGCAAGCAAGGTTGTAGAGATCCCAAGGTCCAGTATCCAATGTGTGTGTGTGTGTGTGTGTGTGTGTGTGTGTGTGTGTGTGTGTGGTGGTGGGGGCAGTACTGAAAGATATTTGCAAAGTTGGTGACAGCTGGCAGTTGTGACTATGGCAGTGTTTCTGGATACAAGCTTCCCAAATCCTGGATCATAGCTATGGCTGTGTATTCTTGAATCAAGAGCTCCCCGGTGGCTGCCTGATGCCCTGCTTTTCTTTTTATGCCAGAGATAGTAGCAACTGGACTATGATGTTCTAGAAGTCATTAGAGGCTCAACCCATAGCCTGCTCCCTCAACCCTCCAGAGATTTCATAAGCACCTATTTCTCTACAATAGATTTTGTTTCCTAATCTTTGGCCGATATCATTGCCTATGCATCCAAATTTCCCCCTTCTTCTATGAGGAGCCCCAATTTTGTTCTGCTGACCTTTCCCCAATGTAACCCAATGATCTAAGCCAGTCCTGGTGATCCTATTTCCCTTGTAATTGGTTTGGGAGACAGAGTTCTGGCCAATGGAGATGTCTGGAGGGGAAGTCTACTGGGTGGTCTGGTTAAGAGATCTTTGCTTTATGATAGAGATGTACAGCAAAGACGTGCTCTTTTCTCTTTCATTGGATCTTGTTGTTTCCACATGTGGTGCCTGGGATTATGGTAGCCATATGGTGTCCAAAAGAAGGGTTAGGCTGAGGAGAACACATTTTAAATTGCTGAATGAAAATATGGACAATCCTAAGTCCTTGGTAAGATGTTTAAACTGCTGGATTAAATACCTTGGAACTGTCCTACTTCTGGATCTCTTGTTATGTCAAGATAATAAATCTCTTGATTATTGAAGCCATCTTGAGCTGGGGATTATTTTACTTGTATTTAAAAGATCCTAACTGACAGGATATCCACAATAATTGTATGTTTTATTACACACATGTAAAGTCATAACCAGTATCATATTGATTTATATTTTTAAAAATTTACTTAAATGAAAGCATATGGTTTGTAGTGTTCTGCAAGATTCTTTTCTCCTCTATATTTTTTTCTATCCATGTTGATACCTTTAAATACAGTCAATGAATTTTGGCCCCATTATACATAGTAGTTTAAACATAGTACAATTTATTTATTCCTTTTTCTATTAATGGACATTTGGATTGTTTCTGGTTTTTTGCTATTACAAACAATGCTGAAATGAACATTCTTATAACATCTTGAACACCTGTGCTTGTGACATCTTCTTGAATGCATGTGCGAGTGTTTTTCTAGGGTTTTTGACTAGAGATAGATCTGCTGGGGCATAGGATATGCATATTATGCATTTTGCTAGATATTGCCTAGTTGATCTCCAAAGTGGTTATGCCAATTTGCATTCCCACCAGCATTGTGCAAGACTTCTGTTTCCCAATATCCTTTTCAACAATCAGAATTTATTTTCTGCTAATCTTATGTGTGTGAAATGATCTCTCATTGTGAATTTAATTAGTGCTGCCTTGATTCTAGGGAAACCAAGCTTTTTAAAATGTGTTTTTAGGCTCTCCAAGTTTCTTCTTACATGAATCACACATTTTCCTGTTTGGTTGTTAGTAATGCTTCATTCTGAATGGTAATCTTTTGATTGTTACATATGATGTAAATACCTTCTCCCAGTCTACCGCTTGGCTATTAATTTTGTTTATGGTGTCTTTTATTCCACAGAGCTTTCAATTTTGATGGGTTTTTTTTTGCAATCTCTCTTTTATGATTTCTTTTATGATTTCTCCATTCATGGTGTGTGTGTGTGTGTGTGTGTGTGTGTGTGTCTTTGAAAATAATCACTCCTGCCTACCTTCATACCACCCTGAACGCACCAGATCTCATCTGAAAATAATCACTCCTTATTTGGGAATAATAAATGTATTTTTCTATATTTTCTTTAAATAATTAAAAATGTGTTCTATTTTATTTTTTATTAATAAACTATTTTTTAGATCAGCTTTAGGTCTATGGCAAAATTGAACAAAATGTACGAAGTTCTCATAACTCCCTTGTCCCCACACACCCACGACCTCATTTAGGATTAACATCCTGCACCAGAATGGTACATATATCGCAATCAAACCTATATTGACACATTATTATCACCCAGTGTCCATAGACTACATTAGGATTCACTGTTGCTGTTGTGCATTCTATGGGTTATGACAAATGTGTGGCACGTACCCACCATTGTAGTTTCATATAGAATAATTTCACTGCTCTAAAAATCCCCTATGCTATGTCTATTCATCCCTCCCTCCTCCTAACTCTTGGAAACCACTGATCTTTTTTACAGTCTCCATAGTTCTGCCTTTTATGGAATGTCATGTTTTTGGAATCACACAGTGTGTAGCCTTTTCAAGCTGGCTTATTTCACTTAGTAATATGCATTTAGTTTCTTCAATGTCTTTTCATGGCTTGATAGCTCATTTCTTTTTAGTGCTGAGTAATATTTCATAGTCTGGACATATTACAATTTATCCGTTCACCTGCTGAAGGACATCTTGATTGCTTCCGAATTTTGACAATTATGAATAAAGCTGCTATAAACATCTACATGCAGGTTTTTGTGTGGACATAAGTTTTCAGTTCATTTGGGTAAACACCAAAAAGTATGATTGCTGGATTATATGCTAAGAGTATGTTAGTTATGTAAGACAGCCAAGCTGTCTTCCAAAATGGCTATACCATCTGGCATTCCCATCAGCAATGAATGAGAGTTCCCATTGCTCCACATCCTCACCTGCATTTGGTGTTGTCAGTGTTTGGAATTTTGGCCATTCTAATAGGTGTGTAGCGGTACCTTTTTGCTGTTTGAATTTTTAATTCCCTAATGACAAATAATGCGGAATATCTTTTAATATACTTAACATCTGTATATCTTCTTTGCCGAGGTATCTGTTTAGGTATCTGTTCATTTTTTAATTAGGTTATTTATTTTCCTATTTTTGAGTTTTAATAGTTCTTGGTACATTTTGAATAACAGTTCTATATCAGATATTTTTTACAAAATATTTTCTCCCATTCTGTGGCTTATCTTATTCTCTTGACATTGCCATTCACAGAGCAGAAGGTTTTAATTTTAATGAAGTTCAGCTTATTTAATGAAGTTCAGGATTATTTCTTTCATGGATTGTGCTTTTGGTGTTATATCCAAAAAGTCACCACCATACCCAAGGTCATCTAGATTTTCTCTTATATTATCTTCTAAAAGTTTTATAGTTTTGTATTTTACATTTAGGTCTGTGATTCATCTTGAGATAAATTTTGTAAGGTCTGTGTCTAGATTCCTTATTATTATTATTATTATTATTATTAATTTTGCCTGTGGATGTTCAGTTATTCCAGTATCATTGGTTGAAAAAGACAGTCTTTTTTCCATTGTATTTCCTTTGCTCTTTTGTCAAAGATCAGTAGACTATGTTCACATGGGTCTATTTCTGGGCTATTAGGCCCCATTAATCTATTAGTCTATTTTTTTTCACCACACTGTCTTGATTACTGTAGCTTTATAGTAAGTCCTGAAGTCAAGTAGTGTCAGTCCTCCAACTTCGTTCTTTTCCTTCAATATTGTGTTGGCTGTTCTGGGTCTTTTCCCTCTCTATATAAACTTTAGAATCAGTTCATCAATATCTACAAAATAGCTTGCTGGGATTTTGATCGGGGTTGTGCTGAATCTATAGATCAAATTGGGAAAAACTGAAATTTTAACAATATTGAGTCTTCCTATCCATGATCATGGAATATCTCTCCCATGTATTCTGTTGTTCTTTGATATCTTTAATTAGAGTTTTGTAGTTTTCCTCATATAGATCTTGTTCATATTTTATTAGATTTATATGTAAGTATGTCATTTTGAGGGATGCTAATATAAATCGTAATGCATTTTTAATTTCAAATTCCACTTGTTTATTGCTGGTATACAGGAAAGTGATTGACTTTCATATATTAATTTTGCACCCTGAAACCTTGCTATCATCTCTTATTAGTTGTAGGAGTTTTAAAAATTGATTCTTTCAGATTTTCTACAGAGACAATCAATCATACCATCTGTTCCCAATCTGTATACCTTCTATTTCCTTCTTTTTTGTCTTGTTGCATTAGCTAGAACTTCTAGTATAATGTTGAAAAGTAGCGGTGAGAGGGAACATCCTTTTCTTGTTCCTGATCTTAGCAGGAAAGCTTCAAGTTTCTCACTATTAAGTGTGATTTTAACTGTAGGGTTTTTGTACATGTTCTCCATAAAATTGAGAAAGTTCTCCTCCATTCTTAGTTTTCTGAGAGTTTTAAAAATCACCTATGGGTGCTGGATTTTTGTCAAATGCTTTTTATGTATCTATTGATGAGATCATGAGACTTTTCTTCTTTTATCTGCTAATGTGGTGAATTACATTAATTGATTTTTGAATGTTGAACCAGCCCTGCACACCTGGGATAAATCCCAATTGGTTGTGGTATATAATTCTTTTTATATGTCACTGGATTCAGTTTGCTAATATTTTATTCAGGATTTTTACATTTATGTTCATGAGAGATATTGATCTGTAGTTTTCCCTTCTTATAATGTCTTGGCTCACAGAATGAGTTAGGGAGTACTCCCTCTGATTCTATCTTCTGGAAGTGATTGTAGAGAACTGGTATAATTTCTCCTTTAAATTTTTGGTAGAATACACCACTGAACACATGTAGGCATGATGCTTTCTGTTTTACAAAGTTATTAGTTACTGATTCAATTTATTTAATAGAAATAGGCCTATTCAGATTGTCTATGTCCTCTTGTGTGCATTTTTGGCAGACTGTGTGTTTTAAGGAATTGTTCCATTTTATTAAGTTATGAAATTTGTGAGTATAGAGTTGTTCATAATATTCCTTTATTATCCTTTTAATGTCCATGGGATCTATAGTGATGTCTACTCTTTCATTTCTGATAGGAATAATTCATGTCTTTTTTTTCTTTATTTTTGGAGACAGGATCTCACTCTGTCATCCAGGCTGGAGTGCAGTGGCGTCCTTCAATTTTTTTTCTTATGCTGGTATAGTCTTACCAGTTTCACTGATCTTTTTGAAGAAACAGCTTTTGGTTTTGTTGATTTTCTCTATTGATTTCCTGTTTCCAATTGTATAAATTTCTAATCTAATTATTATTTTTCTTCTGCTCACTTTGCATTTAATTCTTTTTCTAGTTTCCTACGGTAGAAGTTTAGACCATTGATTTTAGATCTTTCTTCTTTTCTAATACATGTTTTCAATGCCATAAATTTCCCTCTATGCACTGCTTTCACTGCATCTCACAAACTTTGATAAGTTTTATTTTCATTTCTATTTAGTTCAAATATTTTAAAATTTCTCTTGGGATTTCTTCTTTGACCCATATGTTGATTAGCAGTGTGCTATTTTATCTCCAACTATATGGTGATTTTCCAGCTTTCTTTCTGTTATTGATTTCTAGTTGAATTCCATTGTGTTCTAAGAGCAGACACTGTATGATTTCTATTATTTCAAATGTGTTAAGATGTTTTATCACGCAAAATGTGGTTTATCTGGGTAAATGTTCCAGGTGAACTTAAGAAGAATGTGTGTTCTGCTATTATTGGATAAAGTAATCAATAGATGTCAATTATATCCAGTTGATTGGCGGTGGTGTTGAGTTCAATTACGTCCTTACTGATGATCTGTCGGCTAGATCTGTCTATTTCTGATAGAGGAATGTTTTAAGTCTCCAGTTATAATAGTGAATTCATTTACTTCTTGCAATTCTGTCAAGTTTTTGCCTCATGTGTTTCGATGCTCTGTTGTTAGATGTATACACATTAAGGATTATTATGTCTTCATGGAGTACTGACTCCTTTATTATTACATATTGTTCCTCTTTATCCCTGATAAATTTCCTTGCTCTGAAATCCTCTGTCTGAAATTAATATACCTACACCTACTTTCTTTTCATTGATGTTAGAGTGGTATATCTTTCTCCATTCATTTATTTTTAATCTATATGTGTCTTTATATTTAAAGTGGATTTCTTATAGACAACATACAGTTGGGTCTTGATTTTGATCCACTGACAGTCTCTGCCTTTTAATTGGTATATGTAGAACCTTGACATTTAAGGGGATTATTAATATACTTGAATTAATATCTACCAGATTTGTTACTGTTTTGTATTGGTTCTCCTTGTTCTTATTTTTGTCTTTTACACTTTTTCTGCCTTTTGTGGTTTTAATTGAGCATTTTATATGATTCTTTTTTATCTCCTTTCTTAGCATATCAATTGTATTTCCTTTTTCACTTTCTAATTCATTGTCCTAGAATTTGCAACATACATTTACAACTAAGTTCACTTTCAAATAACACTACGCTGTTTTCAGGTAGTGCAAGTACCTTATAATAACAAAATAATTCTAATTCTTTCCTCCCCTCTTTTGTTATCATTGCCATCAATCATTTCACTTATACATAAGCATACATAAGTATATATGTATACATGAGTATAATCAAAGACACTGTTATCATTATTTTGAACAAACTGTTATATGTTAGATTAAGAATGACAAAATATTTGTATTATACCTTCACTTATTCATTCTCTGATGCTCTTCCTTTCTTTATGTAGATCTGAGTTTCTGACCTATATCATGTTCCTTCTCTCTGAAGAACTTACTTTAACATTTCTTGCAAGGCAGGTCTACTGGCAACAAATTTCCTCAACTTTTGCTTGTATGAGAGTCTTTTATTTTTCCTTCACTTTTAAAGGATGATTTTGCTGGGTACAGAATTCTAGGCTGGTGGTTTTTTAATCTCAATACTTTAACTATTTCACCCTGCTCTATTCTTGTTTACCTGGTTTCTGAGGAGAAGTTGGATTTAATTATTTTCTCTCCTATAAGTAAGGTGCTTTTTTACTTCTTTCAAGATTGTTTATCTTTGATTTTCTTAACTTTGAATATTGTCGTGCATTGCTATAAAGAAATACCTGAGACTGGGTAATTTATAAAGAAAAGAGGTTTAATTGGCTTATGGTTCTGCAGGCTTTACAGGAAGTATGGTACTGGCATCTGCTTGTCTTCTGGGGAGGCTTCAGGAAGCTTATAATCATGGTGGAAGGCAAAGGGAGAGCAGGCATCTCACATGGTTAAGAATGGGAGCAAGAAAGAGAGTGGGAAAGGAGGTGCCACACTTTACAACAACCGGATCTCACAAGAACTCACTCACTGTCATGAGGACAGCACCAAGGGGATCATGTTAATCATTCATGAGAAATCCACCCCTTGATCTAATTACCTCCCACCAGGCCCCACCTCCAACATTGGGGATTACAATTCAACCTGAGATTTAGAGGGAACACATATCCAAACCATATGAAATACGATATGCCTATGTGTAGTTTTTGGTTTTGTTTGTTGGTTTCTTTGCATTTACTCTACTTGGTGTTCTCTGAGCTTCCTGAATTTGTGGTTTGATGTCTGACAGTAGTTGGAGAAACTCTCAATCATTATTGCTTGGAATATTGCTTTTGTTCCTTTCTCTCTTTCTCCTTCTTCTGAGTTTCTCATCATGCATACATTACACCTTTTGTAGTTTTCCCACAGTTCTTGGATAGCCTTTTCTGTTTTCATTCAGTCATCGTTCTCTTAGCTTTTCAGTTTTGGGAGTTTCTATTGTCATATCATCAACTCTATCCAATCGACTAATAAGCCCATCAAAGGCTTTCTTCATTTCTGTTACAGTGTTTGGGATTTCTAGCATTTCTCTTTAATCTTTCTTAGAATTTCCATTTCTCTGCTTACATTATCCATCTCTTTGCATGTTGCCTATTTTTTCCAGTATAGCCCTTAACATAGTAATCATAAATTGCTATAATTCCTGGTCTGAAAAATCCAACATTGCTGCCATATCTGACTCTGATGCTTGTTAAGTCTCTTCAAGCTGTGTTTTTGCCTTTTAATATGCCTTGTAATCTTTTCTTGAAAGGCAGACAGGATGTACTAGGAAAACAAAATTAGTAAGCAGGCTTTTAGTAATGAAACGGTAAGGTGTTAGGGAAGAAAAAGTGTTTTATATGCATATAATTGGGTCCCAGTCTTTTGGTGAGCCTATGCCCCTGGACTGCCAACTTCACTAGTGCTCCTCAGTACTCCCTACATAGCTGAGACAGATAGCAGAAGGGGACTAGAGTTGTGTACTCTCCTCCCCTACGTGGAAGCCTAGAGGGAGCTACAGTTGGGGCTTTCTCTTGCACCATGTGGAAGGTTAGAGTCACCTGGATTTGAATATCTTCCTTTTCCAGCAGGTTAGGCTCTGTTAAAATAATTTCTCTTGAGGGCAGGTCTTGTTACAAAGAACAGAATGTGCTGGCATATTTCAAAATGATTCCTTTTCCTCTCCCCGCTGCCAGAAGCACAAAGAGATTTTTCTCTATTTACTATAAGGAGCTGGGAGAGCTCTTGCAAGCAAAACTCAATAGTGCGCAGCTCCCCCTGTGACTGACTGGGTCCACCTGGAGTTTTTCTCTCTTAAGCTTGTCCACACTGAGCCTCCAGCAATTTGTCAATTACAACTAATGTGTTTCTATCCCAGTACTGGTTCCCACAGAAGTTCCCACTCATAAATTTTGGCTCAAGTAAGTTGTGATTTTCTGTATCCACCTGTCTGTCTTTCCAATTTTGGGAGCAGTGGTTGCCCTGTGACCTCACTTCTCTGACAGATCTAAAAAGAGCTGTTGATATTTCATTAAGTTTTTACTTTATGTTAGGATAAAGTAAAGACTTCTAGCCTCTTTATATACTAGGCTATAAACTGGAAGTCTAGTTTTATTTTTAACATTTAGCTTTTTAATAAATCTAGAGCTTAATTTTGTGTCTAATGAAATAAAGATATAAAATTTTATTTTATTTTTATATGGTTAGCCAAGTGGTACAATACCAATTATTGAATAGTCTATTCTTTCCCCACTTATTGTTTAATGCTATCTCGTTAATAGATCAAGATCCTACACACACTTGAGTCTGTTTCTGAGCTTTCTATTCTACCCTATTGTTCTTTTCATCTACTCCTGTACAAACATCACACTGTCTTAATTACTTTATTTTTGTAATAATAGTCCTAGGTTAATATGCTGGCAATCAATTTACTGAAAGCCAATTTTTCCCTTCTTAACAGCTTTATTGAGTTATAATTTACACACCATAAAATTCATCCATTGCACATGTGCAATTCAATGATTTTAGTAAATTTATAGAGTTTTGCAATTGCTACAATTCAGTTTTAGAGCATTTCCATCACCCCATAAAGTTCCTCCATGCCCTTTTGCAGTTAATCTCCACTCCTCTCACCCCTCCCCCAGCCCTAAGCAACAACTGATCTGCTTTTCATCTCTATAAATTGGCCTTTTTTAGACAAATCGTATAAATGGAATCGCACACTATGTGGTCTTTTGCGTCTGTAAAAGCCAGTTTTAAGTCACTCCATCTAATGTTCAATTTGCTAAAGTTATTAAATTTACTAACATATCAAAAATTTTAAGACACAGCCTTCTCAAATATGTTAGAAGTATGACAATATTCTTAAGCCTATATTCACAAATAGGTTATATATATTCTAACTTGCATTTTTCTTAGCAGCACTGAACAAATAATTTATCAAAGGTTGAGTTATGAAAAGTATGTTTCAGAATATATTTAATGTAGTCTCGAATATATTCATGTATATATTTGATCTTTTCTCATGTATATTGCTTATAAGAATATGTTAATAAAGACTGTCTTATTATGAAGTCATTGGTTATACAGTCATGTGTTGCTTAATGATGAGGATAAGTTCTGAGAAATGAATCATTAGTCAATTTCATCCTTGTGCAAACCCATAGAGTGTACGTACCCAAACCTAGGTGGTATAGCCTACTACATACCTGGGCTATGGGCAATACCAAACTGTTCCTAGGCTACAAACCAGTACAGCATGCTACTGCTCTGCATACTGTAAGCAATTGTAACACAATGCTAAGTATTTCTGTATCTAACATATCTAAACAATAAAAGGTACAGTAAAAATATGGTATTGTGATTTTATGTGGTCCATCATTGACTGAAACGTCATTATATGGCACATTACTATATTCATGAAGAATATATTTTGAAGTATATAGTCTTGAATAGATCCTTGGCTATCTATTATGTCGAATATATTCTTTCTTAGAATTTTGACTAAAGAAAAACTAGAAGTCAATATTTCTTAAAACACATTTGTAGCTATTCAGTACATCTTGTAAATTCTGTGAATCAGTCATTTGTGAAGTTAATTCATTAGCAAACTGACTTTTGGGAAATTGGCCTTTGTCAAACTGGCCATTCATGGAATTGGCCATTTGACAAATTGGTGTTTGGTGAACTGGTCAACTTCATGATATGTCTTGATAGTTTATAGAGTAAATTGTTTATCTTTCCTCTTTTTCAGATTTATCTTGGTTACTTATGCCCTTATACTTTTATGTTTTAATCAGATTAAGTTCTGTAAAAAATCCTCTTGAACTTTGTTTGAAATTACATTGAATATCAAGTATTGGCTAATAGGTTATTATTTGTGTCTAGAATTTTTGTATATTGGTGCTGTACCCAGCAGCCTTGCCAAATGCTCTGATTAGTTTTAAGAGTTTGGTTTTTGGATTTTCTTTCTTTCTTTCTTTCTTTTTTTTTGTGGGGAAAGGGGTCTTTATTCACACGGAAGGCTGTATGTGATGCCTGGGAAAAGCTCTCAGTGTGGTGTGTGCTTCTGGGTGGCTTGGGCTCCAAACTCTGCTTTCCAGTTTGTCATGGGTTCTCAGCTGTATACACCCTGTGCCCTGCTGGATGCCACCTTCTTTTTTTTTTTTGAGATGGAGTCTCACTCTATCACCCAGGTTGGAGTGCAGTGGCACCATCTTGGCTCACTGCAACCTCTGCCGCCCAGGTTCAAGCGATTCTCCTGCCTCAGCCTCCTGAGTAGCTGGTATTACAGGCACATGCCACCATGCCCGGCTATGTTTTTGGATTTTCTATGTAGATAATTATGTTTTCTGCAAATAATATTTTTTTCTTTCCTTCCTTCTATCTACTTTTTCCTTGTGTTATTGCATACTCTAGGACCTCCAGTATAATCTTGTGTAAGAGGAGTAATAATGGGCATTCATATCTTGTTCTTGACTTCAAAGGAAATCTTGCTAAAATTTAAACATTAACGGCCAGGCACGGTGGCTCACGCTTGTAATCTCAGCACTTTGGGAGGCCAAGGTGGGCAGATCACTTGAGGCCAGGAGTTCCAGACCATGCTGGCCAACATGGTGAAACCCCGTTTCTACTAAAAATACAAAAAATCAGCTGGGCATGCGTGGTGGTGGGCGCCTGTAATCCAAGCTGCTCGGGAGGCTGAAACAGGAGAATTGCTTGAACTTGGGAGGCGGAGGGTGCAATGAGCAGAGATTGCACCACTGTACTCCAGCCTGGGTGACAGAGTAAGACTCTGTTTCAAAAAAAAAAAAAAAATACCATTAAGAAAGACATTACTGTAGATTTTTAGATCCTACTCTTTATCAAATCAAAAAGTCCCTTCTACTTCTAGTTAAATAAGCATTTTTCTTTCTTTTCTTTTAGTTATGAAAGAGTAGTGTATTTTATCAAATATTTTCTGCATCTACTGAGATGAGCATATGTTTTTTCTCCTTTAATCTGATAAGTGGTCAATTACATTGATTTATTTTCTGCTAATGAGTGATACTTAGATTCCTGGGAAGAATTCTACTTGGTCAGGACATATTATTAGCTTTAAAAAACTCTGAGCTTAATTTAATTTAGTGTTTTACATCTACGTTCATAAGTAACATTATCATATAATTTTTCTATTAACCCACTATCCTTGTCCAGGTTTAGCACCAAGGTGAAACTAACTTTCTTCAATGAGTTAGCTTTTCCTAATTTTCTGTTTTCTCGTACAGTTTGTTTTGATAATGGACTTAGGTACTGCTTTAATTTATTTAACAATGATTATGATTACAAGTCCCTGAAAATGATCAATTTTTCCTAAGTCAGTTTTGATTTTTTTTTTTTTTTTTTTTTTAAGACGGAGTCTTGCTCTGTCACCCAGGCTGCAGTGCAAGTGGCGCATTCTCGGCTCACTGCAACCTCCACCTCCTGGGTTCAAGCAATTCTCCTACCTCAGCTCCTGAGTAGCTGGGACTACAGGCAAGTGCCACCATGCCCGGCTAATTTTTGTGTGTTTTTAGTAGAGACAGGGTTTTACCATGCTGGCCAGGCTGGTCTCGAACTCCTGACCTCAGATGACCCACCCACCTCAGCCTCCCAAAGTGCTGGGATTACAGGTGTGAGCCACCATGCTTAGTCCAGTTTCGATAATTTTTTATTTATCTAAGTTTTCTAATTTAATGGCATAAATTGCCAATAGATTATGATTTTAACATTTCCACTACATCTGTAGTTACGTCCTCTTTTACCACCCTATATTATTATTTAAATACTCTATTTTCTGCTTAATCTATTCATCTGATAGAGGCGTACTAAAATTTCCCACTGCAATTTTGGATTTATTTTTCATTGTAACTATGTCTGACCTTTTTTACTTTATATATTTTGAGGCTTTTTTCTCTTTTATTGATATATAATAATTTACATATTTATATGAGGCTATCTTATTATGCACATTCAATTCTATGATAAACGTTATCTTATTTGTGAATTGTTCTTTCCATTATGCAACGTCCCACTTCATCATATTTATGCTTCTTGTCTTAAATTAATATTTTGTCTGATATGGTTATTTTGATTAGTATTTGTCTTGTATACCTTTTGCCGTCCATTTGGTTTCAATATTTCTATCATTTTGGTTTGGGTTGTACTTGTAGGGGGCACATATTTGGATTTATAAAATGTAACAGTCTCATGTTTTTTATAGTTCGAGTTTAGACTGCTTATATTTATGATTATAACTGACATGTGGAATTATTTCTATGTACTTTTTATTTTCCTTTTCTCCATGTTTTCCCTTGGGTTATTTTTCTATTCTTTTTCTGTCCACTATTTGATTGATGACATTTCCTTCATCCCAACTATTTTTGTTTTCTCTGCTAATTTGGAAATGACATGTTTTCAGTGTTGTAATGATTACTCATAAATTTAAATTTTTTATTATGAAATATTTAAAATATTTAAAATGCATGGACAGTTGTACATATACTCAATAATACACTCATCAATGTAATTATTTAGTTTTATTGAATGTAACATTTGGCCATGTTTGCCTCAGATATTTTATAATGAAATAAAGTATTACTGAGTGGCTAAAAACTCTATGTACCCAACTCTGGTCCCACATCTCTCTTTCTCTCCAGAGGCAAGAACTAATCTGAATCTGGCATTTATGATTTCCATCCATGTGACATATGTATGTTGCCATGACTCATATATAATGTTGCTTTGTGGTTTTAGAACTTTTATATAAATGATATATGTGTAATTCTACAACATTGTTTTCAATATCATTATGTTGAGATTTATTTATTTTAGCCTGTATGGCGCTAGATCCTATCTTTAATTGCTATATAGTATCCATTGAGTAAACGTGCCACAATCCATTCTCTTGTTGATGGATATTTGGTTGTTTCCAATGTTTTACTGTCACAAATACCATTGGAATACATTTTCTTATATGTAGATCCTTGGGCAAATGTGTATGAGTTTCTTTAGAATATTTACTTTGGCTGGGCACAGTGGCTCACACCAGTGATCCTAGCATTTTGGGAGGTCAAGGCGGGCAGATTGCTTGAGCTCAGGAGTTTGAGACCAGCCTGGCCAACGTGGTGGAACCTCATCTCTACAAGAAATACAAAAAGTTAGTCAGGTGTGGTGGCATGCACCTGTAGTCCCAGCTACTCAGGAGGCTAAGGAAGGAGAATCGCTTGAGACTGGGAGGTGGAGGTTGCAGTGAACCAAGATTGTGCCATTGTTCCCCAACCTGGCTGATGGGAGTGAAACCCTATCTCAAAAAAAAAAAAAAAAAAAAAAAAAAAGAATATTTACTTTGAAGTAGTATTTCTTTGTCTTAAGGTAGGCACAATTTCAACTTTATTAGATATTACAAAATTGGTATACCTAGTGGTGGTACAACTTACATATATTTGGTGTATTTTTCAGCTTTTCTTGCATCTAGGGTTCCAGATATGATCTGATTCTGCCAATAAGATGCACTTATGTGAAATCTGGAAGGGGAAGTAAGGCAGAGGCCATGGGTCTGTTGCACCTGCTAGCTAGCAGCATTACAACAAATGGAGGCATTTGTTTTCTGCAGCAGCATTATCAGGGGTCCCAGGGTCTGGTCCCTTGTCTTCAGGGTACAGGGCATCCATTTGGCTGGTGTAAACCAAAGGGGCAGCTTCCTGATCATGGTGGCTTCAGATCATGTAAGAGGCAGCAGCTATCTTGGTGGCCCAATTTAGGGTGACTTTGGGGACTGTTTCTGAAAGCTCAACCTCGAGTCTGTTTCTTTAGTGCAATGATCCTGTGAGGTATTTAATACCCTCCAAGAAACTCCTTTCTATTGAACTTGCTACAGTGAATTCCGTTCCCTACAATGCCCTAACCAATAGACTAAATTGTTTTTATGGCTATTTCCCTAGAATCAGGGTACATTATGTTTTTAGTTTCCTTTCTGTAAAAGCCCACTTAAAAATGTTTACCAATCTTTAGTATGGATCATCTTAAAGTTTATTCAGTGCTTTTAAAACTGTTTTTGAAAAGGTAATAGATGCACCTGTCAAGCATTCAAAAGACACTAACAGGTACACAATGGAAAGTAGATTTCCCTGCTTTCTATAGAAAGATCTCTGTCCTCAAGTAGCTCAGTTCCCCAGAAGCAAATTCTGCTATCAGTTGTGTGTCTGTCTTTCGGGGTTATTTTATGCATAGGCAAGCAAATATGTATATCTTATTTTAGAAAATGAATGATATAATACAATATACATAGTTCTGCACCTACTTTTTGGGACAAAAGTTATTGGGGAAAATAATGCGCACATAAAATGCAAAAAAACATGTATGTAGAGTTTAGTTAATAACTAAAAACTGTACATCTATGTAGCTAGCACCCAGATCAAGAAGCAGAACATTGTCAGCACTCCACAAGCTTCCTGTTTGCTCTTCCTTCATCATCGGTTCCTTCCTTGCAGAGAGAGCCTTATCTTGACTTTTGTGATATTAATTTCCTTGCTTTTCCCTACAGCTTTGCCTCCTCTAACTGTATCTCTAAACAATAAAGTTTAGCCGTATCTGGTTTCGAAGCTTATATTAATGGAATCATATTTGTGTATTCTTTTTGGTCTTACTTTTTAAATTTTTGCAGAATATTATAGTTTTAGGATTCATTTACGTTGAATAGAATGCACTTCACTCTTTTTCACTTACAAATATAGTTTGGAGATTGTTTCATAGCACTGCATGAAAGAACAATAATTTATTCAATCAATGTCAGGGATGAGCATTTAGGTTATTTCCCATTTTGGCTATTACAAATATGCTTCAATAAATATTCTTATATGTACTTGTGCAAAGAAATCAATAGAATAAATTCCTAGATACTAAATTCCTCAGTCAAAGAGAATGTTCAATTTTTACTCTTTATAGACATTTCCAACTTGCTCTTCATAAGGATTATATTAACTTTTACTCCCATCAGCAGAGTTTCTATTTCCTTAAACTTTTTCCAATACATTTTCAACTTTTTTCCTATTTGATAAGTGAAAAATGGTAATTTATGGTCGTTTTATTTCATATCTCTTCTATTATGAGAGCCATTAGGTCTCTTTTCACTTTAAAAAATTATTTATGTTTTATTTTTTGTTAGTTGGTCTTCTGCTCTCTGACTTATGGAAACTTTTCATATTAAGGTAATTAGCTGGTGGAACCTGGTGGCACATGCCTGTTATCCCAGCACTTTGAAAGGCCAAGGTGGGAGGATCACTTGAAGCCAGGAGTTCAAGACCAGACTGGGCAACATAGCAAGACCCCATCTCTAAAAGCAAATAACAGTAAGAACAAAAAAGGTAATTTGTCCTTTGTTTAGAAGATATGGATTGCAAATTTTTTTTCCAGCTTTCTGTTTGTTTTTGACATTGTTTATGGTGTCTCTTCCCATGCATAAACTTCAATTTTTATACATTTATCATTTTTTCTCTTTTTACAGTGTCTGGGTCTTATGGCATACCTAGAGATGCTTTTCTCACTCCAGGGTCATTAAAAAACTTTTCTTGTTTCCTTCTTGCTCCTTTAAATTTCATTTGTAAGATCTTTGACCTATCTGGGTATCTGGATCTTTAAGCATAAGATACAAGACAGGAGTACAAATTAATTTTTATACATAGTTTCATTGGTCTGTCTATGTGCCAGTACTTGACTGCTTTAATTTTGCAGCTTTATAATATATTTTAATATCTGGCTGGGCCAGTTCCCCTCATCACTTTTATAATTTTTTCTGGCTATTTTCACTTGATTATTTTTCCATGTGAAATTTAGTGTCTGCTTCTCTGATACTCTCCTTGCCCTAGCCAAAAAAAAAAAAAAGTCATTGGGATTTACAGATTAATTTAGGGAATATTAACATCTTTATGATGTTGAATCTTTCCTTACAAGAATATGGGGTTTGTCTGTTCACATCTTTTTTGATTTATGTTGCCATTCATTAGCATTTTAAATGATCCATCTCTTGAACCTTCCTTCGTTTGTTCATAGTATCATTTCTTGCATTATCTCTAACTTTTATTTAGAAATACCATAAATTTCTTTACATTAACTTTATACCCGGCCATGTTACTGAATTGTAGCAGTTTTTTAGTTGATTCTCTTATTGGTTTATTCCCTCTTGTAAAAAAAAGTAACATCGTAAGTAAAACAAATGATAATTTCATTTATTTCTTGTCTCATTGTGCTGGACGGTTCTTCCAGGACAGTATTAACTAATAGCAATCAAAAAGACCATTCCTGACTTGTGTTGGTTTGTTTGTTTGTTTGTGACAGAGTTCTCACACTGTTGCCCAGGCTGGAGTGCAGTGGCACCAGCTTGGCTCACTGCAACCTCCACCTCCCAGGTTCAAGCGATTCTCCTGCCTCAGCCTTGCAAGTAGCTAGGACTACAGGTGCGCACCACCGTGCCCAGTTAATTTTTGTATTTTTAGCAGAGACGGGATTTCACCACGTTGACCAAGCTGGTCTCAAACTCCTGACCTCAAGTGATCCACCCTCCTTGGCCTCCCAAAGTGCTGGGATTATAGGCATGAGATGTCACACTCGGCCCCTGATTCATTTTTGACTTTACTGAGGTTGTTCCTACTGCTTCATCCAACCACTTGAGGTTTTGCTCCAATAAGTTGGAAGAAACTGAGGCTAAGAGGAAAAGATGGTGGCAAAGTCCATGACCCTCATTAACACTCCATAAGTTTGTCCCATTGGCCAGGTTGGGTTGCAGGCATGCCTCTGCTTTGCTCTGTTGCCCATCTTAGCCCTTCCTCCAGACAGAGGCAGGGAGAATCCTGGGACAGATGGAGACCAGGTGAGAGGAGCAGTGGATGGAGGACTTCAGAGAATCTGATGACTTCCTCCTAATGGCCAAAGCTGCCCATGGACAGTTCCAGCTGCAGAGGCACTGGCTATTACTCTTTCTTTAGTATCTCATTGGCTGTGTGTCTCCTTTCCACTCAAAGGGTTGGCTGGGAAGCTGCTTAGCTAATGTAGACAGGGAAGAATAAGAGGGGAAGGAACATTCACTTGCCTTCCCTCATAGTGTACTGTAAGTTGAATATTTTTGTTTCTTTGCTGTTAATAACATAACAACCTATTTATATTTATCATCACTTCTCCCACATTACAGAATCTCCAGCCCCTCCCCCAGGTCATCAGGAGAACATTAGAGTAATACTCTTTCCTCTGTTAACCTTTCCTTCCAGGATAGTTTATTTTCGAGAGGAAACATTTGATAAAGCTCAGAGTAATTTTAAATACATGATTTGCCATGTTAACACTTGTCACTTATCATATGCACTTCAGTCTGACCTCCCTGCCATTCTGTTAACCTTCCGAGGCACCGTTAAAGCAAGCCATTTGCAGTTGCCCTGTGAAAACTCGGCATTTAAATTGCTTTTCCTCCCTTCCCCAAAGTTTCCATAACTATAAATAAATTTAATTACCATTCCAAGAAGTGTAAGCAAATCTTCTATTACATTTTTTAATCTTTTATCTCCTTCTTGTCCCTCCACCAAATATACAGTTTATCAGGCAGCCACCCTGCATCTAGCGGCACTTGCCCCTCTTGGCTTCCCTCCTACTAATAAAATCTGAGTTTGTTTTCCCTTCTGTACAACTGAGTTTCCCAAGAGTTACAGCCCAACCCGGCACTCCAGAGCCTACCCTGCAGACAAGAGTGTTTCTGTAGAGGAGATAGTGAAAAATCAGCATGTAGGTCTCCTAAGATGCCTTTTTGTGCCTCCCTCCACTGGCAGCTAAATGTGGCACAAACAAGGTGGTGTCCTCACCACATCAAAGTGCAGATTTCCTTCTGTCATCGTGAGGTTAGGTCCAAATGATGTCCTTTAAATGTTGTTCTTTGCAAAGCACCTTTTTTCTTTCTGATACAGGGCCTTGCTCTGTCACCCAGGCTGGAGTGCAGTGGTGCAATCTCGGCTCACTGCAGCCTCGACCTCCTGGGCTCAAGCAATCCTCCTGCCTCAGCCTCCCGAGTAGCTGGGACCACAGGCATGCATCACCGCACCGGAGTAATTTTTTTTATTTTTAGTAGAGATGAGGTCTCATTATATTGCCCAGGCTGGTCTCAAATTTCTAGATTCAAGTGATCCTCCCACCTCAGCCTCCCAAAGTGCTGGAATTATAGGTGTGAGCCACTGCACCTGGCCTGCAACGTGCTTTCTAATGCATTAATTTGTTCTTGGAAAAATCTTCCTAATATAAGAAAGGCAGCCATTTTTTTAATCCCCTTGATGCAGACGGGGAAATTGAGACACATTTCTCTCTCTCTCTCTCTCTCTCCCCACCCCTCCCCCACACACACATCCCTATCTCTACCTCTAGAGTTGCTTCTTTGACTCCTACCCTCTACTCTTTAAGGCAATTTCCTTATTCTCTCCTCCTTCGTTAGTCACATCTCTAGTGCCACTATGACAACAGTGGGCTGTTTAGACCCTTTACCAGAGCTGCTGGAGGCAAAGCAAGTGTGTCTGGGTCTACACCCCAGTCTGTGGAGCTTTCTGTGCCGCTGATCCTCCCTCAGTTCACCCACCAGATTCTTGCTGCATCTCATCTCCTCAGATTCCCAGACAGAGGGGCAAGGAGCCAGGCTCACTCTGCTCTTTCCCATCCATGCGCCCAGGTCCAACACCATGACTCCAGTACCTCCCTCCTTGAGCCCACCCAGCTTTCTGTCTCCAGCACCAGCCACCTCTAGACTTCTGGGACCTGAGACCTTTGGGTTGGTCCTTCCAGAATTGAATGGGGAACAGGAGGAAGCTGGATATGTTGCTCAGATGGGAGCAGAAAGACTCAAGTAAGAGAAAGACTGAGAAGGCCCAGAATCTTCATTCCAGGCAGAGCAACAATGGATGGCAGGGGAGGTGAGCCATTCCAGACCCTCCATCTGCTAAAGGTAGGCTGGGTGTAGGACAAACTCATGCAGGACATTCAGGGAAAGCTGCTAAAGTGGCTGCCTGCTCATAGCAAAGAAGAAGAGAGAAGACAAAGGAGAAGAAGGGGGAAAAGGAGAAGGGGAAGAAGAAGGAGAACAGGAAGGAGAAGGAAAAAGAAGAAGAAGGAGGAGGGGAAGAAGAAGCCAAAGAAGAAGGGGAAGGGGAAGAAGAAGAAAGAGGAGGAAGAAGGAAGAGGACGAGGAAAAAGAGGAGGAGAAAAAAAAAGGAGAGGAGGAACTGTGTGCCAGCCACCACCCCCTTGGTTCTTTATATGTAATAACTCAGTTCTCCAGCAACCCTGTGCCAGAATAAATCTTATTTTTCACATTTTACAGTTAGGAAAGCTGAAGCACAGATAGGTAAGCACATCATCTGAGTTCACACCGCTAGTAAGTGGTAGAGTGAGGATGTAAGCCTAGGGTCTTGGGCTCCAGAGTCCATGCTCTTAACCATTACACTTGAGAGTCAGTGACGGCAAGACCAAATTTAAACCTTGATTTGATGGGTTGATGACTTGTGAGGCCTTCAATTGCAAGTATCAGAAAACCCATCTCAAAGTGACTTACACATCCTACAATATAGATGAAGCTGGAAGACATGATGCTAAATGAAACAAGCCAGTCAAAGGAACAAATACTGTAAGATTCCTTTTATCCGGGGGACCTAGAGTAGTCAAATTCACAGTGTGAGAAAGTAGAATGGTGGTTGCCAGGGGCTGGGGCGAGGGGGAATAGGAAGTTAGTGTTTAATGGGTACAGAATTACAGTTTTCGAAGGTGGAGGTTCTGAAGATGGATGGTGGTAATGGTTGTACAACAATGTGAATGTACTTACTAAAGCACTGAACTATACACTTAAAATGGTCTAAATAGTAAAATTTATGTTATCTATATTTTACCACAATTTTTTCAAAACATGACTTACCAAGGAAATTTAAAATAATCACACTTCACACAAGGTCCACAGGTAGGCCAACTGCATAGTTTATGCTTGGTGGCTACATCATCGACAACTCAGGTCATTTCATCTTTCTGCTCTGCCTTTGCTGAGTGTGTATCTTGCTCTTCTTGTGATCATAGGATGGACACTGCATTTGTACACACCACACCCAAACGTGACACATTATAGAGGTAAAAGAGACCCTTTTTTCCTGGGGAAAGAGGATGCTATGGTCTGAATTTTATTCCCCCACCCCCCACATTCTTATGATGAAACCTAACCCCCTAGGCCATGGCTCACACCTGTAATCCCAACACTTTGAGAGGATCACTTAAGCCCATGAGTTCGAGACCAGCCTAGGCAACAGAGTGAGACCCTATCTCTAAAAAAAATTTTTTTTTTTAGATGGAGTCTCGCTCTATTGCCCATGTTGGAGTGCAGTTGGCCTGACCTCGGCTCATTGCAACCTCTGCCTCCCAGGTTCAAGTGACTCTCCTGCCTCAGCCTCCTGAGTAGCTGGGACTACAGGTGCACACCACCATGCGTGGCTAATTTTTTTGTATTTTTAGTAGAGACGTGGCATCGGCATGTTAGCCAGGCTACTCTCGAACTCCTGACCTCAGATGATCTGCCGGCCTTGGCCTCCGAAAGTGCTGAGATTACAGGCGTGGGCCACTGCACCCGGCCAAAAATTTTTTTTTAATTTAGCCAGGCATGGTGGCATGCATCTGTATTTCCAGCTCTCAGAAAGCTGAGGCAGGAGGATTGCTTGAGCCTAGGAGTTTGAGGCTTCAGCTAGCTGTGATTGCACCACTGAACTCCAGACTCCATCTCCAAATAAAGAAGGAAAGAAAGAAAGAAACCTAAACCCCAACGTGATGTATTAGGGGAGGCCTTGGGGAGGTGATTAGGTCATGGGGCCTCCTCATGAATAGAATTAGTGCCCTTTTGCCCTTCTACGTGAGGACACATAGAAGGCACCATCTATGAGGAATGGGCTGAATCTGCTGGTAACTTGGTCTTCGACTTCCCAGCCTCCAGAACTGTGAGCCATACATTTCTATTGTTTATAAGTTACCCAGTCTAAGGTATTTTTTAATAACTGCTCAAACTGACTGAGACAGAGGGATTTCCTCAGGAGACAGGGAACATTTCCCAGAAGGCTTCCAGCATATCTGTCCATGTTTCGTTGACCATTTCATTACATCACCCACCCAGGCCCAGGGGACCATATGACTAGCTTGAACCAATCAAGATTTGCCCTTTGAGGCTAAGACCAGAGCCAGCTTCCCCAGAAGCAGAAGGCCACACTAAGTCAGGTGGACATCTGAACCAAATCATCTCTGTTAGGAAGATGGAAAGTAGTAGAGAGGATGCTGAAATGACCTCCTAGCATGTCTGCTATGACTTTGTAAAAACAAATTCAATAGGGTCATTTACAAGTCAAGCTCACCGTGGCAGGGGCACATTCAGCTATTTTAAGTTTCTTTTCTAATATGTTACAACACAATCTCTTCGGTAGCCCATTTGGCAATATCACCTTCTCATAACAGCTTTTAAATATAAAAGTAGCTGGGGTTGCCACTGCAGTTTTGATAACATGCCACCAAACTTCTTTTTCAGTAGTGAAAGTTTAGGGAAAGGGAAGAAAGAAGGAGGCACATGAAAGGGCAGGAGGTCACGGATTAAAGGAGTAATTTGCTGCCCCCCACCCAGCCCCCAAACACACACACACACACACACACACACACACACACACGGACAGAAGAGCATAGTGGGCAAGAACTAGCCTTAGCTGCAAAGCCAGAGGCTTCGTTACAAACCTGACTTGGAGAAAAGACAAGTTACTTGACTTTGAGCAATTGACAACATTTTTGAACCTCGATTTCTTTATCACAAAAAAAGAGGTGAAAGTAGCATCCACTGAATGACACATAAGGGGTTGAGTCATCCTGGACTCCTCCCTTTCCCTCCCCACCACATCCCGTCAGCTGCCAAGCCCTCCTGGCCCCTCTCTAACACATGGGGCCTCCATCGCTGCCTCTCCATCATCATCCTGCTCACAACCTGCAGTGGGACTAGCTGCAATTGCTCCCCAACTGGCTTCTGGTCTCCAATCTTCAGCCCCTCCAATTCATTTGCCCTGCAACTCTCAACCCTTTTAGAAACATGCTTCTGACAATGCTGTCCTTCTGTTGCTGACAGAATGAAGCCAATGGCCCCACGACTGGCTCTGACTACCTCGCTGGATTGCTGGTCACACAACTGCCTATTCGAACCCTCAGTGGTTCCTGCACTTCCTAGGACATGCCTCCAACTCTTACCTACACTCCTCCCTTCACCTCAAATGCTGTCCCTCTTGCACAACAGGCAAACACATTGTCCTTTTTAGTGGAGTTTGGATCCAACTGGATCCAATTCTAATCTTAGCTACACTGCTCACCAGCTTTGACACCTGGAGCAAGTAGCTTTACCCGCCCTGGAGCCTCAGCTTCCTGATTGGTCCAATGCTGCTTGCAGAGTTGTTGTGAGAACCAGGGCCGGGCACGGTGGCTCATGCCTGTAATCCCAGCACTTTGGGAGACTGAGGCGGGCGAATCACAAGGTCAGGAGATCGAGACCATCCAGGCTAACACGGTGAAACCCCGTCTCTACTAAAAATACAAAAAAAATTAGCCGGGCGTTGGGGCAGGTGGCTGAAGTCCCAGCTACACGGGAGGCTGAGGGAGGAGAATGGCGTGAACCTGGGAGGCAGAGCTTGCAGTGAGCCGAGATCGCGCCGTGCCTAGGACAGTCCCCTGCTCCTAGCAAGTTCTCCGGAAAGATGGTTATTATTATCAACTCAGGCATCCCAGCTCAAGTATCATCTCCTCTAGGGAAATTTTCCAAGCCCCTTGGCTGGAACAATCCTTTCTTCTTTTCTACATGGACCCTTTGGGCAGGCCTCTTCCACCATCTGAAACATGTCTTTTACACTCATTTATGTTCAAGGCTTTCCTCCATCCCCCCCCCTGTAGAATCTAAGCTCCTGGGGCACTGGAAGCAGGTTTATTTATTTTTGAGTCCTCAGTACCTGCTCCAGGGTGTTTAAGAGGTCAAACATTTACCTAAATGTGTGCATCTGGGGCCAGTCGCCAAACCAGCAACAGCGTTCAAGGAATATCCCCTTGTGCCCAGCCCCGTGCCAGGCTCTAGCATGAACTTCTTTGGAAAGACCACAGAATCAGGGTTAGATATGGGGTAAAAGCCCATTAGGCACAACAACGCTGACTTCCAAGAGTCCGTGTCCCCTGGGCGGCCTTGCTGGGTCCCCCCAACGTGCCTGGGTGACCCCACTGTCCTCCCTCACCACCCACATCCACAACTGGAGGGGGACTTATTTAAACGCACACACAAACACCCCAATTGCTTTCCTCTCTCTCCTTTTCTCTAGTGAACAGAAAGTAGCATTCCAGAGCCATTGTGTGTCCAAGATATCTCCCAAGTCAATTTGTCAGTCTCATTTTCAGATGAGGCAAGTCCTTAAGCACATGACTAGGCCTACAGAAAGGTCTCCAGCAAGGTGGGGTGAGAGGATCCGGCCACAGTGAGCCGGGGTCAGTTTGTTGGATGGGTTTCTGAAAATAGTCTTCGTGTCCAGAACTTGTTTTTCTGAGCCTGTGAACAAGGCTAGCCTGAAAGTCTGGCCTACCTCCACACCTCCCCCAAAGCCCACTCCATTTTTATATTGCTCCGAGGTTAATAGCCATGTCGTGTGGGGTCATAGAAGACATCTGTGTCTCAGATAATATGCTTACGGTGATTACCACACATAATTGACTGACCTCCCCTCATTCTTTCCCTGCTGCAGGCCGCGGCTGATAGGATGAAGCAAGCCACAAGAGCTTATTTTCCATCACACACCATTGTGCTGCTGAGCAAATATTTTAGCAAGCTTTGAATGAACCACCTTTTCAAGCTCTAGGTTTTCAGAGTGAAAGTAGGAAGCCATGACCAACCTGAGAGTATTAGATTTTAAATCAGCTTTGGGCCACCCTACTTAGAGCACTGTTGTGGGCATCCCAGGGAACCAGGCTTGGGACATGAACATCGTGGGATGTTCCCTTCAACTTCATCTTTCACTTTGTCTTGCAGGGGGTTGGGGGAGATTCTTGATACTACTCATTGCAGCATCTGGGTGTTTATAGGGAGGGAATAATTAGCCCTTGGTGTCCAGGCAATACCCCAAAGGGTAACTGGAGTCCAGGCTTTTGCAGTCAGCTCATCCCGTCACATCACTGGCCACACGAGATCCAGCTCCTAGCTCCCGCATCCACCTGCCCTCACAGGGCCACCTGACCTTCACAAAGGACATACTAAGCTCTCAACAAATGGACCCCTCCTTCTGCAAAGACAACTACCACTCCTGATCCCAGAGAGAATGGAAAGTAGGAGACTGAGTTGAAAAATAATCCCCAAAGCAAACTTCAAAATGTTACATTAAGATTTTAAAACTTTTTAATAATGTTTTACCTTAGCTCTATTCCATCTATCTAGCAATTAATCCATCAGTCTTCACATAATACACACCTACAGGAAACGCAATTACACATCTCTGGGCTGGATTCCACTGTGAATTACTAATGTGTTAACACTAGGGAATTCCAAGCTCCCTTGACTTTCAGCATCCCCTCTCCCCATCCCATTCCTCCCAAATAAGCTCTTGAGTGTCACAGAGGACAAGCTGGGGTTCAGTGACTCCACCGGGGTTTTGGCCTAGCTGCAGAGAACCAATTAGATTCCAACTCAGTGAGATCACCTCACCCAGGTCTAAAATCTCAATGTTTGCACTCTAAAACTCACATCAACTCCCCAAGCTTCTATAGTGCTACATCTCAGGAAGATTAACGACAAGGCAAGTGTCAAGGAGAAAGTTTTCTGCTACAGTTTATCACATGAGTGCTCCTTCAGAATCATTTTAGTTTGTGCAATAACCTAAATTGGGTTCTATTTGTCACTTACAGAGATCCACCTAGAATTGTCAATTCACCAACATTTCACGTAAGTCATCCATGTCTTCCGTTGCTGGGGGAGGGACCAAGGAAAAAAGGGTGGAGGGGAGGTTGCCACTGCTTAACAGAAAAATTATACATATTCTAAACATATAGGTGATCTTTAGAAAATCTCAGCATCACTTCATAATTATATACTACAAGTTTTAATTAACTAAAGCTCTGCAAATCATAATGCCTTATTAAAATGCAATTAATCCTTTGATTAAAAAACAAAAAGTACAAGTATTTACAACAAAAACACAAGTAGAATAATTACAAATATCATGTACCCATTTCTTTTATTTGGGTGTCACTTATGATGTTGCCTGCTCCCTTCATTAATTCAAACACACACATTATCTCGCATCCACAGCAGCGTGAGTGACAGTGGCCACCAAACACACAGCACTATATCCTATTGATTTCGGCAAATCCTGAACAATGCCATTTGCATGCTTGTTTCTGTAATAATAAAGATATGCCATTTAGAATTAAAGCCCGGCCAGGCTAGTGGCAACTAATTGTGTTGTATGTAATGAGTGCAATTTCAATTTGATATCACCCTCAGCTTTTCTTGCCGCACTCGCTAAGTACTTTCAAGTCTTTGTGGGGAAATAATTGATTTTTTTGTGCTGTGGGCACAAGAAAATTATTATGATCTTTTGAATAATGCCAAAGAAAAGACCATGAATGATTTAAATTGGTATATGAAGAAGGCTTTGCCGTGGACTACGGCTTGACTGACATCCTGCTAATGCAGTATCTAGATTAGCAGTTCTTAAGGAGGTAGCTAATATGAAACTGGTAAAACAGAAAAGGTCGCTACCAGCATTGGGTGGTGGTGGGGTACTGGTGGTGAGGATTGCTGCTCCATTTTATTTGTTATCCAGGGAGGACCAACAATCTGGGGATTTAAGGCATGACACGATTACATAATTGCCTGGCCCTCACCACCGAGGGTATGTTTCAACTGATAAATTACACATTTGAAATGGGCAGATAGGAGAGGGCTGAACCAGGATTGTTAGCATGGCTGCAGCTCAACTGGGTAGACCCACCTGCGGTGGGCATATCCCTATGTCTGGAACATGAAAGTTAGTTAGCGCCTCTTTTCCTGACATTCAACTCCAGGAAGAAATTGGGAGTAAGGGAGCTACTTTATTTATTCCTTAATCTCCCCATTAGCAACAACTGCTCAGTCCCACTGTGAGCATGGTTTGGGTCTTGCAGAAGAGCTAATGTCCCCTTTTCACCTGGGATGATAACAAGGAAGGAAATCTGAACCCAAGGCAGGTTTCTTTTGTGCCCATAAAACCTTGTGTCTACAAATCCAACCAGGACAACTGGTCTCCCTCTCGTTCTACTTACCTCCCCACTCCCCAGCTGAGCCTTCCATGCCCAGTGTGGCAGCCTGAACTTTAAGGATGAGGAAATAAACACCCTAGAAGGATGGATCACCAATTCAAAACACAATTCCACCTTAAAATGCATCCACCTTCCAAATCTCATTCTTCAGAGAAGGGAGTGTTGTTAATTTAGTTGGTCATAACTAAATAGTTTCTAATCTGGAGCAGGAGGCTGCTGGGAATATTGGACAGTTTAAAGGTTAATCACCATCGCCTGGTTACACAAGTGAGGCAGAACTAATTCCTCCAAAGGCAAATGGCTTGCAGTTTTATCAGCAGTGCAGATTAGAAGTGTTAATATACAGAACAGAATGGACGCTTAAGGGCCGGTTTTCCCCTTATCGGCAAACTTTGCAACAGAACTCAGCTCCTGCACAACCTCTGCACTTCTATAATAAGGCCCCTTATTTTGCCTCTCGAGCAGAACTATCAAACAATCCTGTCCAAACCACTGCCACCAAAATCAGGGTATTACAGACCACGGCTAATTGGAAGATCACTATAATGAAGGAAAAGATAAAATACTCTGGCTGTTGGCCTAAAATGTGGATCAACACAACATAGGAAGCTATCTTGCTATGTCACATTCTGAGAGATTTACATAAACAATAAACTCAATCCAACTGCCCCCCCCAAATACATCTTTGTTTACAGTAAATGCAACCTAAAGCCAGATTCGTGGAGGCGGGAGAGGTTCTTTACGTAGGCAATATGATTAGGCCAGCAGTTTTGCAACTGTGCAGGAGAGCAGGACTGTGTGTATTTCCTCTCTTGCAATCAGCAGGGAGAAAATGGTTTTTAATGTTCTCCACGCTTCCTATATCATAGATATTTAAATATTTGGACCACTCAATATGCTAAAACGCTTGCACCAGCCACACAAATTGACTTCCACGTTTCTGCTAGGGCTGCAGGTGCCTTTCCAGGGGAGGAGAAAATGGAAGGCATGGAAGAGAAGAGCTAAAAGGCTGCCAGAGGCTGGTACCCAAGCGCCTCAGTGGGTATTTCTTTGGAGACTGGGGGGAGGAAGGCAGTCACAGGTGGAGAGGGTAGCATTTTAAGAGAGGAAATTAGAGACAACCAACCTCATCCGGCAAGGACTGAAATGTTTCTTTGGTGGGAAATCTGCTGTTATAACCACAACCAAACATTGCAATCACAGGAGGAAAAGACATTTTAGGGGAATGCGCTAAAAGCAGGCCCATCCAAGTGATGTATTCTGGGGTCAGATTTATTATATTTCCAAGATATACCAGGAAGCCTGATGAGCCCATCTCCCAAGCATTGTTCAATGATTTTTCACTGCAGGCTGCTGGCTCTCCCCAGAGCCCCAAATATCTGTTTTTCCTGAGCCCTGGGATAGGTCAAAAGGTGGAATCCTCACCATCCTCAGCAAACTACCACAGGAACAGAAAACCAAATATCGCATGTTCTCACTCATAAGTGGGAGCTGAACAATAAGAACACATGGACACAGGGAGGGGAACATCACACACCGGGACCTGTCAGGTCAGGGGAAGGAGAGGGAGAGCATCAGGACAAATAGCTAATGCACGTGAGGCTTAAAACCTAGAAGATGTGTTGACAGGTGCAGCAAACCACCATGGCACACGTATACCTATGTAACAAACCTGCACGTTCTGCACGTGTATCCCAGAACTTCAAGTAAAATTAAAAAAAAAAAAAGGTGGGCTCCTATGTGGCAACAATAGGCCTCTGTCATTCTTTATCCAACCTCTCATTCTTTTATTGTGCAAACTCCTACAAGAAATAGCCATGTCTTTTGTTGGAATGGCCCACAGTACCTGGAAGAGTGTACCAATTAGAATATTTCACAATTTATATCAGTGGACGGATGCATTCCGCCATTCCACATATATTTATTGACTGCTGTCGATGCCGTGGAAGGCACAGGCTGCCTACAAGGCACTAGCGAGCTTTATCCAGGAAGGCTAAGCCTGGCGCCTGCGAGTTAGTACACCATTGGAGATAAACAGCCACATAGGAATAGGGAAAATGTGACACGGAACTGTGGCTAAGTGTCACCTACCTAGCCAGGGCAAGAAGTGCTCCAGAAGTTCAGAGGAAGGCAAGGCCTGTGTGACCGAAGTGGTCAGACACTTTGAACTGGGCCTGAAATTCATCTACGTGTTTGGTCATGTACTCAGCAGATACTGATTTTGCTCCTACTACGTCTCTGGCAATGTCCTAGATAATGGGCATGCAGAGATGAGCAGAGCAAGGCCCCAGGCAAGGAGTTCATAGCCAGAGGTGAAAAGGACTGACACATAACCAAATGACCCCAATTCATCAGGCCCCTGGCACCCCTAGCTGTAATATGGGAAGCACTGGCTCACATTATGAGTCAGCGTTAAGGCCCATGACACCCAGCTCACAGCGCTAACCCTGAAGGCCCACAAGCCAGTATGTGGAGAAAGTAGGACCTGGCTAACTGCTAGTTTAGCTCTAAAGGCAAGCAGAGAGATGGAGCAGGAGCTGAGGGGAAAGTGGGACCTAGGAAGGATTTTTATTTTTGTTTTAGAGAGTGGCACCTCACTCTGTTGCCCAGGCTGGAGTCCAGTGGCCTGATCATGGCTCACTGCAGCCTCGACCTCCCAGGCTCAGGCAATCCTCCCACCTCATCCTCCTGAGTAGCTGGGACTACAGGTGCACACCACCATGCCCAACTAACTTTTGTACTTTTTGTAGAGTCGGGGTCTCCCTTTGTTGCCCAGGCTGGTCTCGAACTCCTGGACTCAAGTGATTCTCCCAAGATTTCCAAAGATGGGTAAATTCACGGCATGTCTATGTGCTAATGAGACTCATTAAGACAAGAAAGAAAAAATGGTAGTGCAGGAAAGAGAAGACACAATTACAGGAGCAGAGCCCCTGATTACATGATGAGGTGGAATCTAGTGTACGGGGGAAGGTAGGGTGACCAACTCATCCCCATTTGTCCAGGACTTGCCCATTCTTTGTACTGAAAGTCCCACCTCCCAGACAGCCCCTCAGACCCAAGGAAACTGAGATGATTGGTCACCCTAGTGGAGGCTCAGCCTTAGAGACCTGGGCTGCAGGGACAGGGGAGGCCGAGCAGATGACGCAGATGTGGGTGGGTTGGCCGATCAGTGACAGGATGAAAGGTGGTTCCCTTTTGATGCTTCTACTTTTTTCAGTGAAATAAACCATATATTAGCTGATACTAATGAGCAAGGGGAAAGGATCTGAGGTTTGAGAAGAGCAGAGAAGGTAGGGGGCACTCGTTTGGAAGAAGGGAGAGGAACTCCCGTGGAGAAATGTGTGAGGACTTCTAGACAGTGCTGAGCGCCCACCTGAGACTCATGGTGAGGAGTTGAAAGTGAGGCCAGTCAGCATGGCTATGTGCTTTGCTCCAACCAGATTCACAGGACCATGGAAGAGGGGACTGCATTTCTCCAGAGCAGACAACCCTTGGTGGAGAAACTGAGGCCCCACAGATAAGTAAATTTCAGAGCTAAAGCAGAGCCTGGGGCCTTGCCTCCCAATTCAGTGCTTTCTGTCTGTCTAGAATCAGCACCCAGGCCTCACTGGCACCTCAGCCAAAGGTGTTTCCATGATCTTCAGAGGCCCAGCCTGGGTGAGCTGACAGGCTACTCTGGGCAGCAGGGAGGAGGTGACAGAGAAGGAGTTCAGGGAACAGGAATGTCCAACTAGCAAGTGTCAACCACAAAGCAGAAGGACCTCAGGAACTTCTCCCTGTGGATAGGAACAGTGGTCTGCCAAGGAATTTCATCTTATGTGCCTATGAAAGCTTTCAAACATATAATTATGTAATTTACTTCTTCGAACTGGTGCAGTTGACGATGAGATGGCAGCCTGCTCCATCTCCGCTGTGCCCCACAGCTTTCCTGGAATTTTTTTTCTGAACTCTCTAGCACAGGGTTGGCCGTTTCTTGTACATCTTCTCAGCAAAAAGCGCCCAGAGACCCTAGGAACATCACAAGAGGGACCTTAGACAAGAGAATTTTACACTTTACCACAGGGAGCTGTGGGCCACCATTGAAGATGTGATCATTCAATCAACATTGATTGCCACTGTGCAGGGGGCTGCGGAAAATACAGGAAAAACCAAAGTTCACAGCTCACCATGCCAAGGGTAGGGACAGCTGAGGAGGATCATCTGGATCTATTGAGAACAAAGCACTGGAGAGAGGCTGAAAGTCACCTTACCGGGGCTGGGTGAGTCATGGGCAAAAACCTAAGTCGCATCTTCACTTATCTACACTGCTGTCATGAGCCACTGGCGAATTCAGACGTTGATTTCAGTTTTCCTCAACCTGGGCTGGGTGAGTCATGGGCAAAAACCCAAGTAGCGTCTTCACATATCTCTGCCACCATCATGAACCACTAGCAAATTCAGACATCGATTTCAGTTTTTCTCAACCCAGCGTTTCTGAAGAGGTCCATGACACTCTTAGTAATGAGTAACAGGGAAGTTATTCCAATTTTTTTTTTTTTTGAGACAGGGTCTCACTCTGTTGCCCAGGCTGGAGTGCGGTGGTGCCATCTCAGCTCACTGCAGCCTCTATCACCTGGGCTCAAGCAATCCTCCCACCTCAGCCTCCTGAGTAGCTGAAACTACAGGTGCATGCTGCCACTCCAGAGTAAATTTTTTTTTTTTTTTTTTTTGTAGAGATGAGGTTTCACCACATTACTCAGGCTGGTCTCAAACTCCTGGGCTCGCTCAAGCGATCTGCCAGCCTCGACCTCCCAAACTGTATTTCAATATTTTAAAAGCCAGGTAGAAATAATATATTTAACCACCTTAAGGAGAGTAAATAGCAAGCTTCTTTACTTTTGGCTGGAATAGAGCAAATCCAAGTGGTATTTCTTGGTGGTCAGAAGCTTGATTGGCAGTTCTGTATCTCTAATAATAATGGAAAAAGAGTTACTAAAAATGCCACTTCCCTGATGGATGACAGTATCTTTTAAAATATAGAGGTCAGGGGGTAAACTAATAAAAGGAGGGAGACAAAAAGTTAGGAAAGCAATGATCTGTACATATGGCTTTTTGTATAACTTATTTATTTGACCCAACATTACAACTAGCAGTTTTAGTAGCATGGTAATGAAGCAAATTATTTCTCAGTAGTTTTATGTAAGTAAGTGCAATTGCATAATACGTGTATCTCTTTTTATTTCCAGCTGCAACATCTCGATCCCTCCACCAATTCAGCCTGATCCTCCGAGGCCTAGAACTTGGCTGCCCATATTGTGAGTGCACATGAGCGCTCCTCCAACTGAAAGTTAATGGTGACCTGTACTCACCTGTCTGCAATGATGAATGCTCCCAGGCCCTACCTGGTGTTGACCCCTCTCTTCTCAGCTGGATCCCTTCCTGCAAGCTCAGCATCTGATAGGACCAAGTCTGATCAGCAGGTAAGCTCGCTGAGAATCAGATACAGTCCCCATTGCTATTAGCCCAGCACAGACTCTGGGCTTCCTTCCAGCCTGGATGATTCTTTCATCAGATATTTATTGCGTGACTCTTAGGAGCCAGGTACTGTGCTACGCACTATGGCTACAAGAATTAATAATTCATAATGCTCTCTTCCCCAAAAGAATCAGAGTTCTTTACACATTTGTAAAGAATTATACCACTAGCATGGTAAGAGTTCTAGTGCTAATACAGAAACAGATCGTGAGGGAGAACCTCTGACACTCTAGATTTTCAGCAAAAGTTTCACTGAGGAGGTAGTGCTGGACCCAAGGCTGAAAAATGAGTAGATGTTCACCAGCTGTCAGGGTATTAGGGGGCAGGGCAAGTTGTAGAAAGAGTCTGTGGGGAGGGAGGATTGGAAAAGATACTTAGAGAAGCAGCAATAACATGTAGCAAGGCCCAGAAGCATAGGAGAGTACAAGAAATTGGCAGGGGTCCTCAATGTTCAGTTGGGCTGTCTAGTGGGGTCTTCTAAAGAAAATACATTTATTAGATGAACTGTTCAGGTATGAGTTATTGCACTGTTGGCTGTGAATTCACTGTTAATGAGGCAACAATATATACTAAATATGGCATCTTGAAGCAAAACACACACAAAATAAGGTTATGTATTGATCTGTTGGTGAAAATGTGGCCAGAGGCTTGCAGGAACCTAACCCTATATTTCCCCTGGGAGCAATGGCTTAGTGTTTGCTAATTCAGCATTGGAGGCAACTTTATAGAACATAACTACTGCAAATAACAACAATAAACTACAAGAGGATAAAGTATTTGTGGAGTGAGATAGAGGCCCCAGGCACTTTGGAGTTAGAGTTCAAGTCCTCCAAAGCTTGCAGGAAATGACTTGGCATTAGCTACCACTTTAAATAAAGACACCAACTCTGTGGTGCCTTTGGAGACACTTACAAAAATGGTATTTATTGTTTTTTTTAAGAGTTTTTTTTCCTATAAAGGTCTTTAAAAGATAACGCCCAAGCTCTTGGCCACTGGTTCTGGTTATGGGCTCCATCTGGGTGAATCCCTACCCAGTATGTCCAGAACTAGAACCCAGCTTTGACTTGACCAGTTCCCTTCTCCCTTCCTGCCCTTTCTTGTCTCTCAGCCCAGGACCCAGTTCTCTGCCAATCTCTTTGCAGATGCCAATTGCTCATCTGCCCAGATTTCCATGTGGAACCTGCCCCTGATTTTGTTTAGTCCCTGCAACTGGCTGTGTCGCTCCAGTGCCTGTTCCACTTGATGGAGCATGTCCAGTGGCAGATTGCAACTCTCTCAAGTTGCCCCATCCTGCTACAATGGCTAAGATCATAGTTTGAGTCAGAGCTCAATGGTTGTGAGAAACAGAAACTTAAAGAAACAGATGATGACTAAAAGGACATGGAATCAGGTTACAGAAATAGAAATAAAGATATGCCTTTCAGAAACTAAAGCTGGTAATGGAGAAGCCACAAGAAGCCAAGAAGATTTCTTTCCCTCCTCCACCACCTCCCATATCTCTGTCTCTTTGCATTTCTCTTTCCTTCTTTCCATCCTCTTTCCCGCTTCTTCTCGCTTCCCATTTTTCCTCAACCTTGGCTTTTCTCGCCTGGTCTGCTTTATTCTCTTTGCAAACCATCTTGTTCCACTTCCTCTGGCCACCCTCTCCCCTCCAATTTTGTCTTGCATGTGGCTTGGGTTTTCCCTGTCATTAACTCTAACTCCCATTCTGTGAGGCCTTTCTCAAACGCCCACCACCAAATACTCTCATTTTGCATATGCAAGGGAGAATCTGATTGGCTGAACTCACCAACTTATATTAGCTTCTCTGAAATCAGGTGACCACCCCTGGTCCAATCAACTGCAGCTGGAGGGGAGGGGAAAATAACCTAAGGCAAGTCATGGCCATCTAAACCTGCCCCTGCAGAGGGACTGTGGGCAGAATTTAGTTCCCAGAAAAGGGGCCGGCCCTCCAAATATGTTATCTATGGCTATTTCATAACTAAGGCCATTTTCTGAAATAGGAGGGAGTCCTCTGGTTGGTTATTAGGGATCCTTATTAAATCATCTATATTGCTTATTGTCTAAAGGAGAGAGTGGGCAGGTCATTTATGAAACTTGATTTTGGGATTAGTTCTGTGTCCTGGGAACAAAATTTCATCCCTCTGGCCCAACCCCTCGTCTCCTCTCCTGTCTGATCTTCTCTTTCTCTCTCTCTTTTTTTTTTTTTTTTTTTTTTTTTTGAGATGGAGTTTGGCTCTGTTGCCCAGGCTAGAGTGCAGTGATGTGATCTTGGCTCACTGCAACCTCTGCCTCCTAGGTTCAAGCAATTCTTGTGCCTCAGCCTCCTGAGTAGCTGGGATTACAGGCACGTGCCAGCAAGCCTAACTAATTTTATTATTATTATTATTATTATTATTATTGTTATTATTGACGAGGTTTTGCCATGTTCGCCAGGCTGGTCGTGAGCTCCTGGTCTCAAGTTGCCCGCCTGCCTTGGTCTCCCAAAGTGCTGGGATTACAAGCGTGAGCCACCACGCCTAGGCCCTCACTGTCTTTCATCAGCACTTCAGGAAGTGTGACAAGACTGGCAACCAAGGACGATTGTCTCTTTGAGCAAGTTGAGGGTTTCCCAGGGAGTGGCTACAGAGTCCCTGCTGCACAGACAGGTCAACTAGGGAGATGGAGAGACAAGGCTGAGCAGATCTACAGGCAGGAAGAAGACGTTGGGAAGTTCTCTCCAAGTCAAGGCAGGTCAATCAGAAAAGCAGAGATTAGGGCTGGTCTGGACACAAGGTGGGATGAATGAGGGTGTCTCAAGGCTGACCTTCAGTCCTTTTCTTTCCATCAGCTGTGGCATTGCTGTTGAGCGAGGAAACTTGTCCCTCTCCTCCCATTGTTTCTGCCTCTGTCTGTATGGGGGACAGAACTTCTCTCAGCCCTCTTCCCCACTGGGGTGAGTGTTGCGAAACCATTCATGCTCCCATGTCCGGGCTCTCTCCCTACAGGGGGAGGAAAGACTGCCAGAGATGAACTGTCCCTCTACATGAGAGATTCATGACCACTTTGCTCATTCCTCTTTCACTCCCTGCCTTGCCTCTGCCTGACCATGGGGTTTGGGTAGCCCAGCTGGCTTATCTGCTCCACTTTGGAGGCATAGACAGGTTTACTGTCTTGGCTTGCTCTTTTTTTCTCTAGCAAATGTGCTTCAAATTGGCCTTTCCTAGCACCATATCCTTGGGTTCTGCGGAAAGAATAGGCAGAGATTTGGGGAAAAGGAGTAGCAGCTGACACTTTGATGGGAAGTCTAAGGCCGTGTTCTCCAGCCCTGCTTTTATCAGAGCCCTGTTTTGGGGGAAGCCAGTATTGGCCCAGAGTCTCTTCTTCTCCTATTTTTTATTTTTTTATTTTTTATTTTTTTGAGATGGAGTCTCGCTCTGTTGCCCAGGCTGACAATCTTGGCTCACTGCAACCTCCACCTCCTGGGTTCAAGTGATCCTTCTGCACAGGCCACCATGCCTGGCTAACTTTTGTATTTTTTGTAGAGATGGGGTTTCACCATGTTGGCCAGGCTCATCTCGAACTCCTGACGTCGTGATCTTCCCGCCTCGGCCTCCCAAAGTTCTGAGACTACAGGCATGAGCCACCGCACCCAGCCCAGGCCAGTGACTCTTAAAGCCACACTTTGTTTCACAATTGGTCACTAGTCCTTGGGCTGCTCTTTAGTCCATCAGAACCTCAGAAAGGAGGCATTTACTCTAATATGCTTGGGAGGCTTAGAATCTAAAGATGCAATATATGTGGAAAGGAACTATACATTTGTTCACCAATGATTTTATCCTGCACGTCCCCTAAATTATCACAAGTGAAAAGGTGAGATGCCTTAAAGACTTCTGTCTTGGTTTTTCCTTGGTGGATGAAAGAAAAGGTTAACAGGCACTGGGATCAAAATGTTTTGTTGTTGTATGCAAAAATTTTTTTTTAATGCTTGTCGGCTTCATCACAAGATTTTCTCTGCTGGAACATCAGACAAATTTAGTTTACGCCATTTATTCTCTATTTCCCTCCTGCTGTTCCCACATTTCCCCTACCCATGACCTGGGCAGCATGGTGAGAGCCTGGGAGGGCTTCCGGGCTTCCTCTGAAGGCAGGGGGACAAGTGATTCAGGGTCCCTGCCCTGGTGGACTTTTTCCATCTCTAGAGGAAAGGGGAGGATGGTTCTGAGCCCCTGAGGATTTTCTGGAATTGGGTTGGTCCCTCTACCAGAGCTGCCTGCACTGTGTAATGAGACTGTGTCTCCTGGTGGTCTTTCGGGAAGGTGGATTAAGCCTTGCCTTCCTGTGCTCAACAATGAGGAACAGCAGAGCTAGGAGCTGACCAGCAATAGACCCAGGTTTTCCCCAGCTTACCCTTTAAACACTGCACAAGTAAATATATCCTTATTATATAGAATGGGCATGCAAAAAGAAAAACAACCATCTGAAACCCTAGCATGTTGAATGGCCACGGTCAACATGTCATATGTATCCTTCAGACTGTTTTCATGCATATGTGTGATATTTATTTGTTTAAAACAAGAGGAATGACATCATGCAATGCTGTTTTGTAATTGGCCGTTTAAAATCCAACATGCTGTAAATATGCGTCCGTGTTAACACATATGGCACCACAGCATCATTCTGAATGGTTATCTACTACTCCAAGGCATGGTTATACCCTCAGTTACTAACCAACGCTATTGGTGGATGTCGAGAGCTTTCCCAGTGTTCTGATGCTGTGATAATCAACAATACAAAAGCACCCTTGTACATTCACTTTCAAATGCTGTTTGATTATTTCCTGTGAATATATTTTTGGAAATGCAGTTGTTGGGGGAAAGCATTGCCTGTTTAAGGCTTTTGTCATGTATTGCCAAATTAACCCCCACCAGAGTTTACCAATTCATACTTTTGCAGCAGTGTAAGAAGGCCTGTATTCTCATACCAGAGGCAATGTTTCATCTCTGCTTCCATGTAACAGTGGCTGAAGAATCACACACATATAAGAGGAGGTGGGTGTGGACGGGGAATCGACTCCAGCCCTAGCAAGTTATGGCTCTCCTCTGGACACGAATCTCCCTTGCAGAAGAATCAGATGCGTCCTATAACAAGTGAGTCCTCCTGCAACTTGGGCCCATGACCGAGGGCCTACCCCAGAGGCCTGGCCCCACTCTGAGGGCTTGGGATCCTACAGTGATCAAGGTTGGTCTCACCCAGTTTGCACCCCTGTCTCCTTCCCTGACTCTTCTGGCCAAAGTCCCTGTCGCCCTCTGGGGTAAGCCAAGGCTGGCCAGCCTGCAGCAAGAAGCAGTCGGAGAGAGAATTACTAACACCTACATCTCAGCAGCTTCCCCAGAGAGCCAGGTGCTTTTAAAACACCCTTGTGGCTCTCTCCTTGGGTCCCAGCTGGCTTCCATGGCAGGTTTATTGGAAGTTTGGAGCTTCCTTGTCAGTAAGTCAGAAAAAAAAATCTGTTAAATCACCCAGCAAGACACAGAGCTAATCAGAGACCCCAGAACCTAGAGCAGACGGAACGATGTGGAAAAGCAAATGGCCCCTACTGTTCCGTTGATCTGTTTCTCTCTTCATGCCGCTCTTTCTTATCTAGTGCCACAAAAAAACACTGTCTCTCTCCAGCTTGCAAGGAGGATAGCTTTCCCGCCAATCTACATATTATTGTCCACACAGCCTTGAGCCTCTGCAGAGAAGGCAGTTGGTTTATGGGAAATGGATTTTCAATCAGCCTCATTCCAGCCTTCTGAGGCTCTCCATCCACTCTCATTTGGTTCCTAATTCATTAATCTCCCCCCTCCACTTGCTTGATCCGATTATTCTTGGATATAATGTATTATTTTGCTCCTTTATGTACCACTGACTACTCATTTGATCATAGGTGCTCCTGTACCTTGTACCAGGAGATGTGAAGGGGCCGTTATGGAGCCTTCTCCACTCCTGGGGTCTTGCCTGAGTCTCGCGGATGCAGGTATGAAGCAGCACAAAGAGAAACAACAGTGGTGGAGAGGCATACGGTCTCACCGGGGTAAGGAAGTATCTCGTTTTCTAGCTCTTTTTTCATTACAGAGAAGTTTTCAAGCTTCCCCCAGCCATATCTTCGGAAAGTGCTGTAACTGTTAGCAGTATCTGTGGGGTCTCTGTTCTTCTGTTAGGATCATGCAGTGAAAAATCCGCAGAGGGAAGCTGCTTTGTCTACAGAACATGCAGCAAACACTTCACTTAGGACACGATGACCAAGAACTTTTCCAGAAAACTGGGCCAGCATTCAGCACAAGTTAAATGAGATTTGCTAAACTCCAGAGCTGGAAAGGACTTGAAGATTATTCTTGTCCAACTGTCTCATTTTATATTCCCTCCCTCCCTCCGTTCCTCCTTTTCTTTCTTCCCTTTTTTTTTTTTTCTTTGAGACAGAATCTCACTTGGTCACCCAGGCTGAAGTGCAGTGATGTGATCTCCGCTCACTGCAACCTCTGCCTCCCAGACCCAAGCGATCCTCCCACCTCAGCCTTCTGACCACAGACATGTGCCACCATGCCCAGCTAATTTTTGTATATTTTGTAGACATAGGGTTTCACTATGTTGCCCAGGCTTGTCTCCAACTGCTGAGCTCAAGCGACCTGCCCACCTCGGCCACCCAAAGTGCTGAGATTACAGGCATGAGCCAGGCAGTGAAAAAAATACTGGCCTTAAGGTCAGGCACATTGGTTCACGCCTGTAATCCTAGCACTTTGGGAGGCTGGGGCCGACGGATCCTTTGAGGTCAGGAGTTCAAGACCAGCCTGGCCAACATGGTGAAACCCTGTCTCTACTAAAAATACAAAAAACTAGCTGGGTGTGGTGGCACACATCTGTAATCCCAGCTACTCAGGAGGCTGAGGCAGGAGAATCGCTTAAACACAGGAGGCGGAGGTTGCGGTGAGCCAAGCTTGTGCCACTACTGCACTCCAGCCTGGGCGAAAAAGCAAGACTCCATCTAAAAAAAAAAAAAAAAAAAAAAAATTGGCCTTAGTGCAGAAACCAGGAGCTTGAGTACTGGCCATGTGAGTTTAGATGGGTCACTTGATCTCTGGTCTCAATTTCAGTATCTATAAAATAATGGTATTGAAACAGATGATCAACGACCCAGGCAAAAAAAGGGCAAAATCAAATTCTAGGAATGGACAGCACAATCATCTCCATTTTATACGTGGGGAAACTGAGTAATGCGGGTTGGCAGATAAGGTGCTAGGACCAGCCAATGTCAGTTTTCATATTGGTCCTGCTACCGATTGGCCCAGGAACTCAGGCAAAACACACATCTTCCAGTCTGGTGCTGTCCTGAGTCTTCTCCCATCATAGTATACGGGGAGGGTCCCAACAAGGCCATCTCTGTGCTTCACTGGAGGTGCTACAGAATCCCAGCCACCACTGGTACTTCTCAGGCTACACGGAGCTGGCACCTGGACAGTGGTTCAAATCTCCTGATTCTCAGCCTTTAGCCTCCCTGTCTGAGATTCTCCAATGGCCCAGCGGTCTAGGATGCAGACCAGGGTTAGAGAAAGAATAAAACGGAAGGAAGCTACAAAGTGAGAAGAAACTTTTGGAATCTTTGAAGGGTGGAAGAGTTATTTCCAGAGTTCACTAGAACAGCAGTTCCCAAAGTGTGGTTTGGAGACCCCTGGGTGGGGGTGGGGGCCTGAGATCAAAATTATTTTCATAGTAATACTAAGATATTATTTGTTTTTTTCACTTTCATTCTCTCAGGAGTATACACTGGTGTTTTCCAGAAGCTACGCAATGTGCAATATGACGAAAGACCGACTACAGAAGCAGGTAGAAGAATCCAGCTGTCTTCTATTAAGCCAGACACTGAAGAGATTTGCAAAAGTGCAAAACAATGCCACTCTTCTCATTGATTTTTTCTTTTTTTTTTTTTTTGCTGTGGAAAATATAGTCATTTTTCATAAATACATGCTATTTGTACTAACACGTAATGGGCTTATTTGGCTATTCTTGGTGTAAATAAATACACATTTTAAATATTCTTAGTTTTACTTTCTAATGCAGTAAATATCAACAGATATAGCCCATAAAAACAAAGTTCTTTATTTTATTTTATTGAGTTCTCAATAATTTTTAAGAGTGAAAACGTGTTCTGAAACCTAAAAGTTTGAGAATATTTTCATGGGAACATAATATTATTTGCTTGCCAGGAGTCAGTGCCCCTTCACCCTACCCACTCAATTTTCATCTCTCTGTTATTCCTGGGGCCTGTGTTTGTGAATTTTGGGATTACTCTTAGCTCCAGATAATCCATAAAGTGTGGCTCCCAGCGGCCCTCAGCACTGGCATGCTAATGCAGGCAGACCAGCTGTGTGCAGAAGGGAGCTTAGCGAGGGTCCCTGGGCATCCTCCCCACAATATCCAGCAGGCCTTTCCTATTTCTTCTTTGTAGAGGCCTGTGAGTCTCTCTTATCACCTCAGAAATTACTTGTTTCATTCCACACAACTTGGCCAATCCAGCAACCAGGACTTCTCAGCTCACAGACCCTTTTTCCAAAGAAAGAGTTGAGGGAAGTTTTCTTCAGGATTAACTGAATCCCAATTTTCACTCTCCCTTGGAGATGGTGGGGAGAGTGGGAGAGAAGGAGTGAGGGAAAAGGGGATGCCCTTCTCAGAAAGCCGCCACTGGGGTGAGGGGCCTGGCGCTGCCAACCCCCACTCCACCTCCGCTCAATGACACAAACCCCAGAACCCTGGAAACCATCTGACCCAGGAAACTGTCTTAAGGCCCAGACTGAAGCATGGTTTGTCTGAGCTGGTGTTGCCATGAAGAGGTGGAATGACTTGCTGCCAGTATCAAATCAAGGAAAGCATTTCAAGGCCTGGAGGGTCGAGTCACAGAGGGATTGAGATTTGTCTGGAGGGCAGAAGGTAGAAGGAAGGACTCGATGGTAGAAATGCTACCACCCACATAAATAATAATAATAGTAAATGTTTATGATTAGCGCAAGCCCACTCACGCACTTCCCACAACAACCTAGGGAAGCAGGTACATGATTATCTCCCCTTTAGAGATAAGGATGCTGAAACTCAGCAAGTTGAAGTAATTTGCCACCTAGGAAGGGGTGGGGCTGGATTCTGGCTCCAGAACCCTCGCTCTGCAGAGCAGCTGTTTAGAGAATAAGTGCTCTGGGCGAGGCCTCAATAGGCAGTTGGTTCTCTTTGTTAATTATTGCCACAGGGCAAGGAAATAGAGCAACTCTTCTGAAAGCCACATAAACCGATTGTCAAACGTCAGCTTCACACCTCATGCTGTCACAGTGGAGTTCATTTCCCAAGCAGTGCACCCAGGGGACACACCAGGAAGAGTGGGGCGTCTGGGCAAACATTCTCAAATTCTTTTTTGGCAGAATTGGTGGGGGTGGGGGTGGATATCTGGTTACGTCTGCGTTAAACATTTTTCAGGCTAGACTGTCTTGGAGTAGACCCCAGATGCCTCCATCACCGTATATTTGTGCGATGGAGCCAACTCCACACGCTTCCCAAAGACAAACCTGGTGGAGCCGTGAGACCCCCTGGGCTCCTCTTGAGAGGGGGTGGGATGGCAGTCTAGAGAGGCAAGCCCCCAATCTCCTGAGCTTCCACAAGGGTGCAGCCATGCCTGCTCCCAACTTGACTGTCTTATCTTACAAGGGGAAGAAGATATTGGTGACCTCCCAGGTGCCTGCCAGGCAGCACACCCTTCAGCTTACCACTCCTCTGCCTTTGTGGCAAGCTCAGCCAAAAGGAGGGATATACTGTTTGTACTTGCTTTAAGGATGCATGTCCTCTTTACTCTTTCAGGGGTTCAAAAGTCCACCCCTGGGCCAGGCTAGCTCAGCAGAGAGCTGGGGGTCTGCCCTACAGGAGTCGGGCTTTAGGGATTGAACCTTGCCGGATACCATTCAAATAAACTGGTCACTGGTCGGTGGCAAGGCTGTCAAGGGGAGGCTGTTCATGACATCACACAGCAGCAGAACCAAAGGTGGTCCCCACCTGAGCCTTTCTTACAAACAAGTTTAGGTGAAGAGATATACAAATGCAGATTCCTAACAAACAGCCCCGTCCTCCATGCACACATACTCCTGAACGCCCAGTGGTTGGCTTATACACCCTCCTGTGTGGACATTCTAGAGCTGCCACTGCTTCTAGGGTTCTTAGTACTAGGGTAGCTGGGTTCCCAAAGCCTGGATCTGTTTCCACACTGAAGACACTCATGACCAGACCTTGGGAATTATACAACTGACCTGGTTCCTTCCTTTATATTGGCTGTTAGAAAGCTTAGAGACAGGGCCAGGCACAGTGGCTCATGCCTGTAATCCTAGCACTTTGGGAGGCTGAAGCGGGCAGATCACTTGAGCCCAGGAGTTCAAGACTAGCCTGGGCAGCATGGCAAAACCCTGTCTCTACCAAAAATACAAAAAATTAGCCAGGCATGATGGCGTGTGACTGTAGTTCCAGGTACTCAGGAGGCCGAGGCAGGAGGATAGCTTGAGCCCAGGAGATGGAGATTGAAGTGAGGTGACATTGCACCATGGCACTCCAGCCTGGGCGACAGAGTGAGACTCTGTCTCAAAAAAGCAAAACAAACAAAAAAACAGCTTAGAGAAAAATGAGTGGCTCCCTAGAGCAAAGAAACACAGCCTTGAGATATTTGTTCAAATCTTTTTGTATTTCTTTCCCTTTTTTTTTTCAAACTGGAGAAACTTTTCAAATTCCAATATACAAAATAATACTATACTTGATCCCTGCCATACAAAATGGACAACTGTTACTATTTTATTTGCTTCAAACCCATAAAACATTACATGAAGTTGAACGCCATCTGTCTCCCTCTAAAACTGTTCCACCACACCCCTACCACCCCAGCAGCAACCACTATTGAGTTTGCTTCTAATATTTCTTTTTAAAATAACAAATATTTATATGTGCTTATAGAAATCTGTGGTTAGATTTTTTCTATGAGTTGTATACATGATCACAGTATGCATTATTTTGCAATTGCTTTTTATTAATAATGTAACAATGTGTTTTGTTTTGTTTCTTTCCCACTCTTTATATGTATTCTCTGTTGTATTTTGTGGTTTCTTTTTTTTCTTTTTTTTTTTTCGAGACAGAGTGCCACTCTTGTTGCCCAGGCTGGAGTGCAATGGCACAATCTTGGCTCACTGCAACCTCCACCTCTCCACCTCCCAAGTTCAAGCAATTCTCCTGCCTCAGCCTTCCAAGTAGCTGGGATTACAGGCAAGTACCCCCACACCTGGCTAACTTTTGCATTTTTAGTAGAGATGGGGGTTTTACCATGTTGGCCAGGCTGGTCTCAAACCCCTGACCTCAGGTGATCCACCCGCCTCAGCCTCCCAAACTGCTGGGATTACAGGCACGAGCCACCACGCCCGGCCTGTGGTTTCTTATTAGCCACCCTATATCCTTTTTGGAACAAGGCAGAGTTCAAAAGGAATTAATAAAATAATAGTTTTTGGATGTGATAGTTGTCATAAGAAAGATCTATTAATCTGCTATCCATCTTCATGAAAGCCTAAAACAAACAAACAAAAACAAGTCAATGTTGCAGCAGTAGAGACTTGAGCTAGATTTCAGGAAGCCTCCCCTATAATGGATGGCTTTGCCTCTATTTTACCTGGAGTCAAGGGAATGCATGAAGTCAACTGATTCATTAGATTTTAAATCAAAGAACAAATACTGGCCTGGAGCTGATAGACCAGCTATGAGACTAAATGCTGGGGAAGATACAAGTGGTCTAGAAGGGGCCTTCTGGGGTTCTACCATCTTGTTGGGGAGATAAGGCTGATCATGGGTAAGACAGTGCAGAAGCAGGTGGGCAATGTGCTCGAGAGGTTAAGGGCACAGAGTCCAATTGCCCAGGTTTGAATCTTTAGTCTGCACTTCCCAGCTTTATGAGTTTACTTTGGGCCTCTATTTCTTCATCCATAAAATGGGAATACAAGGTTATGTGAAAATTAAAAGTACTAAAATATATAAAGCTCTGAATAGAATGTCTCGCACTTGGTAAGGACTACATGATGTGTCTTTTAAGTAAAAATAAGTGTTATTTGAATGGCAGATATCATAAGCTGGAATGATCTAGAAATAGCTTTGAGATGGAGATGATTAGAAATGGCTTTACAGAGCAGGTGTCAGAGAGAGCATGATCAAAGGCCTGCACAATTTGGATCTCTTGGCAGAGGAGAACTTCACCAACACTTGCCCAAAAAGTTATGTGTGGGGCACAGTGAGGAAACAAGTCAATCAAGACACAAAGAGAAATGCAGAATCTAAGATGAATGGGTGCAGGGAGTAGGGCTTGATATCAAGACCAAGAGTTCAGGATTTATCCTGTAAGAAATAGGGAGCCAATGAAGGTTCTGTGTGGCAGTGACATGTCACAGGGAAATGTATTAATCAGGATAGGTTGTGGAACAAACACTCCTCCCCCATTTCTCAGTACTAAGCCAACAAAATTTATTTCTTGCTCAGGTTACAGGTCCTCTGCCTGTCGGCTGAGCCTTTGCCCCATTTAGTTTCAGTCTGGGGAATCTATCTCGAACAGCATTGTCCAATCTTTTGGCTTCCCTGGGTCACATTGGAAGAAGAAGAATTGTCTTGGGCCACACAAAATATGCTAACACTAACGAGAGCTGATGAGGGAAAAGAAAAAAAAAATCACACACACACAAAAATCTCATAATGTGTTAAGAAAGTTTATGAATTTGTGTTGGGCTGCATTCAAAGCTGGTCACAGGTGGCCAGCCAGCCGCAGGTTGGACAAGTTGGATCTAGAATATTGCTGTGCTATTATTGCAAAGGGACAAAAAGCATATGGCAAACCATGTGCCCCTGGCTCTTAAAGCTTCCGCCTGGAAGGGACACGTACTGCATTGGCCAAAGCAAGTCAGAGAGCCAAGCGGGCTGTCAGTGGGGCTGGGATGTATGTCTTCCCCAGGCAGGGGCAGCAAATATTTGTGAACAATAATGTAACCTACCCTAGGGCATTTTAGGACCCTGCCTAAGATTACCGCACAGCTTTCTGCTATGATATCCCCTCAGCCCACTAACATTGTTTATCACTCATTATTACAAATTTTTCTTTAGACCTTGATGCTTTAGAATTTGCCTTGAAATCAACATGGATCTCACCCCCACCTCAGGAAGTCTCCATTAGCTGATTAAAAGGAAAGAGTTCTTCTAAGACCTGTTTTTTTTTCCCCAAGCTTGAGAAATGAATATAATGTTTCTGTTTTTGAGTTACTCAGGCATCTTGGTTGAGGTGAGCCTCTGTGGTTCTCCAGTTTGCCTAGTTTTATAATTTTGTAGCCTGCTGCGATTTCTGGCCTATTGATTAATGGGTCTCTCTCTCTCTCCACCACCAGCGACCTTAATCTTTTCTTAATTGCTTTAATGGCTGTTCGGCTTCCCTCTCGTGCCTTCCCCCACAATGTTGTTGTTGCTAAGCTTTTGTGTCTTAACTTCATTCTCCAACCGAGGACTTTGCAGGCGAGTGAAAGGTGAATTCTCTCTTTGTTTACCCTTTTTTCCTTGTTTTTCTCTTTTGCTTTATTTCTTCTTCAGCTGTTTTCACATTTCTTAGCCAGTATGGGGCATTGTCTGAGGTAATTGGGCAAAAACAGAAAAATAAACAAAAATATAATGAGGGGAGGTCAAGGACAAGGTCTCCCCTCAACCCCCCCAAGTGACCCCTGCACCTACTACATCCGCATCCAGTCTGGTCACTGCGCCTCCCTCTCTCTCTCTCCTGCCCCTCCAAGGCCAGCAGCTCCTCCCCCAGGCAGAGGGTGTCCAAGGTCTTCCTGGAAGCCAGACTGGGATGGGCTGACTTTCACCTGACCTGGTTTGGGGCTGTCTCCTTCATTAGGAATAACTTCTCAGAGCTTCTTCAAATATGCTTTATTCGTTTCTTCCTTCATCGGTTTATTTGCAAAGACTTATTGAACGCTTACAGTGTGCCCGGCATGCCAAGTACCATGGGAAAGAACAAATGAAGCTCAGGCCTTGAGCTGCAGTCACGCACAGGTCAAACTAGCAGAGGGGAAAGAGTACGGAACCCAGCAATGCATCAGGAGCTTTCGAGAGCTCCGAATAGCAAATACTGTGGGAGTTCTGAGGTGAGAGGCCACTGTGGGCTAAGAATCGGGGCAGGCTTCCTAGAGGAGGTGGGCTTTTAAATAGGCCTTAAAAGATGGATAGAACAAAGGAGACAAAAGAGAAGGCATTTCTGGAAGTGAGAGGCACATGGGTGCCGGGGAGAGTAAGGGCTTAGGGGCAGGAGCACTGACTCCCATCTGCCCTGGGCCTGGCCATCATGGCCTTCGAGGTAGGGTGTGGTGGGAGGAGAGCTTTGTATGTACACCATGCCCAGGGTCTGTGTGCACTGGCAGGAGCCCCCTTTCCCGTTTGGTTCCCCACTCTTCTGAGAGGACAAGGATGATAGGAATGGTTGGTGGGTGCTATTTTGAGGGGAAGACAAGGAGGAGGAAATACTCTTTCAATGAGGACTCAGAAAACAAAATTTCTGGAAGCTTCCTGGGTGGCTCCACAAAGTCTAAAAGGACCCATATGGAGCCCATGCCTCTGCACGACCCTAGGCCATTGTCTTCACACCAGGCCTGTTGAGATGTCAAGGTTACGTTTAGGCATCTTGACATATTCTGTTTGCCAGCATCTTATGTTGCCTTTTTTTTTTTTTTTTCAAGACGGAGTTTCACTCTTGTCACCCAGACTGTAATACAGTGGCACAATCTCAGCTCACTGCAACCTCCACCTCCTGGATTCAAGCAATTCTCCTGCTTCAGCCTCCCAAGTAGCTGGGATTACAGGCGCCCACCACCATGCCCAGCTAATTTTTGTATTTTCAGTAGAGATGGGTTTTCACCATGTTGGCCAGGCTGGTCTCGAACTCCTGACCTCAGGTGATCCACTTGCCTCGGCCTCTGAAAGTGCTGGAATTACAGGCATGAGCCACCGCACCTGGCTGTTGCATTGTCTTCTGATGGACCCTATGGTGTCAGTGAACCCTGGGGGCAGGCCTGAGTCTTCTTCTGTACATGAATGGACAGAACCCAGGAAACTGCTGAGGACTGCCTGAGCAAAACTGCTTGACACCAGCAGGGCCTGTGGGGAACACTGGGTCCCAGGGACTCACTTCTACTCTTGTTTATAAACTCTCAGATGAGACACAAAGAGAAAGACCATTAATTGAATACTTATGTCAATAAATTAAGGGAGACATAAGGTGTGTGGTTATGAGTTTATCTCTGGGGTCTGATGGACTTGAGTTCAAATCTAACCCTTGAAATCTGCCTCTTCCCAGCTGGGTGATCTTAAGAGGTTATTTAATCTCTTTTTTCTTAAAATGTCTCAGTTTATTGACAAAATATTTCAGAGAACTATGTAACAAGTATTTATATATAATCTTTACATTTATATATGAGGTACTCATGTATTTTCCACTAGCATTAAAGACATAAACATTGCATTATAGTTACTTCCTATCACCCTTTTTTGAAAGAAGAATTGAAAGGTTAACAATTAGCTAAAACAATCCTCTTCTCTTCCCCTTCCTTCCTCTCCAAAGGTAACCAGTTTCTTGAAGTTGGTGTTTATTATTCCAGTGCATTTTGAAAAACACTTACTGAATATGTGAGTATCTATAATAAAACCAGGGGTCCCCAACTCCCAGGCCACGGACCAGTACCAGTCCATGGCCTATTAGGAATTGGAGTACACAGTTCATACATGAGTATCATACATGCAAGAGGTAAGTGGCGGGTGAGTAAGTGAGGCTTCATCTGTATTTATAGCCACTCCCCATTGCCCACATTACCACCTGAGCTCTGCCTCCTGTCAAATCAGTGTCGGCATTAAATTCTCATAGGAGCTCAAACCCTATTGTGAACTGTGCATTCGAGGGATCTAGGTTGCACACTCCTTATGAGAATCTAATGCCTGATGATCTGTCACTGTCTCCCACCACCCCCAGATGGGACCGTCTAGTTGCAGGAAAACAAGCTCAGGGCTCCCACTGATTCTACATCATGGTGAGTTGTATAGTTATTTCATTATCTATTACAATGTCATAATAATAGAAATAAAGTGCAAAATAAATATAATGTGCTGGAATCATCCCCCCACCCCCTGGTCCATGGAAAAATTGTCTTCCACGAAACCAGTCCCTGGTGCCAAAAAGGTTGGGGGAACCTCTGTATAAAAATATATGCTGCTTTCACAGGCTTAAAGTTTTATATGATGGGTACCATATTTTACAGATCCTTTTGAAAATTCCTTTTCTATTGGACTGTAGATCATTTCCTTGTGGATTTGTAGGGGTTCTTTTAAGCCCCAGTTTCCTCATCTGTGAATGGGAGTACTAACAATCCCTGCATCACAGAGTTGCTGTAAGGATTAATGTAAATGAGTATCCTACATGCAAGTGTTTTGGGCCCTATCACACAGAGTAAGGATAAGCAGAAAATCAACTTCCACAGAATTCCTCTCGGTGAGAGCCTTGTGCCTGCTTGGAGGAAATCTGCTAGATGACATCAAAAGGCTAGATGACATCAAAAGGCTAGATGACATCAAGAGGAGGGTGAGGCAGGAAAGGAAAACTCAAGAGCAAAAGCTGGCTGCTAACTGGCTGCAGAGTGTGAAGTGCCAGATTTGCATCACCACTGCGAGGGAGCAGGAGAGAGAGGCTGCCCACCACATGCAGAAGGGGGAAGAGTTAATAAAGAGAGAAAAAGCAATAAAGAAACCTCAGAGTGACAATGGAGGAAACATAAGTCTCCTAGAGTTTTGAGGTTGGTTGCAAAGTAAGTGGTATCACTGTTTCTCGTAATGCAGTCTCCACTACTCACAAATGGTGCTAGGAAAAGCCTCTTTGGGGACTGTGAGAGGTGCCAGGGTGTGCACTTGGGTTGGGATGAAAACAGACAGCACCTGTGCACATAAATCCCTGAGTTGGAGTGGAGAGCTGTCAGCTCAAAAGCTGTTTGCTGGTTTAATGACATCAACCCCATAATTGGCCTTTTCTTTTTCTATTACTTCACTTAATCCTAGCAGTGGCCTCATGAGGCCTTACTATCATTTCCATATTACTTAAGGGACATGAAGCTCAAATAAGTAAAGTTACTTTTCTAGGATCATGCAGGCAGTAAATAGGGAGGCAAAGATTGTGTCTGGGTGTGTCAGACTCTAAAACTTCTGTTCTTGGAGAGAGAGATTGGGGGAAGGGAAACAGGAAGAAAAAGACAGGAGGCAGGGAAAGGAGCAGGAGATGGTGGGGGTGAGGGGCAAGGATAGAAACTATTGCTTATCTTCACGGCAGCCTCATGTTGAAGGAAAGGAAGGCCAAGCAGGGCCCTGGAATTCCAAGTTACTCACAGCTAGAGTTGCCAAATTCAGCAAATGACAATACAGGATACCCACTTAAATGCAAATTTTTGATAAACAGCAATAATTATGTTCTATGCAATATGTGGGACATACTTATACTAGAAATTCACTTGCTGTTGATCTGAGATTCAAGTTTAATGGCGCCTCCTGCATTTAATCTGGCAAATCTACTCACAGGGCATCCCAGGCCAAGCGCAGGAAGAGACGAGCAGCAGCATCTGGAATAAGGCACCACAGCAGATCCTTCCTAATGCTTGGATGTCACAGCTCACAGCTCACACATCCTGGGTAGCGACGGCCTCCTTTCAGAGCAGCCTCCCCTCAACCTCCTGAGTGAACTGGCCAAGCATGGCAGAAAAGAGAAGTGTCCGGAAACTGTAGGCAATGCCGTGCACACAGCATCTCTGCTACCCACCAGGGCCTTGAGGGACAGATGGACAAATTGGGAGAATGGAAAAGTTTACCTCTGGAAAGTTTCACTTCCCATTTCTTCATCCTTCTCCCTTCTTCCAGCACGCACTCTCCAAGCCAGGTTCCCTGAGAGTCCAGGCTGCTCTGGTCCTGCCAAAGCATTTGATAAAATAGTCCACAAGAGGTTGCAGTGATTCAATGTGGGGCTCCTCCTGGAGAGCCTGCAATGGAGAGGAAGAGCCCCAGGAGGGATATGTTTCAGCCAAAGGCATAAAACTCAGATGGTAACATTGATGAGTGCTGGAGGGAAATTGGGAACAGAAGGGCTCTTTTGGTACCCCCCTCCCCTCAAATATCAACTATGAACCACCTACAGTCCATCTGCCCTATAATGCCAGCCCTGCCTGAATGAATCAATAAATCAACACAGTGATGTAGCATCAACTCAACACGCTATTCCAGGCTGATTCAAACCTACTGGGGTTGTCCTGCTTCGGGCTGCTTCCTCCTGCCCTGGGGGGCTCTTGAAGGGCTGAAAAGCTCTCTTTGTACAGACATCACCAGCACTGAACACCTGAGAGGGTCCCTAGCCCCTCTGGTTCTCACTTCTGTTCTCCTCCTGTCCTTAAGTGGTTTCCCACACTAAGAGCAGACTCAGAGGCCAGCTCCCAGAGAAGGGGGCTCTAGACCAGCGTCTCCACATTTACCCCGTCCTTGGCTTGCTGTGGCTACCCCAGAGTGTCAGGCCGGCCACCCAACTGTCCCACATCTCAACAACCTCCGTGTGCTGTTTCCATGACAACCGAAGGCATCGCTGTCCTTCTACATCTATAACACAAATCCCCACACACAGTGTTTTATCCCCACGCCCAGGATTCTCACTAAGACCCTCTTATGGTCCCGTGGAGCATATGCACGCTCTGCCTAACAGACCCCCTTCCTGTCAGCTTCTAAGAATTTTATTGCCAGGAGTGGTGGCTCACACCCGTGATCCCATCACTTAGGGAGGCTGAGGTGGGTGGATCACCTGAGGTCAGGAGTTTGAGACCAGCCTGGCCAACATGGTGAAACCCCATCTCTACTAATAATAAAAAATTAGCTGGGCATGGTGGCGCCCACCTGTAATCCCAGCTACTCAGGAGGCTGAAGCAGGAGAATCACTGGAACCCGGGAGGCAGACGTTGCAGTGAGCCAAGATCATGCCACTGCACTCCAGCCTGGGTGACAGAACGCGACACCATCTCAAAAAAAAAAAAAAAAAAAAAAAGAATTTTATTAATACTCCCATATTTACTCAAAGACATCCATGGAAGGCCTTCTCTTTAAAGGTTATTTCTTTAAAAATGTGTGGTAAAAGTTAAAAATGAACAGGGTGTGGGCAATTACAAAAATCCTGGGTAGCACTGAAGCTGTGATAGGAGCTTCAGAGATGTGAGGGAGAACTTGGCCCAAAGGCCTGTATGTGGAGATGTGATTATTCTTCAAGCAGGAGTTAATGGGGAGGCAGATCTCCAAATATTTCGTACACAGATTATGGCCAATTATCAGATTATACAAGAGGCCAGCACACTGGCTCCCCTCTGGCCATCCTCACATCATCAACGCACAAGTGGCAAGGAATAAGGGGACCTGGGAGAGAGGCCCGGGCTGAGGGGAATGAGGAGTGGAGACCTCAGGGAGTGATCTGCTCCCTTCCTCAGCCCCCTGCCTCCTCTCCAGTTCCACTCACAGCAGCATCCTGAGGGGCCACACTCTACCTCACCCAGGTGGCCCCCCAGTCACAGACGTGGCTTGCTCACAGCCCCCCTCCATACCAGCCAGACCTTCTGTCCCATAGGCCACCAGCAAAGCCACTCCTGATACTAATTTGGAATGAACATAACATTCCACAAAGGGAAGAGGATGGAGAAGTTGGGATTATAAAACCTCATCATCTGATTTCTTAGACCTTTGCAAAATAATCACATTTTGTTGATCCGGTCAGAGAGGGTCCTGGCTGGGAAGGGAAGTCCAGGAAGAGGACAGGGGTTGTCTTTTGGATTCAGGCTTCTGGAGGACTGAGACCTGGTCCATTCTTTGGCCCTTCCTGAGGGTTCAGAAGTCTCTCGATGATTCCTGTGTGTCTACCAGGAGGCCCCTCCTAATGGGGCAAGGGCTGTGGGGCTTAACAGTCCCCACAGAACCTACCCTGCCTTCTCCCCTCTTAGTGATCTTCCCTCTTCCTCTCTGCCCCTTCCTTGTTGACTGGTTAACCAGGGGGCAGCTCACATGTCAGGTCTTCTATATAATCCGATAAGTGGTTGTAATCAGGGGGTGAAATCTCCATGGATGTCCTTTTTGGGTCTCTCGTGATAGCAAAATTAGTTTTTTCGGTCACAGATTCTAAACCCAACCTAGGGCTACTTTACCCCAGATGACTCTCCCCTCCAGAGATGGGATGGAATGGGATATCCGGTGATGAGTTCCCCATTGAGTGCTCTGTTTCAGCCTCAGCCCTGGTGTTTGGGACATTTAGGGATTTTGTGACAAGTCCCACAGGGCAGGCTGATTTCTCTGGACTGCCTTGCCCCACATCAGTCAGGTCCCACCAGGTCCCCTCAAATGAGTGACAGCCCAAGTATAGCTGGGATTTTAAGTTATAAGGCAAATTCCATTTCCTGGTTCCAGAGGGGAGCAGAGCTCTCACAGAATAACTCAACCTTCACGGCACCACTGTACATCCTGGCCTTCCCCCACCCCCTGCATGGCTCTGGAAGGGCATTCTCCACCTTGTTCACTTTGTACCTATTCCAACTCTACTTTGGATGATACCTGTCTTCCTAAATATGCAAAATGCCAGACCCTCTTGCAGTTCCTGCCGTGCCCCCTCACCCTGGCCAGATGACAGTGGGAGATTGTCCTCTACACTTGGAGCACAAGGGAAACTGAGGCCCTGGAAGAATGCAGACTTCTCAGTCCCTTAGCCCAGGAACTTTCTAAGATCAAGATATCAAGTTTGGATGTTAAATAACAGGGACATCCCCAGGTTGTGTGATCTCTCTGCCCTTTCCCCACCCCATCACTCTCTGGGTGGGACCCCAAACTTCTGAAAGTGCTCTGAGTTGCAGAGCAGCTGCAGTATCTGCTGGATCCGTGCTCTTGGCCACTCCATTCGCCTGGCTGCTGTTCACAAGGCCCTGGGTGAGCCACCGCCACCTTCTTTCCACCACTCCCTGACCCCAAATGTGTGACTTTTCACTAGCCCAGCTGCTTCTAAGTCTGAAAAGCTAATGTTTAAAAAATAAAGTCCCCAAATCAGCAGACGCATAAGTAATTGCATCCTGGCAATATTAAATTAGACGAGTTAGAAAAGCAGCAGGGAAGGGTGATCATTCACTACTTAGGAGGATACTCCCTGAGTAAACACCAATGCAAGAGTCTTATTTCCTCCCTTGGGTCATCCTGACAACCCTTTCTGCCACCACCCTGAGTCTCAGCCCCCTAGATCCCCAGCCCCCAAAGACACCAACCTGGTCAAAGCAACAGTGACTGTACACCTCACCTAGATTCCTTCACCTCCTTCCTTCCCAGATGTCTGAGACATATGTGGTGAGAAGAACTGATCCCAGGGGTCTCGGGTGAACTTGAGAGGACCCTCAGGGAGATTAGGCAGCGTCTCTAGCCAGTGCCACAATTTAAAACAGGCTTATGGGGGAACCGAGTCAGGATTCTAATTAAGTCTTGGTCAGGAAGTTCTGGATTATAGAACAGACAAGCCCAAAAGATCTTGCAGAAATTGGAGTGTAATAAATTCCACATGTCAGAATAGTAGTGAGTGGAGGGGGATCCCTGTGTGTCAGCCTTCAGGGAATGTCCCAAATAGCCACAAGCAGGCACCTTCCCAGCGTGAATGGCTTGGGCGCCAGAATTAGCCAAAGGCATGGCAGACACTATTTTGACACCAGAGCAGAGCTATCTGGGAGGCAGCAGAAACTGCAATTTCAAATGGGAATTAAATCACTGCAGGTGTAGGATTATTTTCCATTTAGGAGAAAATGCCCCCCCATTTGCATTTTGTAAATTAAAAAGTAGTTAGCAATTCAGCTTTGGAAAGCCAGTTTCCTATTCGTCCTCAGCAGTTCTGAGGATTTTGGTGACGTGACAGTAAGTAATACGTACCTAGTGATTAGGGCTGCCAGTTTAGCAAATAAAAATACAGGATGCCCAGTTAAATTTGAATTTCAGATAAACAATGAATAAGTTTTTCATATAAGCATGTATTATACTAAAGAAAATTATTCATCAGTTATCTGAAATTCAAGTTTAACTGGGAGTCCTGTATTCTCTCTGATAACCTTCCCACTGATGGTGGAGGTCACTGCCAATGCAAAGACATCAGCTCCACCTCTGTGTCTGGGGCAGAACAGAAAGGTGCCATGAAGCCCTCTGGGGCATTCCTCCCTCTTTTCACCTCCCTCTCCATAAAGAACCCACTCATTCACTTATTCATTCAACTGACATTTATTGCGAGCCTATTATGTATCAGCCCTTGCACAGTATGGGAGAGACAATCATGACATAGCCCCTGTCCTTGAGGTTGGCAGCCTGGCGAGGGAGTCAAGACACATTCATAATCATGGTGACTTAAGGGTTACTCTAGCATTGGGATAAAGCAATGAGGGAACACTATACGGTAGCATGCAGCCTTGGAAAACTTATGGTAGCACAGTCACACAATTTTACTTTGAGGTAAAGTCCCCATCAATGTGTTCTGTGACTCATAAAGTCACTGAACCTCTCTGAGCCTCACTTGCTTCACCTGAGTAAAGGTGATGTTAATGACAGTACTTGTCAAACAGGCTTGTTCTGAGAAGCCAATGGACCAGCCAGCACTTGGTAAACCATAAGGTGCCATGTGAATGTGAACTATCGTTCACTCTCAAAATGATTATTGTTTGGAAGCTCCTCAAAAAGTTAAATATAGAATTACCATATGATGGAGCAATTCCACTCCTAGGTATATACCCAAAAGAACAGAAAACAGGGATTCAAATTTGTATACCAATGTTAATAGTAGCATTACTCACAACAGCCAAAAGGTGGAAACAACCCAAATGTCCAGCACATATGAATGAACATACAATATGTAGTACATACACACAAAGGAATATTATTCAGCCTTAAAAAAGAATGAAACTCTGACATATGCTACATGACAAACCTTGAAGACATTATGCTAAGTGAAATACATGGCCAGATGTTGTGGCTTACATCTGTAATTCCAGCACTTGGGGATGCCAAGGTGGAAGGATTGCTTGAGCCCAGGAGTTTGAGACAAGCCCAGGCAACACAGTGAGGCCCCATCTCTACAAAATATTTAAAAATTAGCTGGGCATGATGGTGCGAGCCTGCAGTCTCAGCCACTCAGGAGGCTGAGGTGGGAGGATCACTTGAGCCTGGAAGGTCGAGGCTGCAGTGAGCCATTAGCACACCACTATACTCCAGCCTGTGCAATAGAGTGAGACCCTATCTCAGTTTTTTAAAAAAGAATATGCTAGACACAAAAGGGCAAATATTTTGATTCCACTTATATAAGATCCCTAGAATAGGCAAATTTATAGAGACAGAGAGCAGATTAGAGGGGACTAGGGGCTTGGGGGAGTGGACGTAAGTGTTCAGTGGGAACAAGGTTTCTGAAGGGTAGATTTTGTGTTATGTATTTTTACCGCAATTTCGGAAAAATGATTGTTATCCAGAGAAGGCTGGAAAGGTCAAGTAAGGCATCACGGAGGAGGTATGACTTGAGTAGGATTTGGCTGGGGGAGATGGAGGAAGAACTTTAAGCAGAACAGGCTAACGGCGGGAAGGGCAGGGCTCCAGGAGCCTCACAAGCACAGTAGCTCCGCAGGGGACGCAGGGGACGCAGGGGACGCAGGGGACGCAGGGGACGCAGGGGACGTGTGGGCCTGAGGCTGACCGGCTGCACCGCCACCTGCTGTGGAGCTGTCCTGCAGGCCAGGAAGAAAGTGCCCACGCTGCACAGAGTAGCATGGGACAAAGGCTTGAGTGGGAAGTGGGTGGCGGGTGTCCTATCACGGAGCCACCACCCCAAGAAGCAATGGGCTGGGAGGGGAACTGCAAATCACAGGAGGAAGTGAGTCCAGTGAAGTCAGAGGAGCAGCCCACCCGGGGGCGGGAGGGGGCGCTGCATTAACCAAGGTGTGGAGGGAGTGTGGCCATCTGGAGAGGGAGGGAAGGCGCAGTGTAGTGGAGACATCCTCCAAGTTCTGGAAGAGTCACACGGGAAGGGTACTTGTACAGAGTAACCCAGGCAGAACGGACTACATCCAATCTAAGATGGCGGCCACACCAAGCAGGGACCCTTGTAATTATTCCAAATCTCTTCCCACATCTCTTTCCGGATCTCTTCTTGTACCTCAAGGGAGACTGCTCCTGTACCCAGCCATCCCCTGGGCCAGAAAGTAGACATAATATCAGTTCCCTAAGGGCAAAATTTCGTCTGGGTGCGGTGGCTCACGCCTGTAATCCCAGCACTTTGGGAGGCCGAGGCGGGTGGATAACCTGAGGTCGGGAGTTCAAGACCAGCCTGACCAACATGGAGAAACCACGTCTCTACTAAAAATACAAAATTAGCTGGGCGTGGTGGTGCATGCCTGTAATCCCAGCTACTCGGGTGGCTGAGGCAGGAGAATCGCTTGAACCTGGAAGGCGAAGGTTGCGGTGAGGCAAGATCTTACCATTGCATTCCAGCCTGAGCAACAAGAGCGAAACTCCGTCTCAAAAAAAAAAAAAAAAAAAAGGGGGGCACAAAGTTTCAGTGCCCCTTGCTCCTCACTCACCCACCTTCCCACCAACACACACAGAGGAAATCTAGTTTTCCTCGGATTCAGGTCAATTTCAGCCAGTTATAAATTCTGCAGATAGACTTCTTCCCATTTTGTAACCCTCAAACCTCTCAACCTCATTCCCAGAAAAGGGGTTGGTATTGGGCATCTTACATCCTTTTGCAAATTCAAACTTTGGTGTTCCTTTTTCCAAAAATATTTGCATTTCAGTCAACTCTACCATTAAAAGATCTTGAACATAAGGGAGCAGAGGCTGTGGAGGATTTGAGAGCCAGGGTGGTCTTTCTGGCTCCCACGCAGCAGTCACTCCTCCTCCAACCTATACGAGACACTCTCCTGATGAAGGGGTCACCTCTCCCCACTCCTGGAAGATTGTCACCTCTTCCTTAAGTTAGTGTCAGGCATTGGCTAAACAGCAAGGTTTATGTTTAATAATAAAACATCTTAACAGCAAACAGAAAATTCTCTGTAAATAGAGATCATTTAAGATGACAGTGGATTAACATTTTAATTAAACATGGCAATTCCAATCATTTTTATCATTATAGAAATACCCAACATTTTGACACATTTCAGGCATAAATTGATGGTTCCAGTCTGATGGCAAATTGATGTAATTTTTCAGGTAGTATTTGTAAGCTTTCAGTGGCAGCAAGAGATGGTATTCAACAGAGGTATAGATTCTAACATTCCCATTCAAAATACTAATTCTGAAGCCTCCATGCCTCCATTCATAGTCATACACACTATGAGAAATTAATTTGATGTTTTATGGTTTGCAAAACTCACACCAAAAGGTGCTTTGCTTGTCCCGGTGGAATGTTCTACTTTGTTCTGTCATTGAAAGGCATGGCAAGCAGACCTGGTATGTGTATTTGTCTCAGCAATTACTGATTTATTGAGAATGGAGGATGTACTTAGCATCATACTAGTGCTGATCCTCACAGGGGACCATGCAAGGCAGCTATTACTGTCCCTCCAGATGAAGAAATTGAGGCTCAGAGCAGACAAGTAATTTGCCAAAAAGTACCCAACTAGAAAGTGGCAGAACTAGGACTGGAACTCCCAACCATTGAGCTCTTTTCACTACTGCGCTTATTCCCCCAAATGAAGCTACGCAAAGCCTTTCCTGAAAGGCGACTCAATTAATATTTGTCCATTTGTTATTTTCTTCCTATATTGGAGGCCAAAGAAGACCCTTCAACTAACTGATCACACAAAGTTGTATCAACTAGCCTTAATGAGACGAGGTCTTTGTCACGTTTCCTTTGTGCCAACTCCCTTACCTCAGGACCAGCACCACCACCATCATCAACATCATCATCATCATCATCAAAATTCAGATTCTACTTGAAGGACAGATACCTTCAAGGAAAAGATAAATGCTTTAACAGAGCATTTTTTTTAACATTAAACAATTTCAATCTTTAAAAACTAGTTGCGGCTAAAAATATTCTTGGGTTCATTACCTATATTACTACTCTTCTAGTGTGCTGAACCATTTGCCTTAGAGTCCCTTGAGAAACATGCATGGCTTTTCCAGCAAAGTTAAGTGACTTCTATCCTCTTGGAGCCTCCTGCTACCCTCTTTCAGCCATATAAGCTGGAGTTTGACAAAAAACTACACAGAAATTTTCACTTTGAAATAATAGACCTAGCCAAACAAAGTCAATGCCCATCAAAGCAAACATACTGAACCAAGTCCAACTTACGTATTATAAGTTTTGAAAACTCTGGAATGTGTCAGAGAAAATAAAATCACTCTGAGAAATATAGTACAGTAAATATTCTCAACTCTTTGTAGGTAGTTTAATTATATTGGCTATTGTTGCTGAGAAATGTTTAGCAATATTGTGATGTTTTAGAATGATAAGACTCTGTGGGGCCAAATAATGTTTATTAATAAATTCAATAAATATTTCCAGAATAAAGTTGTTGATGCCTTTAGCACAACCTCTCGTAGATTAAAAAAAATATGAGGATATGATAGTCCTTTTTCATTTTTATAAACCCCATATGGCTTAGCCTAGTGCCATTCTTGTAACAATTTGCTCAATAAATGTTTGTTGAATGAATATTAATATTTAATAACAACTCTACAAATACTTGTTGGTGATTCTGTAACTAAAATTATAACTAGAAAGTAAACTACAGATAAACATTGTGAATGTACTAAATAACACTGAATTGTACATTTTAAAATGTTTAATTTGATGTTATGTAAATTTCACCTCCATTTTTAAAAGAACTGCACAGACTAGGAAATAGCAACCTTTCATTAAATTCAACAAGGTATATTCTCATTTTTTCATATCCACTGTAAAGTACAAAAGAGCCCATAAACATTTTTATGTTTTTTATTTAAAAATTTTTAAAAACATAAAGTAGGAAGTTTTTTATTTAAAAACGAAAATCAGTATTTAATAGATAAAATTTAAAAGTTACAACGGAATTTCCAGAAACTGTGATGCAAATAATAGCCTGAAATATGTAAAGGACTCATGGCTTAGTGAGAGGTGTTTACAGGGCTTTGCAGACCCCTCCCTGGCTGCTCCAGTTTGCGCCCCCCACCATGTTCCCATCACACTGTAAAGGGAAGGAAGAGAAAGAAGTCTCCGGGTTTCTTCCCCATCCGAGAAATGTTCCAAGTGCCAGAACACAGACGTGCAGTCTCTCCACTCCCATCCTTTCACCAACTTTAATCACAGTTCCAGATTCAAGGTGGTATTTCTAAGGACGTCAAACTTGTAAATAATTTCCAAAACGAGACTTCCCTCCTTTTATGACAATGTGATGACAGGCTATTTTTTTTAATGCAGTAAAGAAAAAGCCTCTTAACAATCTCAATTCAGTAGTTCAGTAGGGTTGAAAATATAAATGTCGTTTCTTCCAGTTTAGAGAGCAATCTTTTCGTTTCTGATTATTGGCAAAACAGTTTTTCTTTTCCGTTAAAGGGCTGTTTATGGAGATAAATGTTTCCTTGCACACAAACATTCTGAGGACATTGTACAAGGTTTTCAAACTTCATTTTTAGTCGTTAAAGGCCAGTGATTACACACTTGTTCTCAAAAAGTTAATACATTCCGAGTAACCTGCAGCCTGGAATCTGGTGTGTATGAAATTTTCCTTTCTGCTTTCTGGTAAATCACAATGTGACAGCCGAGGACCCTGCCTCCCTCCTTAGGTCTTTAAAAGAAAATGCAAATCCTCATCTCTTCATTAACCCATCTTAGAAAATAACTCAGATGTTCCTAATTTCTCGTCTGATTTATCAGACTGGCCTCTGATAACTTTTGTAAGAAGTCTATTCAACATTCTCAAGGACAAAGGACGCTTTATAGAAATAAATAAAAAGAACTCCTGACATCAACACAAGAGGAGAAAAACATTGGTAAATGTTGCTTGCTTGCTTGAGAATTACTTCAAGTTCTACTCAAACCCACAGATACATAATACTGAGAATGCTTCATTCAAAAACTTCTCTGATATAATCTATGAAAATAACCAAAGGACTCTCCGCATCACTCTACAATATGGATGCTTGGTGAGCTAAAGGAAATCAACAATCTTTCCGTTCAGAGAAAATAACAGCAGCAACAAGTAGGGAGAGATCATAGAATCTGAATGAATCAAAATACGTTTATTCTTAACTCCTGAAACTCTTCTCACCATGTGATTGCATCTACATATATTTTTAAAAAACCTCTCTGAAATTAAGTCGTTTTTTTTTTTTTTTTTTACACATCAGCACTGACTAAACCCTAGGGTCTTCTCAGAATGTCTCCCCGTGATCAGATGGCTTTAAAAAGAATTCTATTTACCAAAATCATTATGCCACTGTTCATTTTCCTCCCTGGGGGACTGGAGGGAGGGCAGGAGGGGAAAGAGAGGACGGCAGGTGAGTTTTTGTGTAAGAGGTGACCCTATCACGCAAATAAACAAGTGAATTTCTTTCGGGATATCTATTATCAAAGACATCTCCAACCCTTAACTGTGTTTCTCAGTTCCTCACCAGAAATAGAAAAAATAAGTGCAGGAACCAGAGATGATGAACTAGTGACCCCAACAAAAGTAAATGCAGATCTTTCTCCTCCTGCCCAAGACACAGCAAAAATAAGGGTGCTTGTGAAGAAATAATTTTCTTGAACACTGCACCGGGCACATTCTCAGCCACTTGGGCACAGTCTGGGCACCTCTCTCTCCACCTTCTCCCTCCCTTCGGACAGATCGCAAGGACGGACCCCCATGCTCCCCAAAATTCCACCATCCATCCCATACTTTTGTTTGTTTTTCTAAAGTTCTCAGTATTTATAGGTCTCCAAGTTGGGAAGGGGGCAGGGTGGAGCTCTTCCCAACAAAGCCAAACTCCAGTTTTCAATAACAAAGCAGGGTGGATCTGTGCGTGTGGGACAGATAGGGCAGGGACAGGGAATGATGTTTGGTTTGTTTTTCTTAGAAGAATGAAATGGAAGGTAGGCAGCCCAGATTCCCGAAGTCAGATTCTGAGGAGGTCAGTAACACTGGGGAAGGAAGCGTTTGAGAAGCTCCCTGATGGAAAATCAGGGTATCTCCCTCCTATCAGAGGGAGAAAAGAGAGCGTGAGGTCTTCTTTAAGAAGGACATCCAAAGGGCGCTTCTGCACAAATGTTTCCTGTCAGCATCCAGAAAGATTTAAAGACATCCCTCAGGTGGGAGAGCACTGTCTCCTCTCCTTAGCTGGAGGGGCGTTGGTCCTCTCGGGTAGCAGGGTAACAGGACATTGGAGGGAGGAGAAAGGCCAGTCTTCCCCAAGGGCCCACAGGACTGTATCTTTGCTCGCTGGAGACTGTTTTGCCTTCACTTCCACCTGGTTCCCGGCAGGGAGTCCTGGCCCTCCTTTGGGGGGGGGGGCCGTTGACTAATGCAACAGTGAAAGCATAGGTCAGCCATCAGGCAAATAATAAACATATTTGCCTCGCACGTCTGTTAAGCCTGTTTAATGGGTCGTCCCTACATGTAAATGGGCTTCCTACCCCAGCCCCTATCACTCCACCTGTATCAACAACAATGCCTCCGCACAATTATCTTACCTTAATGAACTTAATCTTTAATTTCCCAGCTTGGCCCTGGTACTCAGCCTCCTAACAAAGGAAGTGGAACTGTTTGAGTCCCAGTGAGCCGCCTTCCTCCAACAGCTAGGGAAACTTTAGCCACGACAAGGATTTTTGCCCCTTGTGGAACTGTCAAAAGCAATAAATATTTTTCTTTTTATTCCATCATTAGACCCTCCTAAGAATGCCTCCCCATTGTCCACTGTAATTCCCAGAGCTCTCTGGGCAGGGGCGTTATTGTGGAAAATGAATCCTGAAGTGTTAACAATGCTGCCAAAGCAGCTACACTTTTTCTTCTCCCCCCCCCGAGGGCGTAACCGTTAGGAATGTGTCGCCTCACCATAGCCTGCTCGGCGAAAAGAGCACTTGTGTTTTTTAACACTGGTCTTTGAGAAGGATGCTCAAGTTAAAGCATTGTGGCCACTGTAAATAGATGCACTCAGCAGAATAGAGCTTCTTCATTCCTAATTAGGGAAGTAACTCTAGAAAGACAGAATGTCACTTGCTGGGCTGTGCATATTGTTGAGTTTGTGCTCGCCTCCACAATGTGAGGTAATTGGAGTTGTACCTTTTAGAAAGCTGCTAATTTCACATAGGAAGTGCTAACAAGACCTTTCTGGGCCATGTTTTCCTTCTTCCTTTTTAAGGAAGTTACAGACCTTCAGTAGTGGGAATGGCTGAGCCCTGGCCTGGCGGAGGAAACAGCAGTAATGAACCACTTCAGCCCACAGTTAGAAAAAGGAGGCCTCATTTTGGAGTCCTGAGAATACTAGGCACAACAAAAGGTTCTGTTTAAGCTTGTTATCCAGGACATTCTTACAGGCTACACAGCTCTCCCTGCAATGACCCTCTTCAAACAAGTGCATCAAGTTTGAGCAAATAGAAACACGCAACTTTCAAGGTTTGGAGTTATAGTTTTCTTTACAAAGCCATTTATATAATGTAAGCTGCAATTAGCATGGGACAGAGCGAGGAGATTTAGGCTGGAAAGTTCTTTTAACAAAAGATAGAAATTAGTGGAATAAGTAACAGTTAAATATCAGCTTCAGATAACTAGCTGAAAAGACCTTTTAAATCATTTACTAATAAAAAAATGATTTTGCCTCAGACCTTGTTCCAACCAAAGTGTGGTCTTTTAAATCACTGAACTGATTAATCTTTCTAATTTTAAATTATCCAGCAAGAATGGACCGGAGCAAAAAAAAAAAAAAAAAAAGTCCACATATCCCCAAATGAAAAGCACTACAGCTTTTAAGCCTGACAATTTCATCAGAATGTCCATAGGAATTACATAAAAAATTCAGACCATAATGAAATAAATTGCTACTTACATTATGAAAAGTCTGCAAAAGCTTTTTATAGACTTGAAATGCAGAAGTTATATAAACTGCACAGTAAAAAGAATTAGAAATTGACCTGTACAGATCAAGGGCTAAAATTAACAGTCTTCAGGGGAAAAAAATTCCCAGTTCACAATGGCTTTTAATGCCATTTTTTCCCCTACACTCATTTATCTAATAACCATGGCAAGGTTAGGATAAACAATGAACAGTATGTTTTCACATTTTCCACCTTTTGTGTCCTCCCTATGAATTTCTAAAACACTTAAGAGAATAGATACATAAACCTGTGACCTTCAAATGAGCTTTTTGATACTCTCAACATTTTGAATAAAAAGATCAGAAAATGGAGCCACTTTTACACAGTAATGAATTCCATTCTGTTGGGTAAACAAAGCTAAATTTTAAAACAGAGACCTGACATTTGTACAGCTCAAGAAGCTATTCTGTTCTTTTGGGGGTGGGCAGACGGAGGGAGGGGACATTGTCAGTACTTTATGTGGGCTAGATAATGACCAAATCTACAATCCACGTCAGGAAGAGACAATCCATTTGGCTGCGTTCAACAGAGAGCCACCGTTTCCAAGACAAGGACAACAAAAATGCCCAATTTTTACAACAGTTTGCCCCCACCCCATGAACAACTGGTCCATCTCACAAAAAAAAAAAAAAAAAAAAAAAAAAAAAAAAAAGCGTTGGGGGGGAATTGGTGGCGGAGGCGCAGCCGCCATTATGGGGCTGACGCTTATTGACGGCAGCTACAAGGGCCTCCAAAAGTTACTCCAATTTCCGTCGAGCTTTTGTGCATCCGTTGTCCTGTCTGAAAGGCTCAGTTAGGTATTGTTGCAAAAAAAGTCTGCATCCACATTTGTTCCCCTCTAATTCATACTCGGCATTGTGAAGTTTTCCTATTCAGGGGCTGATTGGACAACAGCCCTGACAATGGCCCAGCGATTAGTCTCTCAGCATGGGCTGAGGTTGCGGGTATAAACCTAGGGATGGGGCTGGAATGCACTGGGGCATTCAGCTTCCTCTCGGGGCCTTCCTGAGAGGCCGCGCCTCCTTTGCTGCAGGTAATGCATTCCTTCAGAGCGGGGAAACCGAATCCCTGTAATTAGCGGGTCCCGGACGGGGCAGCCGCCCCCTCCCCGCAAGGCGGCCCTCGGGGGCCCCCGAAGCTTTCTAAGGAGCTCAGCCCCTGAGACGCTGCAGCCCCATCGAATTGAAAACTTTCTCGGGCGGCTCGGTGGGCCTGAAAATCAACACGCAGGGGAGGGGAGCCGGGAGGGCCGCGAGCCGCGCCGCTTAACCCTTGGTACGCCGCGGCGCCGCAGCAGGGCCTCCCCCGGCCCGCGAGTCTGCGGAGGGACCGCGCGGGCCCCGCCACCGCGGCTGAGCGAGTAGCTAAGTGTACAGATGTCAGTCTGGCGTTTTACATGTCAGTAACTTGAATTCATTTACATTTATTTTCCTATTGTTTTATATCACTTTATGACAATGTGCTGCATAATATAATTTAAATCTTTAATGTACAACTAATTCTCTACCATTAATTTGTCAACATGATTACTGGATACGCCACCCGGAAAAGCAGGCTGACTTAAAGTCTATGTAAGACGTTCCTGTGTTGTTTCCTGAAGGTTTACAGAGGAAATGACAAAGACGTACCGAGCTGTTTTTCTTGGACTGTCTGTAATCTTAGGAAAACTACAATTTCAGTGGGAATCCCACTTACACTGTGAAATTCCAGACATCAGTTGGGAAGGAGACGCACGCACAGCCCCCTTAGAGGAGAAATTAGTTAGGCAGCGCCTGTCCTCGCAGCAGTGGCCGGAGACCGGCGGTGGCCCAGCCGTTGGGCCCCGAGGGATCTATCCCCCAGGACTGGGCCCGGGCGGCGCGGGCCCTCGCAGGGAGAAGAGGAGGAGAGTCGGCGCCGGGTCGCACCGACGGCTTTGGGGAAACTCACAAAGGAAAGGGCGGTGGCTGTGGGCAAAGCGTTTCTGGGCCGTCCCGACTTCGGGGTCCCCCTGAACTGCCCCCAGACCTTGGCCTCGCTCTCGCGCCGGCGGCCAGAGCCCGGCTTGGAAACGCTGGTCCTTCCCTCTGCGCCCCTGGAGGACGGGCCCCCTGCAGCCCCAGCCAAGGGATCACGCCCAAGCGGCCGCACCGTCACAATTAAAAGGAAGCTGCTGCACCCCAAACCTTATTAAACATTCAAATAGGAAAATTAAGATATTCTGGGCAAAAGAAGTGTTTAGACAAAGGCTGTCTGCTTCAATTTCCCCGTTAAGCGGGGAGCTGGCTGCTCGGAGAGAGTGTGACGGTGGATTCCATAAATTAACTGAAAATCCCTCTTCTCCGGAGCCTAAGTTATCTCTCCTTTGCCTGCAGCTCTGATTTAGAATGGGAGCCGGCTTGTTTACCGGTTTAATTAATGCTCCTTTTCAAGCAGGGAGGAGGGGAAGGGAAATGAAGCGACTTGGTGATAAACAGGTGTAACCGGGCCTAGAGCGGGCTCACGAGGGCCGCGGCCGCCTCCTCAGGCTTGACTGGGCCTGACCCGGCGGAAAAGGTAGATGGCCCAGTTGGAAGCGCAGTAGGTGAGCATTATTTTAACTGCGAGACTGTGATTGAAATGGCTTAAAGGGACAATCAGCGCTTGTTTTTTTTTTTTTTTTTTTTTTCCCTTCTTCCTCCAGAATGCATTCTCATTCTTTCACGTTGCTGAGCGGAGAAGAAACAGATCTTGGCGATATAGGGCACAGGCCTTTTTCCTTCTCTGTCACCTCTTCTTCCTCAGCCTTCACCTCCAAATGTAAGGGAAGAGTCACTTGAGGAGGCAACCTGGCTTCCGCGTCACGCTGGGGACCGGCTTTCTGCTCTGAAAAAATCCCTGGGCGTTCTCTCTTTATTTACTTATTTCAGCTTTTAATTCCGGGAGCCTAATATCTGGGATTGGACTGTCCGCGGCCTATGTGTTTCTGTGACCTTACAGATAACAGGGAAGCTTGGATGGAAAATGAAATTCAAGCGCCAGCTAATTTTAAAAACATAACGAAAAACTCATTCCCGAGGGGGGAAATGGCAGTTTCTGTAAGCACAGGCTGAAGGTGTTTTTAAATTAATAACTAGCCCTGGTATTTGCTAAATGATGGCTGTATCAGGGGGAAAAAATTAGTCATTAAAAACAGCAGGTACCCAACGTGAGAATATATGTTTCAGGACTGAAAGTCACCTGTCTGCGTTGCCTGCTGCCTTTCTGGGCGCCAGCATCTCCAAGGGCAGAAGTGAGGCCAGAGGCTGGTCTGTCAGCCATACTGGCCTTCTGGAGAAAGGAGTTTTGTTGTTGTTTTGTTTTGTTTTTAAACTACCATTTATTGAACGCCTCCTTGATGCCTACGACGTGTCATTGCTAATGCTTTCAGCTTCCCGACAAAGTGGTTGTGCCCGTCCACATTTCTCAGAGAGTTTAGACAGCTCTCATGATTTGCCCAAGGCCACAAAGCTTATCAAGGGCCAGCGCAGGGATGAGAACAGGGGTGTTTCTGAGCCCAGGGCCTTTTCCCCTCTTTTTTCCACCCTTTGTGAGGTAACAGTGACCCTAGGTACCTACAATCTCTAGAAAAGGGGATTCCATTCTAGATAAAGACTGGTTAAGTCCGTGGTTACAAGAGAGGAGCTCTTTTTGCCAGGGGTGAATTCTACCCACATTCTGGTTCAGGTCTGCGGGGACCCAACACACATATAAGCACAAAGTACCTTGCAGAACAGAGAGAGATTTCTTTCTGGAGAGATTTCTAGACTGGAAATTAGGATCTTTCAGCATCAAGGCTGGTTCAGTTGCCCATTAATGTGTGACCTCAAGCAAGTCACCTACTACATCTGACTGAAGGCTTCCTTGTCCCTGAGTGGCCACATTGCCTATCCTGCCTGCCTCATAGTGTGGGGTGGGGCCAAAGTGAATGGAAGTGGGTTCAAATGCATCAGTCACTGTGAAGAGCTGCACAAATGTACAGTTTTATTGCTGACTTACCAGAATTATGAGGTCCTAATGTAAAATTATATGTGCATGTGTTTTGAAGGGAGTGACTTACTGTATAAGTGTGAGGATTTTTCTTATTAAAGACGAGGCTTTAACTCCTGATTTCTAAACATGAAAACTCTGGCTACATTAAGAATGGTGCTAAAAGTTTGAATGCAGGCCGGGTGTGGTGGCTCATGCTTGTAATCCCAGCACTTTGGGAGGTCGAGACAGACGGATCACTGAGGTCAGGAGTTCGAGACCAGCCTGGCCAACACAGTGAAACCCCATCTCTATTAAAAATACAAAAATTAGCTGGGCATGGTGGCAGGCATCTGTAATCCCAGCTACTTGGGAGGCTGAGGCAGGAGAATCGCTTGAACCCAGGAGGAGGAGGTTGCAGTGAGCTGAGATCACACCACTGCACTCCAGCCTGGGTGACACAGCAGGACTCTTGTCTCAAAAAAAAAAAAATTTGAATGCATCCTAAAATAATAGAATTTTGATGGAAGAGACCATTCGTTATAATAATAATAATGATATTAATGGTGGCTATATGCCAGGCACTGCTCTACCAGATATGCACCAATTAGTTCTCACCATAATGCTATGCCATAGGTACTGTTATCATCATACCCATTTCACAGATGAGGAAACTGAGACACAAGGCAATTTGGTCACATAATTCATGAATAGAACTACCATTTGAACCCAGACAACCTAGCACTAGAATCCACATGCTTAATCATTGTGTTACACTGCATCCCACGAGAGAGTGTCTGTTAGCCCTGCTTCTCCAATGCACATTTTGAAGATGAAAAAAGTGACGCTCAGAGTGATTAAATGATTTGCCCACATCTGTTTCATGGCAGAGGTGAGAGTAGAGTTTGGATCTCCTTATGTCCATGGGTGGTTCTATTTATGATGTAATTGCTACTCACTTTATTCAGCCTTCAAGCCTTCTCTGGAGATGAACCGCCTGGGTTTAAACCTTGGTTCTGCAAGCTCCTTACCCTCTCTAAGCCTAAGATAATAGTATCTTCAGATGTCTTAGAGGAAATTTAATTTAAAAACCTCATTGTTTGGCAGATTACACGAAATAATGTACAAAAGTATTTAGCACATTTCCTAGCATATAGTAAATGCCCAATAAATCCACCTCAAATTTAAAATCCTGGCTCCAGGAAAAGAAACATGAACAGTGGGAAGGTCTTGAATTGGATGTGACTGTCCCTACTCAGTGAGCTGGCTCAAGCTAAGTTGAAGGAAGAGACAAAGGACAGGCCAACAAGCTGGTACATGGCGGGAAGAGGGCCAGAGCCCACCACTTGTGGAGAACTCGGAGGCCAGCCCCCTCAGCTATGAGAGGGTCTTCCAGAGTGATCCCTGAGGAGATGGGACAGTGAAGTCATTGGCCAGCCTGTGGGACAGAAGGTAGGTACTGACTGAGGAAGACAGAGGGAAGGGAAGGGGAACAGTATGCGGGGCTGGAGGAAAGCAGGCTAGGGAAGCCAGAGTAGGAACAATGGCTGTCTAAGCACCACCCATCATGGGGTCTCTTCATGAGATGCTCCCTGGAGACATCAGCCATGGCTGTTTCAGCCCCATGGGGAGGAGGAGGATGGTGGCACAGTGCTGAGTGCTGAGGAGGAACCACAAAATGCCTGGCTGACGGAGGCTGTCCAAGGAAGAGAGACAGCTGGAGTCTCTCTTTTACGGGGTGTTTACGGGGTGGAGGAGGGGCAACCTAGCTGACGTAAGAAACCCTCCAGCAACCCAGGGAAGTGGGAGCTGGGGCCATTGCAGTGGCAAGGTGGCTGCCTGTCAGGTGCCTAGGGGCCAGGTCCTAGAATGTTTGTTGCCCTTGGGCAATTGGGTATTGCCACATGGAAGACAGCGGCAGACCAAGGGGGTGCTCAAGTTCTGCTTTGGGGGCCTCCAGTGAAGGTCATGGGGAAGATGTTCTTGTCCCAAGCATAGGTTCCCTGCCCTGCTGAGTCTTTCCCGGGAGGGAAGGACAGGAATTGCAGGAGTCAGAATCAATGGGGCCTGCCCTGTGATTTGGTATCTAGGAATGAGCTAAGGCTCTTGGGTATGGGCAGGGGCTAGGGCTGTGGTTTTTTCCTCTCTAGGGAGTTTCTAGTTAAAGGGTCTTCAGATTTGGGGCAAAATATCCCATCTGATTTTGGAAAAATATCTGAAGAACTGGAAGTAGGAAAAATGTCTGGTATCTCTATCTCTGCCACCCTGGAAAGTATGACAAACAGCAGATGCTCAACAGCTATATGTTGAATAAAGAAACAAAGTGGTGCCAGGAGTACTTATTATTGAGCACTCAGAAAGGTAAAATATTCTGTAAGCCATGAAGGTATTTCCTGCCACCTTTAGGTGTCCTGAGAGAGGAGGGAGAACCTCTCTCCAAGTCAGCCCTTCGTGTGCCTTTGTCTTTCTGTTTCCTCATCAGTAAAAACTTCCTAACTGCCCAACTGGAGTATTCCAGGGATCACGAGGGTAATTTGATATAAATGTAACCCATACATGCTAAGCAAGTCTAAGGGACTGTTATCTATAGAGAGAGCAAGGAATATTAAGTGAGGAATTTTATTATTGACAATTTTAAACACATACTAAAGTACAAGAATTTATAGCCAATAGTTTTAACACACAACCCCCTGCGGCAAGACCACATTGGATTATACTAAATTAATTCTCAAATATGTAGATATAAGTATTTCCGAATATTTAAAGTCTCCTTTAAAAGCACAACCATAGTTCATTACTTTAAAAAATTGGCGGTAGTTTCTCAATCCTACCAATATTGAGGCAATGTTCAAATTTCCTCATTTGGCTTAGAAATGAACTTTGGCAGATGGTGTTTCAAATCAGGATTCAAACAAGGTTAACACCTCGCACTGAGTTGATCAGGGAAGGGACTTTTCCCTAGGGGTTAGGCTAATCTTCTCGGCCCGCCAGGCCTGGGAGACCTCTAGCCAGGGTTTGCTTAGACCCAGCCAAAGCAGTGGTTCCCCATCACCTCTTGACCATTGATTCATCACTTTGGAAGGTCTCTTGGACATTTATCCACTGGTTGAGTAGCCTTTTGAAGGTTTGGAGACCCACAAAAAGTGGGTGCTCGTTGGGGTGCATTTGGGAGAGGTTGGGGGCAGGCAGACAGCTAATGCTTTGCTAAGGTGTGGCTTTTTTTTTTATTTTTTGAGATGGAGTCTCACTCTGTCACCCAGTCTGGAGTGCAGTGGCATGATCTTGACTCACTGCAACCTCCGCCTCCTGGCCTCAAGCAATTCTCCTGCCTTAGCCTCCCAGGTAGCTGGGATTACAGGCGAGCATCACCATGTCTGGCTAATTTTTTATATTTTAGTAGAGACAGGGTTTCACCATGTTGCCCAGGGTGGTCTTGAACTCCTGAGCTCAGGCAATCCACCTGCCTCGACCTCCCAGAGTGCTGGGATTACCGTCTTGAGCCAACACGCCCAGCCCTAAGGTGTGGTTTAAATCAGGGTCTTTAAAAGCAGGCGCTAGAATCGCTGCCTCTTCCTTTTCCAAACCCTCCTCCTCTTCCTCTAAGCCTCATCTTCATCACCAACCCTGTTCTGCTTTTCACCTGCTCCCTCAGCTCAGCCCCTGTAGCACTTAGCAGTCACCACCTTTACCACCATTTTCCCGCAATCATCTGACTTCAATAGAAGCCAACCTCCCTTAAAGAGTTAGCTGTTCTGTACACAATATATATCTTGTCTCTTCGCCAGTTCCTAGACCCAGCAACCTCCCACAGCATCTGGCACATACTTGACCAAAGCACCTAAGTCCTGTTGGTGCCTGACAGGCTTACAAATGGAATCCTTGCAAACTAATATTCTTTAAATACTTGCTTAAAATGTATTAAGTGGGACAGGGCAAGGCTGATTTAATAAATATGCCTCTTCCTATATATATTCAAAATAAGGGATTGATTTCCTAAATGCACTGAACACATCTGAAATTTTTTATTCTTATCAAAATAATGCAAACCTACAGTTACAGATCAAGTAGTATATACTTTTTTTTTTTTGAGACAGAGTTTCGCTCTTGTTGCCCAGGCTGGAGTACAATGGTATGATCTTGGCTCACCGCAGACTCCACCTCCCAGGTTCAAGTGATTCTCCTGCCTCAGCCTCCCTAGTAGCTGGGATTACAGGCATGTGCCACCATGCCCAGCTAATTTTGTATTTTTAGTAGAGACGGGGTTTCTCCATGTTGGTCAGTCTGGTCTCGAACTCCCGACCTCAGGTGATCCACCCTCCTTGGCCTGCCAAAGTGCTGGGATTACAGGCATGAGCCACCGTGCCCAGCCTGCACACTTTTGATTTTTAGTTCCTCTAGTGGATCTAGGGTTGCTAGACTTAGGAGAAAAAAAAAATACAGGATGCCCTGTCAAATTCAAATGTCAGATAAACAATGAATAGATACGTCCCAAATACTGCATAATATTATATTTTATCTGGCCCTAGGTGGATTTCCCCATATAACATATACCCATTATACTTGTAATATACTTTTATTTCTACTTCTTCATTTACCATTTTTTCAGGTATCTGTGGAATTCTGAGTGTGAATTTCAATGTTCAGTATTTAGATATTCCTGTCTTCTATGGTTTGCCTTTGTAACTTTGATAAAATGTTTAAACCTATATTTATGGATCCGTCAACTTTCCCCAGTGCCTCTTGACTATCTGCTTTGCAAGTTGAGGATATTATTACAAATATCCTCTCCTCTAACCTTTCTTTTCCTTTCTACATCCCACCTTCTGCCACTACAGTTGTACTTTTACATTATTAAGGTTAAAGTTTCTATTCTGTCCTGCCACACACCCTAGTTTTTAAATTTTTTTATTATACTTTAAGTTCTATGGTACATATACACAACATGCAGTTTTGTTACATATGTATACATGGGCCATGTTGGTGTGCTGCACCTGTTAACTCATCATTTACATTAGCTATATCTCCTAATGCTATCCCTCCCCCCCTCCCCCCACCCCACAACAGGCCCCGGTGTGTGATGTTCCCCTTCCTGTGTCCAAGTGTTCTCATTGTTCAATTCCCACCTATGAGTGAGAACATGTGGTGTTTGGTTTTCTGTCCTTGTGATAGTTTGCTCAGAATGATGGATTCCAGCTTCATCCATGTCCCTACAAAGGACATGAACTCATCCTTTTTTATGACTGCATAGTATTCCATGGTGTATATGTGCCACAATTTCTTAATCCAGTCTATCATTGATGGACATTTGGGTTGGTTCCAAGTCTCTGCTATTGTGAATAGTGCTGCAGTAAACATACGTGTGCATGTGTCTTTATAGCAGCATGATTTATAATCCTTTGGGTATATACCCAATAATGGGATGGCTGGGTCAAATGGTATTTCTAGTTCTAGATCCTTGAGGAGTTGCCACACTGTCTTCCACAATGGTTGAACTAGTTTATAGTCCCACCAACAGTGTAAAAGCGTTCCTATTTCTCCACATCCTCTCCAGCACCTGTTGTTTCCTGACTTTTTAATGATCGTCATTCTAACTGGTGTGAGATAGTATCTCATTGTGGTTTTGATTTGTATTTCTCTGATGGCCAGTGATGATGAGCATTTTTTCATGTGTCTATTGGCTGCATAAGTGTCTTCTTTTGAGAAGTGTCTGTTCATATCCTTTGCCCGCTTTTTGATGGGGTTAATTTTTTCTTGTAAATTTGTTTAAGTTCTTTGTAGATTCTGGATATTAGCCCTTTGTCAGATGCACACACCCTAGTTTTCTAAGCTTTGTTTAAAGGTTGAGTCTTAAAATGGGAAACTGATCACATTGGCTTCATTGTATTATTATGTAATTCTTATTTACTAATAGTAATATTAGGATTATACTTCCTGCTCTTCAAGTTCAGTGTCATGATCACTGGACCTCTAAAAAGAGTGTATTTCCAGCACCAAGTCAAAAGGATTCTCATTGCTTATACTTCGTCAGTTGCTTCATATCATGTCTCCTAGTTTGCTTCATATTCAGAGCTTGACTTTTTTTTAACCCAATTTTTCTCCATAGGGTTTCCAGATGCCTTTATTCTTGCTTGCATTATTTGCTATTATGTTAATTTTCTTTTCATTTTTGTTTTTTTGTGTGTGTTTTTTTTTTTTTTTTTTTTTTTTTAGAGACAGGGTCTTGCTATGTTGCCCAGGCTGAGCTTGAACTCCTGGGCTCAAACTATCATCCCACCTTAGCCTCCTGGGTAGCTGAGACTACAGGCACATGCCACCATGCTCAGCTCTGTGTTATTTTAAATCTGAATTTTAAATGAATTATGTTCTCTAATCTACTAATAATTGCCTTTCCCCTGTTCCTCTTAAGTCTTCTGTGATCCCACAGCAGTATGGCTGGCTGCTCTCCAAGGTGCTGCACAGCTGTCCCCTTGAGACTCTTTATGGCTTTCCTAAGTTCAACCTCAGATTTTCTTCTCTCTCCCATCTTATGTCCTGCTTTTGCAGGAGTAACTTGCTCCAGCAACTTCCTAAGAAAGGGCCTGTTGGAGGTAAACTTTCTGTACCTGTTTGTTTGAAAACTCTCCTGTTGTCCTCTTCTTGGTGGATAGTTTGTGTATAGGATTCTAGACTGAAAACCGTTTTCCCTCAGCACCCATTATTTTCCAGCATCTAGTGTTGCTGAGAAGTCTGATGCCATTCTGACTGCTGCTTATTTGTAGGTGTCCGGCTCTTTTGCTTTGGAGACTTTTACAATCTATTCTTTTTACTTCATGTTTTGAAATTTTACCTGGATTATGTCTAGTTGTGGATCTTTTTCATAGGACTATTCTCATTCAGCCCTAGGAAATGTTCTTCTGTGCTTTGAGAATTCTCTCCCCTTTACTTCTTTTTTCTTTCTAGGATGCCTTTTAGATCTTGGATTATTACATATGTCTTTTATTATTTTCCCCCTCATATTTTCTCATTTTGTCTTTCTGCTCTATGCTTTGTGATATTTCAACTTTTTAGTCCTTCTACTATTTTATTTCACCAATTGCATTTTTAATTTCCAAGAGCTCATTCTGTTCTCAAGATCCCATTTTTAGAATGTATTATCTTCCCAATTCTGTTCGAGAATTCTAAAAAAATTTTTGAGTAATCTGTTCTTTAAGTTCTGTTTCCCCAGAAGTGATATTTTTCTGTTTTTTTTTTTTAAGAGATAGGGTCTTGCTACATTGTCCAAACTGTCCTCAAACTTCCAGGCTCAAGTGATTCTCCTGCCTCAGCCTCCAGAATAGCTAGGACTACAGATACATGCCACTGCACTAGGTAACTGCTTGTTTATTTTCATATATTTCATTCATGCAAATGGTTCTCCTCATTTCTCCATTTATGCCTCCTCAGTCATCACAGTAAACCCAAATTTTGGAAAATAAAAGCACTATAGATGGTGTGGATTTACTGTGCAATTGTGTACATACCTTTCCTGAATCTTTCTGAGGTTTCCTGGGTGAACCGGCTTCCATCTTCTCTGTTGCCCCTCCATAGAGCATTTTATGTGGCCGTCATCAGCTGTTTCCTCTAATAATGTCTCCCATACACTTCACATATTCCAGAAATCTGCTTACATCTCTTATCTGTGGGTGACCTCCTCCTCCTCTCCTTAGTATTATGGGTTTATGTCTTTTTGGAATTCTAAAACTATTTCAGCAAGATTTCTGGAAAGATGGGAGGCAAATGTGTGTACTGGGTTTCCATCTTGAACAATAAGGAGATTCAGAAAACTATCTTTTTGAACATTGTTTTTTCATTTTTAATTGCTTCATCTTTCAGCAGCTTGGTGCCCAGGTCCAGGAGGTTCACCTGAGGTTTAGGGTTTCCTCAGGAATTGTTTACAGATTCTCGGCATCCCGTGGCCCTCTTACAAATGATACACATAAACTAGGAACACTTCCCAGGTTCAAGCGATTCTCCTGCCTCAGCCTCCTGAATAGATGCGATTCCTAGGCACAAGCCACCATGCTCACCTAATTTTTGTATTTTTAGTTTTTCCCAGATTCCCTGCTTTTCCCACATTTCTTCTTGTGCAGGCTTGTGATCCCCAGGAGTCAGAATGAAGGAGGCCAGCTTCCTTGTATACAACTTGTACACATCTTGTTGAGACACTCTACCACACTGGTGGGCTTCCCTTCACCCTGCATTCCCTTCTGCTCCCATCATCAGCCTGGCTTAGCCCCTTGGTACCCTTCAGATCTCTGCTGTGGCTCATTTCCTTAGAAAAGTCCTCCCTGTTCCCCTTGACTCAGTGAAGTCCCTGTATTGTATGGGCTCATGGGACAATTATTCTCTCCTTTGCAGCACTTAGCTCAGTTTGTGGTCCTTGTGAAGCAAGATCATGTCTATTTTCTGTTTCACCTTAATGTCCTGAGCATTTGAACACAGTGCCTGGCACATAGCAGGTAGGTGATAAATAGCTGCTCAATGAAGAATGATCATTGATATGGTTTGGCTGTGTCCCCACCCAAATCTCATCTTGAATTGTAGCTCCCATAATTCCCATGTGTTGTGGAAGGGACCCAGTGGGAGACAATTGAATCATGGTGGCGGTTCCCCCATGCTGTTCTCGTGGTAGTTAATAAGTCTCATGAGATCTGATGGTTTTATAAGGGGTTTCACTTTTGCTTGGCTCCCATTCTCTCTTGCCACCGCCATGTAAGAAGTGCCTTTTGCCTTCCACCATGATTGTGAGGCCTCCTCAGCCACATGGGATTGTGAGTCCATTAAACCTCTTTTTCTTTATAAATTACCCAGTCTTGGGTATGTTTTCATCGGCAGTGTGAAAATGGACTAATACAATCAGGAAGATGGCCACAGAGAAACATTCCTTCAGCTCATTATAATTTCAGAAATAACTCACACCTACCCCACATACCCCCCACCTTAGAGGCCTGAAATTCAACAGGGCACAAACATCTGGGCCCTCAGCAGCTTTGACCAAGGCTGGATCACAGACTTCCCAGGACTCTTTCGTGAAGCCTCAGCCCCATCCATGATGAGCCCACAGGTCAGGGAGGCGGATTCTGGTGCAGCCCACAGGGCTGGAAGCTCATATGGCCTTCTGACCACCCAAGCCTTCTGCAGGGACTTTGTTCAGGCAAAGTTGTGACTTGACTCTGGACAAGGCCGGTGAAGCTTGGCAGGAAGGAAAACAACAGACTCCCCCCAAAGGGCCAGGAGGAATTTTCTTAGCTGAGGCCACAGACCCCCAGGGGGGTGGGCCCAGAGGCTGCTCAGACAACCAATGGCGACAACCCTGGCTGGGAACAATAGAGCCCCACACCTCAGCTACCTTTTGGGCTCTGGCTTCCCAGTGGTGAAGCCTTATTAAATTTGGGATTACCATGTGTAAAGCACAGTCTGAATTTTGTTTGCTCTGCCATGTAACTTGCCTTTCTAAACACTCAGTCAGAGCTGCAGTTAATCTACTGACCATGGGCTTAACCGGCAGGTGGCCAGGAGGCCCCCACCAAATTCCTCCTGACCCTTTGTTACCTGGCCTGGAAAGGAGAGACTTCTTGTTTGGGAAGTGTTTCTCCTCCCCCCGAACATTTTCAGTATTAAGAGTCTTTTGTCACCATAAATCTGGAGCGGGGATTATGACGGGCAGGCTGTCACCCAGATTGTTTCCTCCAGAGGATAATGGGAAAAGTTTGCGGCCTGGCCTAATGAAACCTTTCTTCCAGGGACAATGCCATTTCCATTAAATTAAAGCTCAAGCCTTAACAATGCCCCAGAACAAACCCAATTTGAATATTTAATTTGGGATGGAAGGAGCTGGGTAAACACCTCACTCCCATCAGCCCCTTTCTGGAGACCCCTTGCAGCAAACTCAAGGGAAGAGTCCTGGGTTGTTGATGTCAGGTTAGCACCTTTCGTTGCCAGTATCAAAGGTGGAAAATTCCAAATCATTAATATTCAATTGACAATAAAGAATGTAGTCCTAACTGAAAAAAAAATCTAGGAAGTGAATACTGATCAGATAAGCAATGAACTAAAATCTGTTTGTTCTGAGCCTTGCAAGCTACAAAGCCTTTAGGATGGGAGCTCTCTCCCCCAGCCCACTGCTCACGACGCACAGGCAGCCCAGGGGTCCTCTGAGAATTGTATGCTGCCTCACACCGCACCCAAATTCCTCCCTCTTTGATTCTTCAAAGAGAATGTCTAAAAGGAAGAAATGTCTAAATGTGCTTGATTTAAAAAAAAATTACTGTAGTGACGTCAAGTGCACTGTAAGGGAACAGAATTTTTTGTATCTTCCTTCTCTACTTGGCAACCAGGCAGCCAGGCAACCAGCACCTGTGAGACAGAGTTCTGTGTGGGCTCCTCTGCATCAAGAGTCAGAATTACCCAGGAATAATTTATCCGCAGATTCTCTGTGCAGTTTTCTTGTCCCTACTCACAGCACATCAGCTGATTGTTGGGCTTCTTTTTGTCCCTTGCTTCCTGGTGAAGACCCATCTTTTGTTCTGTCCTCCCGAAGATGGAAATCAGTCCTAACATGTTGATGTGCTGGCTCTATTTCCTTAACACTTCTATTTTCCTGAATTTTCGTAGTCTTTACATCTAGCACAGATGATCAAAAGCAGCTTAATCACACTGTAAGGGGGTGAATCACTGACACATCTAATTTCTCTGTCAAAAATTTGGTTTCTACCTTGCCAATGAAGAATGGAAGGGAATATGGGAAAGAAATATCTTTTGGCATTGCTGTCCTGGAGATTCTAGAGCCTCACTTTGGTCCTACTGTGCAGGCCGCAAGTGACCCCACGACGTGGGTGGGTGCAGCTGCTGGAGCAGTGCTGATATCACAGGAGAAATTCTAACCACGCTCCCAACACCTATTTCAGGGGTTGGCAATCAAGTCCCAAGGCAAAAGTGACATCTAAGGTGATTTTAGAGATGGCTACCAGGATCACCCAACCATTGGCTACTGCTTGAGGTCTTGGGAGGCCAGAGCCTAAAGCCCAGGGAAAGCTTCTTTTCAGGCAGGGTGTGGGTGTGGGTGTGCGCATGAGCACCATGTGTGAGGCAGGGAATGAAGGCTTGGCACGCCACTTTAGATGGTGGCTGAGAATCAGATGTGCCTGCATCTGGTGGGATAGACTGTCTCACATCTGCCCAACTCATACACATCACAGCCCCAGCTCTAAGGGCTCATTGCTCAGAAACAGTTTTCAACTCTTCGTTTGCTTTAACAGCGCTGCCAGGCTGAGAACCAAGCATGGGTGATGCCACCCTTCTCTTCCTTTGCATTTGAATTCACCTGGAAGCCTTCTTTTTAGGTGGGCCTTTCCTCTGGGCAAGAAGGTCACAGGCAGAGTGGCCAGGATTCATCTGGGCAGAGGTGGCCAGGCAGCCAACTGGCCTCTCCTTGGGTAGGTTGTCTCACCTCTCTGAGCCTCATTTTCCTGATTTAATACAGTTAGGTGCCCAATGAATCTGAGCTCCTATTTCCCTTGGGGTCCTTCCAATTCTCAGCCAGTGTTTTCTGTCCTTTAAATAGTTCCATGATTATAAAAAATGTGACCTCCAAAGACAATTTTTAGAGTTGCTCTTAGGAGGCTTGTGACATTTCACCAACTCCGGAATGCAGCTCAGAAAAGAGGGTAGAGATGGAGCCAGAGATATGTCTTGAGTGGGCACTTGTCCAGCCTCCTCCCTCTGGCCTTCCTGTCAATCAGCCATGCTGTACCGACTGCTCACCAGGTGCCAGTTGCTGCCACACCTCAGCGAGTGAGGCACTGACCCCACCTCCGGGCAGCACATCGGCCCTGGGCTCCAAGGTCTAACAGGGAGCCCTAGGAAAGTCCTGCACTCCTGCACTCGGCACACACACCAAAGACAGACCTAGGACTGTGCTTCCACATCTGCACCCACCAGTGCAGGAGCATCATCACTCCAGGTCCTTGGATGGGTGACATCAGGTAAGCAGCCCCCAGGGCCCCCATTGCTCCCAAATAAATTCCAGCGTTCTTACTCTCCTTTCTCACTCCCCAGCCCTCAGCTGGCTCTGTGTGTCCTCCTGTCCCCGCCACTACCTGCCAGCGTGGCTGCAACAGCCTCTCACTGGGCCTTCTTCCTCACCCATTCTCCTCACAGCAGCCAGAGTAAGGTTCTAAGAATCAGGCCGGGCGTGGTGGCTCAGGCCTATAATCCCAGCACTTTGGGAGGTCGAGGTGGGTGGATTGCCTGAGCTCAGGAGTTAGAGACCAGACTGGGCAATATGGTGAAATCCCATCTCTTCTAAAAATACAAAATTAGCCGGGCGTGGTGGCATGTGCCTGTAATCTCAGCTGCTCAGGAGGCTGAGGCAGGAGAACCACTTGAACCAAGAGGTGGGGGGTGCAATGAGCCAAGATCGCACCACTGCACTCTAGCCTGGGCAACAGAGTGAGACTCTGTCTCAAAAAAATAAAAAAATAGTCCAGGCGCAGTGGCTCATGCCTGTAATCCTAGCACTTTGGGAGGCCGAGGTGGGTGGATCACGAGGTCAGGAGTTCGAGACTAGCCTGGCCAAGATGGCGAAACCCTCTACTAAAAATACAAAATTAGCTGGGTACAGTGGCAGGTGCCTGTAATCCCAGCTACTCAGAAGGCTGACGCAGGAGAATCACTTGAACCCAGGAGGCGGAGGTTGCAGTGTGCCGAGATCATGCCACTGCACTCTAGCCTGGGTGACAGAGCAAGACTCCATCTCAAAATATAAAATAAAATAAAAAATAAACATAAGAATCAGACCATGCCACTCCCCTTCTTAGGATCCTCCAGTGGCTTCCCATTGAAATGAAGTCCAGCTTCCCCTCCATGGCCTACAAGGTCCTGCACTGCACAACTGGGCCTGCACACTCCCTGGCGGATGCCACTCCCTGGCAGATGCCTTGCTCTGCTCCCTGCGCGTCTGCAGGTTTGCTCCTGCCTCAGGGCCTTTGCACTTGCCACTGCCTCTGCCTGGAATGGCCTTCCCCTCAATCTTGAAAGGTTGACTTCATTGTCATTTAGGTTTCAACTAAAATGCTGCTGCCTTAGAGACAGCTTCCTTGACCTCGGATCCAAAGGAAGCCCAGTCACTTTCTAAAACATCACCTCGTTTTATTGTCCTCACTGCCTCTATCCCAATTTGAACCAGTCTTATTTGTCTACATTTCTGTTGCCTTTCTCCTCCTACTGAAGTGTTGGCTCCTTGAGATCAGGGACTTTGTCCATCTTGTTCGCTGCTCTCCCCGGACTGTCTGAAACCTCTTAGGCATTCAGGGAGTATCTATGAGATGAGTGAATGGATAATCTTTACCCCATTGAACTCCACATTCCTGCCAAGTCAAACATTTCCTGAAATCTTCCTGTGGGCCTCAGCTCATGAGCTTCAAGCCCCTGGTATGCCCTTTCTTTCCACTTCCACAACTTTCAAAGGCTAATACCAATTCTGCCTCCTCTCCCATAAGGTAGTTGCTCCTTCTTCTGATCTCTAACAACCCTCAGCCAGTCCCCTCCTCTTCCATTGATCTGGCATATTTGAGGACATGCTCTGTCTCCCCTACTAGATTATAAGCACCACATGGGCAGGGCCTTCCACCTGCTTTGTTCTCACATTCCTGTGTGCAGGAAGGACTTGCAGAAGGTGTGTGCCAGGTTGAATGAGGACAGCCCTCCTGGCCCCAGATCACTCTGTGAAGCTGATGAATGTTTGTTTTGTTTTGTTTTGTTTTTGAGATAGAGTTTCACTTTTGTTGCCCAGGCTGGAGTGCAGTGGCACAATCTCGGGTCACCGCAACCTCAGCCTTCTGGGTTCAAGCACTTCTCCTGCCTCAGCCCTCCCGAGTAGCTGAGATTACAGGCATGCACCGCCATGCCCGGCTAATTATGTATTTTTAGTAGAGACAGGGTTTCTCCATGTTGGTCAGGCTGGTCTTGAACTCCCAACCTTAGGTGATCCACCTGCCTCAGCCTCCCAAAGTGCTGGGATTACAGGTATGAGTCACATGCTCGGCCAGGAGTGGTTTCTTCACACTAAAATTCTCCCATTTCTGTTCCTTTGCCAGTTCTTGGGGTCCCTTTACTTCATCTGGGTTCCCAGTGTCCTCTGCTCCCCTCCCCCACAGTGAGGCCTATTCTCAGCTCGTGTACACAAAGGACCATGAGAGTATTACCTCTCTTGAGGACAGCCTAGCTCACAGCAACCCCTCACTAGAGCTAAGGGGCAGATGTTCTCTTGGTGGAATTTTCACATCAGTGACACATTTTTCCCACCCAAGAGCTTTCCTGTGCTCCTGAAATCTTGCCACATCAGCAAGTACTTGCTTTGCATCTCTCCAGCAATGTGGGGTGCCACGACCTGGACAGAGGCCAGCTCTGGCCTCCATGGGTCTTTCCTTGAGAAACCCCAAGAGCAGACATTTCCACTGCAGTGCTGGATGCCCAGAAAAACAATGTGAATCAAAGCCTAGGGTTTCTATCTATGGAAAGAGCAGAAATGGACTTCTTATCCTGTGGCCCCAACCTATTTAGCCACTGCCACCTCCCTCTCCGAGAGTATAAGAGGATGTTAGACAGGGCCCATCTCGGGGGCCAAGAAGGCAATGGGATACAAAGACCCCCCACCCTCCATGTTCCCAAGTGCTATGAACTTGCAGCCTGTGCAGCAGAAAGTGGAAGCATGTGGAGGGTCCATCCCCTCTCCAGGGCCCGTCCTCTCACGTCTCTGCCTATCCCAGGCCTTAAGGTGGGGTGGGGTCGGCTGAGGCAGATCACAGGCAAAGGGACTTGAATTCCTACAGCATTAGGTGCAGATAAGGCTGACCAACCTTATCTTCACCTGAAACTTTGAGGAACCGCCAGCAACTCCTCTTTCTTTGGGGTCAAACACACTTAGAAGTGGTTTGCTCCCCTTTCCCCATTGTCACTCACGTCGCCAGTCCAAGCTGCTATTTTCTCTCACCAAGCCTACGTTATAGGAGTCTCCTAACTGGACTCTCCACTTCTAGCCCACTTTCCATCCAGCATTCAGAGTGACCTCTAAAAAATGTGCACCTCGTTATGTCATTCTCATGACTATGAACCCTTCAATGGCTGCTCGGCCTCCAAATAAAATCCAAACTCACTAAATCCTGCACATTCTGGCCCTTGCCCAGCTCAAGTCCCTCTGCATGGGGCCCCCACCACCCTGGCCAGCTTCCCATGCCTCAGAGGCAGTAGACTCAGCTCCCCCAGGGCCTCCACCACCCACTCCCTCTGTCTGGGCTCCTCGCCCCACCACCATCTCTTCACGGGACTGGCTCCTTCTCACCAGTTGAGACCCTCCTCAGGGAGGCTTTCTCTGACCATCCTGTCTGAAGTAGGGCCCCACTATTATTCTCTACCAATAGGACCTTATCTGTTTTTCATAGAATTTATCATATAATTTACTAATAATTATTATTTTTTGAGATAGAGTCTCACTCTGCCACTCAGGCTGGAGTACAGTGGCTCAATCTCGGCTCACTGCAATCTCTGCCTCCTGGGTTCAAGCGATTCTCCCAGTTCAGTCTCTGGAGTAGCTAGGACTACAGGCGCACGCCAGCACAACCAGAAAATTTTTTTACTTTTCATAAATACAGGGTCTTGCCATGTTGCGCAGGCTGGTCTCAAATACCTGGGCTCAAGTGATCCACCTGTCTTGGCCTCCTAAAGTGCTGGGATTATACGCGTGAGCCACCACACCTGGCTGGTAATTTATAATTATTTTATAAATGCACTGGCACATTTCAAATGCAAGCTATGTGTGGGCGGTCATTTTGTCTTTCTCACTTGGCTCCAACATGTAATAGGGTTTTTCGTGTTCAGTATTAGATTCCCCAGGGTGCCTAGCACACAACAGGTAGAGGCATACCTCAGAGATATTGTGAGCTTGATTCCAGATCACCACAGTAAAGCCAATGTCACAATAAAGTGAGTCACATGAATGTTTTGGTTTCCCAGCACACAGAAAACTTATGTTTACACTATACTGTAGTCTATTAAGTTTACAATAGTATTGTCTTCAAAATGTACATCTGTAATTAAAAATAGTTTATTGCTCAAAAATGCTAACATTCATCTGAGCCTTCAGTGAGTCACAGTCTTTGCTGGTGGAGGGTCTTGCCTCGATGTCGATGGCTGCTGACAGATCAGGGTGGTGGTTGCTGAAGGTTCGGGAGGTTGTGGCAACTTCTTAAAATAAGACACTAAAGTTTGCTGTATCAGTTGACTCTTACTTTCAGGAAAGATTTCTCTGTAGCATGCAATGCTGACTGATAGCATTTTACCCACGGTAAAATTTCTTTCAAAATTGGAGACAATCCTTTGAAACCCTGCCCCTGCTTTATCAACTCAGTTTATGTAATATTCTTCATTCTTTGTCATTATTTCAACAGCATCTTCACCCCGAAGTAGATTCCATCTCAAGAAATGACTTTTGTTGATCTCTAAGAAGTGACTCCTCATCCACTCAAGTTTCATCATGTGATTGTAGCAATTCAGTCGCATCTTCAAGCTCCACTTTTTATTTATTTATTTTTTGAGACAGAGTCTCGCTCTGTCGCCCACGCTGGAGTGCAGTGGCACAATCTCGGCTCACTGCAAGCTCCGCCTCCCGGGTTCATGCCATTCTCCTGCCTTAGCCTCTGGAGTAGCTGGGACTACAGGCGCCCACCACAACACCCGGCTAATTTTTATATTTTTTAGTAGAGACGGGGTTTCACCATGTTAGCCAGGATGGTTTCAATCTCCTGACCTCATGATCTGCCCGCCTCGGCCTCCCAAAGTGCTGGGATTACAGGCGTGAGCCACTGCACCCGGCCCAGGCTCCACTTCTAATTCTAGTTTTCTTGCTATTTCCACTACATCTGCAGTGACTTCCTCCACTGAAGTCTTGCACCCCTCAAAATCATCCACAAATGCTAAGATCAATTTGTTCCAAATTCCTCTTAACTTTTATATTTTTACCTCCTCTCATGACTCAAAAACGTTCTTAATGGCATCTAGAATAATGAACCCTTTCCAAAAAGTTATCAATTGACTTTGCCCAGATCCATAAGAGGAATCACTATCTATGGCAGCTATAGCCTTGCTTAAGGTATTTCTGAAATAAGACTTGAAAGTCAGAATTACTCCTTGATCCATGGGCTACCAAATGGATGTTGTGTTAGCAGGCATGAAAACAACATTAATCTCCATCAGAGCCCTCAGGTGACAGGTGCATTGTCAATGAATATTTTGTCAATGAGTATTTTGAAAGGGATGTTTATTTTGAGCAGTAGGTCTCAACAGTGGGCTTAAAATATTTAGTAAACCATGCTGTAAACAGATGTGCTGTCATCCAGGCTTTATTGTTCCATTGACAGAACACAGGTGGAATAGATACAGCATAATTCCTAAGGGCCATAGGGTTTGCAGAATGGTAAATGAGCACTGGCTCTGGCTTAAAGTCACCAAAAGCTGCATTAGCCCCTAAAAAAAGAGTCAGCTTGTCCTCTGAAGCCAGGCATTGGCTTCTTCTCTCTAGCTATGAAAATCCTAGATGGTATCTTCTTTCAATAGAAGGCTGTTTCATCTACATGGAAAGTCTATTGTTTAGTGTAGCCACCTTCATCAGTGATCTTAGCTAGATCTTCTGGATAACTTGCTGCTTTGCCTTGCACTTTTATGTTCTGGAAATGACTTCTTTCCTTAAACCTCATGAATCAACCTCCACTAGCTTCAAACATTTCTTCTGAAGATTCCACACCTCTCAGCCTTCATAGAACTGAAGAGAGTTGGGGACTTGCTCTGGATTAGGCTTTGGCTTAAGGGAATGTTGTGGCTGGTTTGATATTCTATCCAGACCACTCAAACTTTCTCCCTATCAGCAATAAGGCTGTTTTGTTTTCTTATCATTCCTGTGTTCACTGGAGTATCACTTTTAATTTCCTTCAAGAACTTTTCCTTTGCATTCACACCTTGGCTAACTGGTACAAGAGGCCTAGCTTTCAGCCTGTCTCAACATTTGACACGTCTTCCTCATGAAGCTTAACCATTTCCAGCTTTTGATTTAAAGTGAGAGACATGCAACTCTTCCTTTCACTTGAACAGTTAAACGCCATTGCAGGGTTATTAACTGGGCTAATTTCAATATTGTTGTGTCTCAGAGAATAGGGAGGCCCAGAAGAGGGAGGGAGACAGGGAACAGCCTTTCATTGGAGCAGTTAGAGCACCCAGAACATTTATTAAGTTCACCATCTTATCTAGCTACAGTTTGTGGTGCCCTAAAACAATTACAATAGTATCATCAAAGATTACTGATCACAGATCACCATAACAATTTAATAGTGAAAAAGTAAATATTGTGAGAATTACAAAAATGTGACAGAGACATGAAGTGAGCACATGCTGTTGGAAAAATGGAGCCAATAGACTTGCTCAAAGAATTGTCACAGACCTTCAATTTGGAAAAAAAAAAAAATGCAATTATCTCCTAAGTGTGATAAAAGTATGTCTGTATTGATTAGATCAGTGAATAAAAATGGAGGAGTTTGGGCCCCCACCACTCCTCCCTTCCCCCGCAGTGGTACCTGAGGTAGCCCTGCAATGTTCAGCCTGGGGCAGAGGAAGGTGAAACATTGGGATCCACCCCAGAACCTCATGGGAGAAAGTCCCCTGCAATGTATTACATATTCTCTAGGGCCAAGCTAAATGTCTGACAACTCTCTGACAGTACCAGAGAATTCTAACTCCCTGAGGTGGCCAATATCTCTGGTCCTCATAATAGAATGTTTTTTATCTCAAATACTTCAGAAGTTAGCATGAACTGGGAATTCAAATTATGTCGTTCAGCTCTCCTATGTTACAGAAGAGGAAACTGATGTCCACAGAGATTAAGCAGCTTGCCTACAATCACCAGCTTGGTACTGGTAGAGTCCAGGCTGGACTAGGTATTCTGATTCAAGGTTCATTGTTCTTTCTCCTGTAGCCCACTTTCTCTGGTGTCCTCTCTCAGTAGCCTGAGAGTGATGTGCCTCTGTAATAGGTTCAATTTCTGAAGGGTAAATGAGGCCTGTGGTACTTGCATCCTATTTTTGTGTTTTTGAAATGTTAGTCACTATGTAACTCACCACATTTTAGGCAAAACATTGTATCAAAAGTTAAACGTAAGGACGCAGAAAAGTACCCCCAGAGAATAGATCTAGAACTGCATGAGTTATCGGTTGCTCATCACTTAGTTAACAGACTGCCCCAAATGTAGTTGCTTTAAAACACCACCATTTTTAGCTCATGTTCTGTGAGCAGGCAATTTGGGTTGAGCTCAGCTGGGCAGTTCTTCTGCTGGCTCACCTGGCCCACTCACACAGCTGCAGCCAGAGCTGCATCTCCCAGGGGCTGTTTGGTCCTCGTTTTCTGTTCACTCCCAGGAAAAAAGAGTTGAGCCTGCAATACTTTATCTGGTAAGACAAGTCTGCGACTGAGACAACCAAGCAGGCCAACCCTCGCTGTTCCTGGGAGAGCCACTGCCGTTCAGTGGCTCATGGCTGAATAATGGGGGTGACTAGGCCACATGTCTCCACTGTCTAGCAGCACAGCCTGGGTTTTTTCACATGGTAGCTGGGTTCCAAAAACATCAAGATAGGACAAACCTCAATGCACAAGTGATTTTCAAACCTCCGCTTGTACTCATGTTTACTAATGTCTCCTTGGCCAAAGCAAGCCAAGCCAAGTTCAGAATCAAGGAGTGAAGAAAGAGTCCATTTCTTGATGGAAGGAGCTGGAAAGTACTGTTGCTATTCCCCAACCCCACCAATCTACCACAAGGGTAGAGCTGGATAAATACCTACAGTATCATATTCATATTGAGATTATTGTAACCACTGATGGTTTATCTAGTCTCTTGGGGGTGAGGGTGTGTGTGAGAGGACCCAGAAGCAGCACCTGGCTGTGAGGTGAGGGAAAACCACTAACAGCTGGCAGAAATGCAAGCTGGAGACTCAAAACCTCTGTCACCCAGCCCAGAGCCGAGGTTCTCATCTTATGGGGCAGAAGGTGGGCCAACCAGGAGTATCCCTGGAGAGAGGAAAGATCTCTGGACACTCAGAAGCTGTGAGCGGCTTCATTCTCCTCCAAGCTGCTTCATACTTGCTCTCGCTTGGCATCATGAGATGCTGCTTGAGAGAGAGACAGAGGGACAGTGAGAGATCCACTCAAAATGTAGGCTGGATCAGGGATGTGGCCTCTGCTCCTAAAAATAAAGCCTGTGGAGGAAAATGAAGGCTAATGTACCTGGAGGTGGAACCATAGGTCAGGTGGGCAAAGCTTTTAAATGTACTGCCTTCTGGGTTGGGAACAGCATGGTGACATTCCCTGAAGCTCAAGGAGAGCTCGGCCATCAGAAGGCAGACTGCAGATCAAGACAGTGATGGCCTGAGCTCACTTTCCGACCTAGTCTGACAGTCACATCGTGTTCAGCTTCTACCTTTCTCACATTGGTAGGCTGCAAACCATCAAAAAGTAGAATTTCATATACAAAGCCGAGTCCTTATTCTAGATTGCACAGGTGATGCCCAGACAACAAGCCAACATTTTCAGATCCCACCGCCCAGCTTTCACCATGGACCTGGCCTGGGATGGTGCGGCCTCGGTGCCCACCGGGAAGGCAGAGTGGCCCAGCGTGGGCGGCAGAGGTGAGGGAGGGAACGCTGCTCTGAGGCCTTTTTCTTGTAGCTCCAGACAAATTAAAAACCTCCTTACCAGCCATTCATTCTGAGGAGGCCTCTTCCTTCCTCCACAGGGGGGCTGCTGTGTTGGAAGCCGATCGGATTCAGGGAGGCTGGGCCTCCCGGAGCTCTCAAGGAGGGGGAGCGGCAAGAATGGAAAGAGAGAGGCCCTAACCCTGAAGAGATTGGCAGGCAGGGAGTGGGGGCAAAGTGCAGCCCAGGTCACTGGGAAAAAAGAAATCTCAAAGTAAGGGAGTGGGGGAAAGTTCCACTTTCAGCCTAATTATGAAAGAGGCCTCGGTAGAGAGGGGCGGGGGAGCCCAAAGAAGAGAGAAAAGGGAAGTGAGATGTTGCAGAGAGCAGAAAGAGATTCTCAGGGGGCACAGGCTATTGAAGGAACGCAGGCAGGGAAAGGTGCCGCCTCTTCAAACGTGGGTCTGTTATAACTGATTTTGAGAGACCTGGAAGCATGTTCGCCTGGGACTCCCAAAGAGGGAGGGCAAAATGCCCTATTAAGGGTGGGACGAATTGATTTCCCAAAGAAGCACAGCACCATTTCCTCCAAATGCCCTCTGCAGTCCTCCTTAATCTGCCCTGGAGGCAGCAGGTGACCTCTGCACAGGCCCCTGGAGGCGCCTTTGTTCGGGGGCATTCTGCGGCCCGCCCCGCCCCCTCCCCTTGCACCTGGGCAGCAGCCTCAAAATGCACTTGTCCACCCTTGGCCGGCTCCCGTGGTGGGATGGCGGATGCCTTTGTATGTGAAAAGCCACGAGCCCTCCAACTCCTGTTTTCCCTTCGGCTTGACACATTCACTAATGTATTTCCTGTTCACTCCCAGGAGAAAAAAAGAGTGCCTGCAATACTTTATCTGGTAAGACAAGTCTGTGACTGAGACTACCAAGCGGGCCAACCCTTGCTGTTCCTGGGAGAGCCACTGCCATTCAGAAAGCTTGGCTCTGCCCTCGAATCCCCAAGTGTTCCCTGCCGGGTTCTAATCCAAGCCCTCTGAGGTTTGCTAATTTAATTGTGTAATGGTCCACACCTGAGACATTCCCTGAACTATCTTTAGGACACTACTTAGCCTAAAAGAAAGACAAATAAGAGTATTAAGACAGGGACTTAGACATTGAAAGCTTTTACCATCTCCAAAACATCTGAGTCAAGCAGAAGAAAACGGGGTGGGAGGATGAGGGGTGGCCTCAAAGTCAGAACAAGCAACAAGAAGTAAATAAAGTTCTTGCTAAGTGAGTCTGAAATATGTATTTAGCCCTTGTAAATTAAATAACACTGGTTTTTAAAGAGTGATTCTCCGAACATCTATTATTCACATCAGTAGGACAGACGGTAAGCCACTGTAAGATTTATAGAAACTAAAAGACTTCCCATGCTAAAGGTTAATGAAAGTGTAATTTGAATCATGAAATCTTTATGTGTCGGCTCAATTTACACCGAGGGCTCATTAAGGATGCGTTTGGTACAGCGGGCGGCAGGTGACGTCACATTAGTATTTAAATGGGCGGGGCCAGGCTGCTCTGCATGTAATCCTTTAAAAATATAACAGCCTCTCTCTTTCCTTCTCTGTCTCTCCAGCTGTAACAACTTCACCAACTGTCTGGGTTCCACCCCGAGGATTTCACTGAGAGAACACGTTAGAGGGAATCAGGAAGCAGAAAAAAGGTCACAAATAAGCACCTCAGGAACAATGAAAGCTTTTCTCTATGCAGCAGTGGGAGAGTTGCTAGAAAAACTGGAAAGGTATTAATCAGAAGTGGCTATAAATGCTCTGGAGTTTTGCTCTTATAAAACTCCTCAGAGAAAGTCTTGAAGGAAATGCAGGTCAAAGCCCAAAAAAGCTCTTGATCAGAGATTGCTGGAGGAAAATCTTCCCAGACGCCGTTTAATAGGCAGCAATCACCCCAGGAGTGGGGAAGCCAAGTACGCTTGAAACATGGTTGCAATTCCTAATAGGTCTTGTCACACTTAAGGCACTGCAAGCTCCATCCAACGAACAGCTGAAGCTAGCTGGCGATTCATAAAGCCAACAGTTTAAAGTTTATTATGATGAAAGCACTTAATGACAGCCATCGCTAGGGGCCCATCATTTATAAAGCTGTGCTGAGTATTAGACATGTAGCATGACCACCAATTTTATGTCACAATTGCTACCATAAAATGACCTTTGGTGATTTTTGCTGCATGTGGTGGACAGCTCTTCCTTCACATTAGTGCTCTGTGGCTTTCTTTGCAGACTATTATGCTGTCTAAAGCTTATTTGGCACTGTCGTGAGCCTCAACCCTTGCTATTACCCCGAAGGCCTGTCTTAAAAAAAAAAATCTCATGCTCTATTACGCCACTCCAATAATTTACAGTTCTTACCAGCCTTGGTTAGCGTAATATTTTAATGCAAATATGCTTTACCATTGGATTTTATTTTAAGCACACACACACACACACACACACACACACACAATTTCCCATGCTTCTGGCTAGCAAAATATCCATTTTATGGGAGTTCACTGAAATCGGCCTCTTATTCTCTGGTCAGGTCTCACTGATTGAGCACTGTTTCCTCTGGGTCAGTTAAAACATCACCAGAAAAAAAAAAAAAAAAAAAGGGTTACTTAAACTTCTGTTGAGATTTTTTTTTTTAAGATCCTATACATGATAAACCCACTTAAGGCAGAAACACCAATTCTTATTTCCCTGCATCCAGTCGCAATGCAAATTGACATTTGAGTAACATTATTTAATTAGGCTTCCATTTTTCCACCTTCTTTGTGTAGTTAGGAAATGTTTGAATACATGCCAGTTTACTGCTCCAATGTAAACTGCTGCTAAGAAAGTGGTCTGTCCACGCTACACCACCTTTAAATTGTGTATATAATTTTATAAATGATATAAAATCTGCTTCTAGCCCTGAGGAAAAAACAAACCATAAGCATGGCACACTGCAATTTTGGAAGGATTTAAAATATGTGATTTCTGCTGGTACCTACTGTATTGGGTTTTATATAAAGCTTTTTTCAATAAGGTAAATTGTTACATGACAAACTCATCTTCCACCATTATCATCTGCTGTTTGTGTTTAACAACAGGAGTCCCGCTCTAACAAAACTGTTGTAATGGCTGTACAAATTACTCAGCTGAAAGCTTTTCACCAAACAAAACAGTATTAATCAGCAGTTCTTATGAAGGTGCTAATTAAAAACAATTTTCTTCCTCAGTTTGCAATACTAAAGCCATCTTCACTTGCACAGTTTCCAATATACAGCTACTGTATTTGCTCACACTTCAGGCCCTCTATTAACTATTGAATCTCCTATTAGCCATTTTATTACATTTCTGTTTACAAGCTTGTTGACATTTTAAAAGTCACGGTATGATCTGTTTTATCTGTTAAAAAATGTATTAATTGAAAAGTCAGGGGGACAAAAAAAGCAAAATACAGACTCCAAATGCACAGACTTCCAGGGCAGAGAACACTGTGAGCATTTAGCCACAGCCTGGAAGGTAAGCTCTCTGGGTAAAATGAAATGTGAGAATTAAAAGTGGCATTTCAGGCTTAATGGTTTGATAAACACTAACAGGATCCTTCCTAATTTGGAAGTAGTCCACTCAGGAAAACATATTTACCCTGCCTAAAATCAGCCTGACTTTCAAATCCATTTTTTCTTTATGGTATACAATCAACATAATTATGATGTTTCATACAGCCTGAACTCAGGGGATTTTGATCTAGGGTGGGGATGTACCTGGAATCTGGCGGCTGGAGCCCAGATCTCGGGTCTAAATAGCTTAATCTTTCCTGTGAGTGTGTGTGTGTATATGCTTGTACATATACTTTGACTCTCTCCCCTATGTGGGCATTCTGCCCCACCCCCAGAGTCCAGTGAGAGGTTCTTGCCAGACAATGCTAATGAATTGTCTGGCATAGATTGGAAACAAGTCAAATGCTGACTAAGCACAAAGAAAATCCATGGAAGCTAGGTTCCTATTAAAAAACAAAAACCACCTAACCCTCATGAGCAGGTTGCCCCACTTTGGTAGCAGAGAGATGGAAAAAAACACCACTACCTCCTGCCTCTGGTATTAAAACCAGGTTCTTCAGCTGTCAAAAGCAGTTAACTAGTTTAGGACAGACACCTGGCTGTTGAAATAGGGCTCCAGAGGGCAACTAATCCTTCCATTCACTCAGTTAACTGCTGGATCCCCCAAATTGATTCAACAGGTATGCAGTGGTAAATTCAGCCCATACTGAAGCCAAAGGGAAAATCAGCAAGGGGCGGGCAGCTCTTCTCTGAAAACACCCGAGGAACTAGCCAGAAAAGCTTTTATGGCCCTGACAAGTTTTCTGCTGAATACTGAGCACCTAAATTACCCTTCCCTAATGGAAGTTACATTTTCATGCTCAGTCAAAAAGCCAACAAAATACACAATTTATACAAAATAGCATCAACCTCTTAGGTAGTCTTTTCTAGCACTTTTATCCCAATTCATGGCATATGTCTTGCTATAAAGTAAAATATATTTCTTATAACCAACTTGTATGTAGCTATTCATCTCACAGCATTAGAACTGACCACGGGCAATATTAGAAACATTCTTTCATCCAACCAAATCTACTTAGTATGACAAAGGAAAATCATGAGTTTTATCAGAAGATAAAGGTACACAAAGAAAAGAAATATTATTCTTAGGATTTCCTAAGCAGACAGGCTTCCTTTCTGAAACAAACACATGCATAATTACATAGGCAATTATGGAATGGGCCATTTCAATTGCAATTGACTCATAGAAATAATCATAAAGTTCAAAAGAAATGTAAATGGACAAACTTTCAAAGCTGCTCTATTTCACTTTTCAGTATCGGCATTCCATTAAACTTCGGGAAAATAAAAACTAAAATTATTCAATAATATAGAACATTTCTTACAAACTTTCAAAGAACCTGGACTACAGAGATTTCCAGGTGAGGATCCCATGAAGAGCAGATCTAGGAAACCCTTAACATTGTATAGGAGATTCTCTAGGTTTTAATTACATAATAAGTGAATTTCCTTACTACGTATCTCTTGGTAGCAACAGTTCAATTCTGAAACACTGTTCTCAGATATTTAAAAAAATACATTCCTAGTTTACTTTTTAAAATATAGTATCTCCCAGAGACATAAACACTGGATTTCTCCACCCACAACACACAAATACAAATTGAATTCTTGCCAATTCACGTATTTTCTTGAGAGAAAAAAGAAAATATTCTCATAGTCCTGCTGTTCCATATTTAAAAAGAAAAAAGAATAGACCATCTTAGGTGCTACTACAGGGATGCGTTTTCTTTGTCTGGCAGAGTTAGTTGCAGGTTTTACACAGGAAATAATTTTGCTGTATTTTCACCAGTATAAATGGAATGGCTTGTGTTGCCTTTTAAAACATGCCAAATTCTAATTTTTAAACAAGAAAATATGAAGCCAGTGTGCAACCTATACAGTCACCAAAGGAGAGCTGCCACTAGCTGAACTACTCAGCTAAATGGCTGGTTTGCATTGCCCTGGTCTTTATCTAGCACTGAGAATAGACTGCTGTTTTATCCAAAGAGGAATAAATTGCTGTTATTGTGATGTTAGCCCATCACTTGGCATTGCAATTCAAGTTTTTGTGAGAAAGAAATGTATGATCTAACTGCGACTTGACCTATGCCTTCTGAGATCCATCTAGGTGCTCTAATGGAGCAGAAAAAGTGGTGAATACAAGGACATGCAAACTGATGGTGAAAAATTTGTTTGATGATAGAAGTGAGCAGAGAAGACATTTGAGAGTCGCTGCTTTTATGACAGCTAAGTTTGTTTAACATGCAAAAGGATGCACCCCCAGTCTCTCACCTATCACTTTAATTGTATCACACTGAATACATGTTTTTGCCTGTACTAAAGACATGAGGATATATAGCTAACCTACTAATGACATTACTGCTAAAGTGGGCACAGATGATTCCTTACAGATAAACATCTGAATTTCCACAAAAGGCATTAGAGCATCTCATGGATGCACTAGGCAAGGATAAGCTTGGGTTCCCTGCAGAAAAGTCATTCTCTCTTAATCCTAGGTAGCACCTATTAAATGTTTACCATACACTTGAATCACAGCATATAACAATATATACTTATTTTAAATAAGATAATTGTGTGATTGAGTTTTTAAAAAACTCCCCCTGGTTGCAATCTGGTTTATCAACCATTTACTCAAAATTTCTCTGGGAAGGACCTATTTTGAAAGAGGCCTGGAGAACAGCAGCAGTTAGATTTAAGCCCTGATAAAGGCTCACTTTTCATTCATAGTCAGAGCCTAAATGTGCTCTTCTTGTACCTAAACAGATAATAAGCACTCAGCACACTCCCCCTCCTTGACACAGCACACTGAGACTAATCACACATAATTGGGGAGGAGGAGCAGAGGGCTGGCCACGCTATTGTGTCCAGAGGACAAACGGTCAGTTTATGAGGCTTTGGGCTGATGTAGTCATTTCTTATACATCTATAGGAAAAAAAACATACTGTTTAAAAGGAAAAAAAGAAGGAGAGAGAGGGACAGAGAAAGGGATGGCGGATTTAATACAATTAATTGGAGGGAGATAAAAAGATACACTTTATTTATTTTTCTAACCAGGAAAGAATCATGATATTTGCTGGGTTTACTGATTAAAAACTACCACCACCAAAACAGAACAAAGACCAAAAAAAAAAAAAAAATGAAGGAGGGATGGGTATCATCAAAAGAAATTCTGTCTCAATTACAGGGAAAAATATTTAGTTTGTTCACCAGTCAAATTCAAGTCACAGACAGGCAGCTTATACACATTTAAAGACAAACAAAGGTTTAGGGCAGGACGAGCAACAAGCAGAGTGTAAAAAGAGGCGGGGAGGGAGCTGGAGAGGGCAGCTGGGGAATAACGTGGGTGAGGACAGGTGGAGTCCATAGCCCACACGTGAAATGCTGCAAAGGGCGCAGGCAGGCGATTATACCCCTTACAGATTTCCGTTTTTGTAAAAATATTCCCTATGCACTTGATACGTTTCTTCGTCTTTGAGAAGCTTAATCTTCTATCCATGTTTGGTCAAAATAAGCAGAAGCGGGTAATGAAGGTTTTCTTCATATATGTCCGGGTTTTCCTTTTTCAACTGAAAACAATAATAGAAAGAAAAAGGTAAGGGGACTCCAATTAGGGATCTTTACCAGTCAATATTAATGTTGAGTATCATGATGACTTTTACACCAAAATATATAGTTCTGGAAAAATAAATCACAGAAAAGCAACTCAAAGTAGTTCTCAGTGGCACTAATGTGACAATTCTATACATTAACATGGGGATTGTTTTTGGTGGGGGTGGGTAGGGTTTTTTTCATAAATACCCAAACTGCACTTTGACCTCTATAAACTGTGAGGCACTTGACAGAAGGCAGAGCTGGGGCTCATTCATCATCACCTGACTGGGCATTTGACATAGAAGTTTCTGCTCTCTGTACCCTCTGCCTCTGACCAATGCCACACTATTCAGGCAGGCGGGCATTTCAGATCACTGCTTGGAGTCCGTGGCAACATCTGGGCACAGGGAAAGGCTTGTGGGGCCCAAGACACTGCAAAGGCTCTCCAGGTGCTTCTTAGGGGTTTTAACATTAATAATAAGTCACTCAAAAATTCTTTTCTCTGAGGAGGAGAACATACTCCAACAATTAGACTAGCAACATTCCTGTTCATACTGTGCAGGGAAGTTCTGAGGATATTTCTGTGATAAGATTTTAAAATCCAGTTAGGTTTCTCACATATGAAGTACACTTTTTCTTCATTCAGCTGGAATAGTTTTAAAGTTATATTTATATTTATTCTAGCAAATAAAAATTTGCTATTTATAAAGACAAAATTAATATTTTTGAAGTTGGAATTTATGAGCCAATTGTTAATTTCTTTTTAGATTATAAGAATAAAAAAATAAATATTTCTTTAAATTATACAGGGAGTCAATTCCTTTATTGTTTAAATTAGTCAAACACCACCCACTCCACCCACCCTAAAGCAAAATGAATGGCCTCAACATCACACTCTCCCAGGTTGGTCCCTCTGGGGCATGTTAACTTGAATCTTTTCGAAGTGCATGTTCCTTCTAAATCATATTCCCAAACCATGACATGGACATGCTGTCACTATTAAGGACAGGAGTCATGAGCCCACTTCCCCTTTTCCGCTGGGGAACATAAAGCTAATTCAGCCTTTAATTTCTAATCCACTTTCCAATCTACTTTCCCAAGAACTGATGGTGGTACAGTCACTGAGGTGACTTCATTCTGTTTTCTTAGACAGAGTTTGTTCTGTGTACAGATGATTTGTTGTCTATTTAGGAAGATCCTTGTGGATTTTTGCTGCTACCAAAGTAGCGAGAGTGTTAAGCCTAAACACAGGTCCTCCAACCTTACTATTTAGTCTAATTTTAGAAAATGCTGAGAAAATGGCTTCACCAACTTCCCAGTCCATACCCACTGACCGGGACTTACCACTGTAAATACTTTTGTTGCCAGTTGCCCTAGTGATAGAGGGAGCTCACTGAAGTATTTTACAGAGGGAAGAGAGGACCAAGCTAGCTCAATTCTTTCCTTGGGGATTGGGGATAAGGGAAAGTTGATTACTCAGTGGCAGTCAGCTGACCTACTCACTCACAATGCACTAATATACAGAGACTCAAATGAGCTCTTTATAAAGTCCCTGAGGTAATATGTGGGATAAATAATTCTTCTGTAAATATGGGTTAGAAATCACTTTTAACTTGGATTCTATGCTGACCTCTGGAGGCCAAAGTGGAGGCTTCGTTGCTGAAAGGGGCCAGGGGCCAGCCCCGTCTTGCCTGTGAGACCTTTCCACAATGGGGAAGAGCTGACAACCCTCAAAGGCAACACTATAACCCAGCCCTGGATCATTTCTGAATCAAGCAAGTCTGTTATGTGAGGGTACTTGAACACACACAAAGCTCTTAGCCAATACTTGCTTCGATGGGGGAATGTTATGAGTTTTAAGAATAATTCCATTTACCCAGGCTGTACTTCCTTGCCCAATTAATAATTACAATTTTGACAAATATCAAAAGGCACCTTGAAAGAAAATGAAGAAAAAGCAAATCATGAATAAAATAATTTTCCAATTTCAGAGGTTAAAACAGGGTCTTTGAGGACTAAACTAAATTATATAGCTGCTATTAGTAGCATTATGCTTTACTTCATAATTGGATGTAACACGCTCAGCCTTACTACGGCGTGAACAGCAGCAGCAGGAGTGGAGTTCAGACTGTTTACCCTTTACAGTATCCACAATTATCAACAGCACACCACACAGATTATAAGCACCAGCCACTTGTAATGTGGCATTTTGAATAGATAAGCAGAAGTGCAATATGGCCGTGTTTTTAACACAATGTACTGACTTCACAGCCCAGCCCAAGCCTATTTTCAGAGCTATGTACAAAAATACAGAAAAATAAACACTTCAGGGTGGTTTTGCGAAAGTTTATAAAAAAAAAACCCACGGCATGTAAAATTATATTTCAAAGAACATTTGCATGAATGAGAGTATTTTTACCAACTAGCATCAAGCCAGCTGTAATCTCGAAGTCACATCTCTACCTTACAAAACGATTTGCTATCTTACTATCCGAAAGGTTTTGAACCACACTATGAGGGCAATGAATTTGATTCTCAGCCTTGAGGAGACCAAAAGGCTGGGGAGGAGAGGGAAGTGTTTTATTTTTCTCCCCTTGCAAGGATGGACTGAAAAGCAATATTTTTAAAACATGCTACACCTTTGGCTGCCTGGTTCCTGAGCACACTGGCTGCATGGTGTGGGCACAGTTTAACAAAAGCACTGGCAGAAAAGTGCGGAATGGCACCGTTTTGATTACAGGCTTGCTTTTTAACGGAAATAAAATTTCACAGTTAACAATGAGAGGTGAAAAGTTTAAGAGGCAAAGCTGTTCCTCCTGATCACTGACTGTTAATCAGCTTCATGGGTGGTTGCCTAAATCTGTAGATTTTTTTTTTTTTTTTACCTTGCACTACTGCCAAGTAACTAATTTTTTCCCCTGTTGTAAGAGGAGGGGTGAAAAACTCGGCTTCGAAGGCAGCTGTGTATGAGTGACGCGAGGCACTAATGCAGAGGGCAAAATTAAAATTCATGAATCTCTTCACGACCATTTGTGTAACAAGATTAAGACGGGACAGCGGAAAAGAGCGGCATTATCAGGCGTCTTACAGTCCTCCAGCTGGTTACGCTCTATTCCAACACAGTAGGGCTAAGAGGATAACACGCAGCCTGAAGGAAAACGCCGCTCCTCCATTGGGGAGCAGCGCGTCCCAGGGACGAGGGGGCTTTGGCCAGAGATGGAGAGGAAGAAAGCTGATTGCCGCTCAAGATGGAAAACTTTTAAGCCCTGGCTATTAGCACGCGGCCAACAAAAGCCGCCAGGGTGGAGGCTCCCGGCGGCCGCGTCCCGGAGCCCCGGGCGGGCGGGCAGGGCTGGAGGGGCAGGGGTGCTGCCTTGGGCCTCCGCCTTCGCGCCCTGCTGCAGGGCATGGGGATGGGCGAGGAGCAGCGGCGCTGCCCGCTCCCTCCAGCGTGGCCCCCGGCTCACTGCTCCGGCCTCTGGGCGAGCTCCTTCTCCTGCAAAGGAGCACAACTGCACGTGCCAGCCCGGTCAGCACACAGTATCCCCGCTGCTGGGGCAGGTACAGGAGGGACCAGAGGCATTCTTTTGCTAGAAGCAGAACCCCACACCAGCTGAAATAGCTCTCATTATTAAAAAAAAAAAAAAAATATATATATATATATATATCATGGGCGCCCGTTTATACCTTTTATCCAGGATGTGCCAACTCTGCAGAATATTCTCCTAGGGTTCTACACTCTCCCCACCCCCAACCACGAAGACAACTATTTCTTAGTCCAATGTACCAATGTCAGCAAACTGTGAATTTGACTTTTCAGCAATTATGACCAGAGAAAAAATAAAGCCACTTATTTATGTGCTTCACTTAGCAGGGTAGTGTACAACGTTGGAAATAAAAAGAGGAGGTGTGCTGGCCACCAGGCGCTAACACTCTAAAGTTCCAGACAGAGGAGAGGTGGGCGTGCCTGGCATGTCCCAACGCTCCTCAGGTCTTTCAGGGAGGAGACGGAGGGTATCAGGCACAATGCTGAACGTCTTTGCTGGTGGAGAAACCCAAGCCTTTGCTCTCCTGAGCTGTCACTGGGAAACTAAAAGCATTTGTTGTTCTAGGGGGAAAGTGAATGGCACGACATTGAAGCAGCTGTCAGCTGATCCTTGTAGTTCCAGCCCGACCCTGGAGAGAAAGCCACATTATTCCTTTGGGTGGAGGAGTCCAGGGAGCCAGGAGGGACCCTTTTCCTACCAGGTAAAGACCCGCTTTTTTTTAGGGGGAGGGATTGAAAAGGGGAAAACATCATTCTAGAGAGGCTGGTAAGATCTGAATCACATACCATCCTGTTTTTATTTTCTGATCATGAGCAATGGGCCTGACTCCACCAGTGAGAGGATGTAATGTAACTCTTTCAGTTCACAAAGCACCATTTTTCCCCCAGAGGCTAAATGGAACCTTAAAGATTCAAATAAATAAATTCATTTTCAGAAAGTGAGAATTTCTTTCTCTTGCTTGGAAGATCAGATTAATTTTTCATATATTTTTCCAAAAGCCAACACACTTCTACATTATATTACAGTCCTGGGTAATAAAGGATGCTGTTCACATTGTCCCAGGAGAAAATTAAGCTCGGGCCTTTATTTTTCTGCAGTTACAACTTGTGAAATCATGACAAGTTAAAGTCTCTTGCCAAGGTCAGACTAGCTCAGTGAAGGGAGATTTCCGTAAGGCACAAAATTACTGAAATAATACATGTTATACTAGTCACTGTGACATGTACTACTAGCAAACGTGAGAATCCTAAAAAGTTTTCAGTGAAACACTCGCCTCTCAGTGTCCTATATTGGTCTATACCTATAAATAATAAAAAGGCTGATAACATTGCTTTATGTAAGCAGGCTTAGAAATCACTCTCAGATAAGTGCTTTTGACCTAAATCTTGTAGTGCCTCCATCTGACATATAACCCCACAACTGTGAAATTCTGTATGAGATTTAACAGTCTCAAACTGCCAACTGACCCAGCTATAAAGCAAGCAGAGATAAAGATTTACAGTCCAACATGATACAATTAGACATTCACCTTCTATTTATTTCAGTGCGGCTAAGCATTTAACCTACTTAAAAGCTGAAGGTTTTTCATTAAAATATAAATGCATGTTATTCATTCTATGCCACCTCCCCTTACATCCTACAAATTAGTCTATTATGAATGAAAAGATTAGTTTGTTTCAGAGAAAAGAGTAAACAGGAATGGTTTCTGTAAAATCCTTCTAGACATGCAAAGATAAAAGATGGCTTTACCACACAAAATAATCAGATACAAATAGCTGTTCAGAAGCAACACATCTAAGGAGTACTTTAATCAAATATTTAGGTTACCTGCCAAAAAGACCATGATCTCTTCAAAATGCAATGCGGATTAAAGTGTTATCTAACACAAGCAGAAAACTAACCTTGGAGTGGAAGTTTGAAATGTGTTCATCATAATTTTCATGTCTTTGGATACAGAAACCAGCTTTTTCAGCTAGATTGCAAAACTGGTTTAAAGTATTCCCTCGGCGTGGGGCAAATACCATCGCTTTCCCCTAGAACAGTAAAAAGGAAATTCACATATTTTAAAACTGGAAGGTAACCAAACATAACAGACATTGGTCAAAGCATTTAATGTACTGCTCTCAAGTAGAAAAACTCAATTGTTCTTGAGATGTCTATGCAGGATGGACATTCACAGTGAGAATAATTTCCAGGAGAGATGTATATCATATAAGAATCGATTTCACATCCAAATGGCCAGTTGCTGTGTTTTATCTTTTTCAAATAATACTTATAAAAAACAAAATGTGGTTGAAAGCCGGTGTTCCGAACAATATGCATTGTCTCAGGTCCAGTGGGTTAAGCCATTGACTAGATTTTAGAGTAACTGGTCCAGGGCAGTGCCATTCACCTTGTGACTCCTTAGCACCTGCCAACGCTTCCCCAACACAGTCCTGGGGCATGTGACAACAGATGCTTACATCTGTTAGTTTTTTGCACCCTGAAAATTCAGTACCAAGAAATCCTTCATAGAGACAAGTAACCACAATTCCTCTTGGAGAGTTTTCATATTTCAGTCCTGCCCTAGCCTTTTCTGTGACCACGCTGTCAGATACAGGCTCCAGGATCTTGGTTTCCAACTTTATTGAATCCCTCATGATGGTCATCACTATAGCCAAGCAGTTCCTCATAGTATTCACATGATTGCTTTTCAAAGAAAGTGGTATAATGAGGGTAAACAGCCTTTTCTAAATAATCCACACAATCTTATGTGATTGTTGCAGTGGGGAGAATGGGAGGAACTGAATAAAGTATGTACTGGATTTCAGAAGACCATCTGACATGAAACTTCACAATGACCATTTGCTAACTATTGGATGCATGCGGATTTTTCCTCCCTCTCAGATGTGTACAGAATGGCCAAACTTCAGAATCTCCTTTTTTTTTTTTAAAAAAAAAAATAAAGATGGCTATATGCTTCTGTTACTCTCAAGGTTACACTTCACCTCTGTGAAATGCCTCTTTAGGTTTTGAGGGAATCATGAAAATATATCTGAGTTTCTTATGAAGAGTGGTTTATCATTCACACCAGCCAGCCATTTCTTGAGCACCTGGTAGTCAGACACTGTGCTAGGCATTCATATGAATATCCTCTCCTTTAGTCTTTAAGCCACTCTATGTTGTAGGTATAGTGTAGTCAGACACTGGGCTAGGCATTCATATAAACATCATCTCCTTTAGACATTTTTTTTTTGAGACAGAGTCCCACTCTGTCACCCAGGCTGGAGTGCAGTGGTGCAATCTCGGTTCACTGGAACCTCTGCCTCCTGGGTTCAAGCAATTCTCTTGCCTCAGCCTCCTGAGTAGCTGGAATTACAGGCACAGTCCACCACGCCTGGCTAATTTTTTTTTTGTATTTTTAGTCGAGATGGGGTTTCGCCATGTTGACCAGGTTGGTCTCAAACTCCTGACCTCAGGTGGTCCTCCCACCTTGGCCTCCCAAAGTGCTGGGATTACAGGCATGAGCCACCGTGCCCAACCCTCCTTTAGTCTTTAAACCACCCTATGTTGTAGGTATTATCAACTCTGTCAGTGAATGATCAGAAGCCCCAGCACTGATGCTCTCTCCACTACACTACATGTCTCCTTATTAGTAACAGTGATGACAATGATAATGATAGCTACCACTGTGCTAGGTGCTTCACAAATCCTCCTTTAATCCCCTCAGCGATCTTCTCAACAACCTGTACAGTAGACATTGCATTTTACAGATGATTAAACATACAGTGAAGGATTTGAAGAATATAAGGAGGAACTGTGGCAGAAAGGACTGGACTTAAGGGGAGTCTCCACCATTAAACAGCGGTGTCACCTCAGGACAATCAGAAAATAATCATAGAACTTTTGAGTTAGAGGGAAGCTTGGAAATAATGTAGTCCAATCTCTCCATTTTGTCGATAAGAACCTTAACCCATCCTCGCTGATCCACTGAGTTTTCTCATCCATTAAATGGGAAGAACAAAGCCTGCCCTGCCTTTTTCCCCCCGACAAATTGTGAGGATCAAATACAGAATGTGAAAATAATTAGAAAGATTATACTGATGTAAGATTAGAAAGATCTACACCACCTAACAGTGCTCTAAAAATGCTATCAATTCTCTCTCCCTCTCCCCTTCGCCCTCACTTACCCGTAAGAAAATACGTGGCTACACTGTCCTGAGCATCAAGTGTGTTTTCATACTGTGTTTACATCAGCCTGTACACACTCAGGCACATAATTATAGCAGCACCAATCATGCCACTACACTTAAGGTTCTGTCAGCTTTTTCAATATTAATTGCTATTTTCAGGCAGTTTTCAAACTTAGCAGCAAAAATTCATTTTTATGTGAAACTAGATATAATACATGGTCTCGGCAGGACAGCAAAAGTCTCCATTAGAAAAAAAAAAACAACAGGGAATGCTGGTAGGTCATTTTAGTCATTTCTAAGAGCTGGTTGCCATTCTGGATTTTTGAATAATGGAAGCTGTTTTATTTAAAAGTCACCTGCAAAAAATTGTCTCACAGTAACACTTGAAGAGTCGGTTTTTAACAGCTATTATCTAAGCTGCATATCATCATGTTCACAAGGCTACAGGTTTCTAGGTTGGGCTGATCCTTGCATTGACAAAGCAATGCATCTCCACATGCCCTGGTTGGGGTAAGCTGTAAGTGACAGCAGCTAAGCATGTGACAGCACTCTCTGCCTAAACATCCCTTTCCTCCTTCAGCTCTCAGTTTACCTGTCCTTCCCTAGCCACCCTGTTCAGAACGCAGCCCCTGCCCCATCACTCTCCAGTCCCTCGCCGGGCTTATTTTTGTTCTTAGCACTTACCACCAGGGACACACATTGTATCCTTGTTTGTTATTGCCCTGTCTTCTCTGGCTGGAATGCATACTCCGTGACAACAGGATCTTCTAATGTTTTATTCACTACGTTTTCTCAGTGCCTAGCACATAGTAAGCACTCAGTCAATATTTGATGAGACAATAAACTAAATCCAGAAGTTGAGTAATCTAAAGAATTTGAGTCTTTGGGAATTCAAAAGCCACGTTCTATTGCTTATTCCTTTGAAAAGATTTTCCCGAGAAGCTTTTACAGAGTCAGCTGCTATGATGGGGTTTTAGAGAGCAGCATTCTGTGCACAACACTGTACCCACGAGAAAGAGAAAGACTGGGCAGTAGTTTTAATCTCTAACTACTTAGGAGTTTTGTTTTCTTTTTCAGTTCATTGAATACAGACACCTTTGAGAGGTGGATTAATAGTTAGGATGGAAAAGAGCCCATCATCCATTCATTCACTGAGCCCTACTGAGTGCCAGCATCTCCCCCTCCCCATAATGAATGGGTTTAGACCCCAGTATCCCCAGGGGAGAGAACACGTCACAGGGGGAACAGTACCATCAGAGGGATATGCTTTACGATTTCAGCTGCACAAATCAAAACCAGAAAAGGAATATGGATTTCAAATTAGCCCATCACTTTAGAAAAATTATTTTCAATTTGCCAAAGCACAACTTTCTAAGCATTCCGTTGCAGAATTATTTTAAACGCAGAATGAATACTCAATTGAATGTAACACTTTGACTGATGAGCAGAAATTTAAGAGAATTCATTTATTCCTGGAGAGGAGAGGGAGAAGTTCCACTAAACCACAGAGATACTGCTTACCTTGTGAGCTCAGTTGTTGTTATTTTGCTAGACTAATCTATACTTACACATTAAAGGGAGTGTACTTCTGGAAAAAATTGGTATGCTTCAGATTTATTTTTATTTTATTTTTTATTATACTTTAAGTTTTAGAGTACATGTGGCACAACGTGCAGGTTTGTTACATATGTATACATGTGCCATGTTGGTGTGCTGCACCCATTAACTTGTCATTTAACATTAGGTATATCTCCTAATGCTATCCCTCCCCACTCCCCCCAGCTTCAGATTTATTTTAAAAGGAATATGCTATGCCAATAAAATGCATTAGGGGAGGAAGACCAAGACAGAGGAAGCACTAGTCTCACATTTAGTTTGTTCCTTTTTCACTTCCTAGCAACCAAACTATTAAATACCAATTCTATGTTTAAGCTTATGCTGATTTTCTATTTCTTTGTTGTCATTTATAAAGACGAGGTCTTGTTATGCTGCCCAGGCTGCTCTTGAACTCTTGGCCTCAAGCGATTCTCCCACCTTGGTCTCCCAAAGTGTTGGGATTACAGATGTGAGCCACTGTGTCCAGCCTATTTTCTTTACCTGGTTTCTGAAATGCAGCTTTCACTTGCTTCCTCTCCTGGCATCTCTCTCAGTCTCTCTGTCTCCTTTTGTAGCTTCTCTTCTCTGACCTGTCTTTTAATTGTCAGTGGTCCTCAGGGCTCTGCCTACTTTTTCATCACGTTCCATCTAATTCTTGGCAATTGTACTGATGTCCATGGCTTCAGCTATCACTTATAGACCAATAACTCCCAAGTCTATAACTATAGCTTTCACCATTGCCCAGGGCTCACACCTACATTTTCAAGTGCCTACTACATCTCTGCATGTGGGTATTCTGAAAATACCTTTAATCCATTTTGTCCAAAATAAAACTCAATATTCTTGACTGCTAACCCCTACCCTTCCCAGGGAAGGATCCATCAAATGCAGCACACACACACGCATACACTCAGATATGCAAGCTGAGTACCTCTTAGGTACCAAGCACTTCCGTATCTGTCACTTTCGAAATAAAGCTGGAAACTTGGGAAACATGGCATTGCCCTTCAAGACCTCTCAGTGCCACATCCCCCTACCTGCATCACTGTCACTTACTGCAGGTGGTTCTCAAACTGTGTTCTGAATTGCTTCAGGGGTGGCCTGGAGGGATAAGAGGAAGACCAAGACAGAGGAAGTACCAGTCTCACATTTAGTTTAACTAAAGCTGCATCATTTTTATCTGTTTTGTAATTGGGGTGCTGGCTAAAAAATTTTGACCAAAACATTCTGCCATTTAAACAGGGTTTGAAAACCTTGACTTAGGTCCCACCTTCTTGGTATGGCAGGCAAAGCCCCACGTGACCGGCCCCATGCCTTTATCGCAGCCTGGTCTCCTGCCACTCCCTCATACACATCTTGGGCTCTAGTCAGGCCAACCTCATCACATCCCCCATCTGTTCTTTTATGTATCCTGTGTGTTCAAACATGCACATGCTCCCCTTGAGTGGAATGCCTCTCTCACCTCCAGTTCTCTGTCTGCCTGGTTACTCTTACTCATCCCTCAGCACCCAGGTTAGACTCCCTGCCCTTGTGACGCCTTTGCTGACTTCTCTGGCCTCCCTACTGTGCCTCCTCCCCAGTTGGCCACCTCCACTCCCTGCCCCCAAGGGTTGCCCACACCTCTGCTGTGCCAATCACACACCACCAGGTGATCGTCCCTTGCTTGTCTCTAGACTGTAAGCCCCTCCAGTGTAGAGTTAGGTCATATCTAACTCTATCCCCGGGGCCTGGCACAGTGACTGGCATCTGAGAGGCACTCAATAAATGTTTGCTGAGTGGAACGCTCAGTGAATATCCATTCATTGTCCTCTTCTCCATTTTCAGGTCTTCACTAGCTCCTAAATGGATGATTCCAGGTGGATATTGGTCCACACTGGACCTCTGAGGAGCTTCATTGCTTTCAAGCTCTCCCTTACTCCAATCTACCCTTTATGCTATGGGCAGAGTGATCTTTCTAGAAGGTACACCTGACCACACCACTGCTCAAAAACTTTCAATGGCTCTCCGTTACCCATACAGTAGAGCCTGGTCTCTTCATCACAATGTTCTTGGCCATTCCTAACTCTTTTTTTTTTTTTTTTTTTGAGATGGAATCTCGCTCTGTTGCCCAGTCTGGAGTGCAGTGGTGCAATCTCCGCTCACTGCAAGCTCCACCTCCCGGGTTCACACCATTCTCCTGCCTCAGCCTCCTGAGTAGCTGAGACTACAGGCACCCGCCATAATGCCCGGCTAATTTTTTGTATTTTTTAGTAGAGACGGGGTTTCACTGTGTTAGCCAGGATGGTCTCGATGGCCATTCATAACTCTTTAACTTCATCTTCCTGCCCTTCCCCAACCCTAACCTCAAAACCACAGACACTCTCACACTCCAGCCAGAGCAAACTTCTTGTTGATCCCAAAACACACCATGATTTTTCTTACTCCACACACTCAAAGTGCCCTTCTTACTATTTAAGACCAAAGTCAGACACCACTGCCTCTAGGGAAACCTTCCTCAGGCAGTCACTCTTGGTGCTTTCTCCTGGTACCTCTTTCCTGGCACCCACCATATTGCACTGTAATTCCTGGGAGTTCATGTGTTCATCTGTCCTGCTAAACTATGAGATTCCCACAGTGCTCCTAGTGCATATTCATTCTCCTAGCCCACATTCCTCAGCGCATAGGAATGGCGTCAGTGCCAAGCAGATAGCAGTTGCTCAACAAATGTTTGTTGAATCAGGACAGAGTCCAATACTAAGGCGTAAATTCGAAAGATTCACAAAACAAATAAAAATAGCACTGGGCTGTATTTTACATTGTCTGCTATAGTTCTACCTGTGTGTATGTTATATCTCCACAACCAGACTGCAACGTCTTTGGGGGCAGAGATTCTACCTCATGTCTTGGTATTCTCTGCTAAGCACACATTACTGTATGTGCTGAACAGCATCTGGGTAGATATTAGAAAAGGACTTCTCAGGGCTGGGCCCCTGCACTGAGGGTCTTAAAACCATCTGAGGACTCTCTATAAGCTACAACCCTTGTGTCAAGGGGAATCCTACAACTGTAGGAGCTAACTTCTCACCAAGCACTGGTGAGGAGTCGCTGGGTCTCTGACTCAGTAAGCAGATAAGAACCCAAGTGTCTCAGCACCATTTCAGTTCACGGTACTGATCCCACATACACAAGGCAATTTCCCTGAAACAAGCAAACAAAAAGGTTTGTACAGAAGTGGGCAGAGATGTTAGACTTTTTTTAAAAAAAAAGATGAGAAAGTATCTGAGCAAAAAGAACTTGGCTGGGCATAGTGGCTCATGCCTGTCATCCCAGCACTTTGGGAGGCCAAGGAGGAGGATTGCTTGAGCCCAGGAGTTCAAGACCAGCCTGGGCAACATGGCAAAAGCCCATCTCTAAAAATACAAAAATTAGCCAGGCATGGTGGTGCATGCCTGTAGTCCTAGCTATTTGAGAGGCTGAGGCAGGAGGATCACCTGAGTCCAGGAGTTTGTGGCTTCAGTGAGCAGTGATGGTGCCACTGTACTCTAGCCTGGTGACCAAGTGAGACCCTGTCCTCCCCCCCAAAAAATTGCTTTTATAATATGAGAGTTTATGATTTACATTTATAGCACACCTTGGAGATAGGCAGGACTCTGGGAATCTGGTGATCGGGTAGGGCCAATTTCTGAAGAAGGTTAAGTGAATTCCACAGTGATATTTCTGAATTCTTGACAGTTGGTTAGCAGTGGTAACAAGCTGGATTACTGTCAATATTCTATCCTCTGGTCCTGAGTAAACTCATGCTGTCTGGTTGGCTTGGCTCCCCTCCCTGTACCCAAAGTCATTTCAGAGGAATATTAGTAGATACCATTTGTTGGTTGTCATTTCTGGACGAAAGTTCAACTTGCAGGCTGCTGCGCCTATATTTTAAATTACGTTTGGGTCCTCTGATACTGGACACTGCTGTTGTCATGGACTTTTAAGGAATACAATGACAGTGAGTCACCCTATCAATCATCAGCAACAACAAGCCACTCACCAGAGGGAAAAGTGAGTGGGGGGTTGAGGGGGACATTGCTTCTTGGAATGCGTAAAATGTGCTGATTTCATTCCTTTTTCATGCCTATTCTATTGTTTTCATCTATTAAGTTTGCTGGAGAGTCCCTTGTAGTGTTATGACAGGAGTTAACTATCTTTACAGTTTCTTTAGACTAGCAGGTTGAGGAAAGCCTGCATTTCAGGTGGTAACAAATATTCCCTGCTAAAATTTGGGGCCTCCTGTAAAGACTTTTCAGGCACAGGTGCCTGTTTGGTTGAGAATCTAAGCTCAGCCTGGGATCTGACATCACCCCTGGGCCAAGCAAGGAGCCCACCCTGGTGGCTAAGGTCTCTCTGGGGACCTCTCTTCATTCATAGCTCCAGTATAGAAAATGAAAGGCAGGGAAACTCCCCCTCTCCATCTACTTTCTTTGCTTCTGGACCCTCTGACTCCAGACAACTGATTTGCTCAAGGTAGAAATCAACCATACTCCCCTAGATGGCAGAATTCATTTGTTCCCACAGCTTGACACTTGAACCTTCATTTTGCAGTTACTTCTGTCTTGCCAATGTAGAGTACTCTCCCCCACTCCGTGGGGACCGTCTATAGTAAAGTGTCATCTTCATCCAGGTAGGCAATCCTCCCAGAACCAGTACAGGGCCTGCTACAGGTGTTCAGGATACATGTGCAGGGGAGATGCAGTGTGCCAATTATGTGCAGAAATTCTCAAAGTCCAGGTCAAGAAAATCATGTCTTCCCCTCCCACCAGCATTTCTCCAGGAAAATGCTTGGAAAAAGGCCCCCATAAGGCCGAGCGTGGTGGCTCATGCCTGTAATCCCAGCACTTTGGTAGGCCAAGGGGTCGGGGCAGGGGTGGATCACGAGGTCAGGAGTTCGAGACCAGCCTGATCAACATAGGTGAAACCCCATCTCTACCAAAAATAGAAAAATTAGCTAGCATGGTGGTGCGTGTCTGTAATCCCAGCTACTCAGGAGGCCCAGGCAGGAGAATTGCTTGAACCTGGGAGGCGGAAGTTGCAATAAGCTGAGATTGCACCACTGCACTCCAGCCTGGGTGACAGAGCGAGACTCCATCTCAAAAAAAAAAAAAAAGCCCCCATAGTCTGTATTTACCAAAGTAACCAGAGCTAGCCTTGAATAGATACTCAGAGCCAATCATGTGCATTACAGTGCATCAGCTTTTTCACTCCCCATTTTACAGATGAGAAACTGAGGCTTCCAGACATTAATTCAGTCAGTGGCAGAGACCAGATTTGGGCCTAAGCTTTCTGCCTCCACAGCCCATGTATACCTTCTCTCTGCGAGGAGAATGCAGGATTTCAGAGCTGATAGAACTCTATGAGAGCACAGGTGAACTCCCTCATTTTCCCTCTTTGGGGATAATGGAGCAAGAGGCGGTTCCAGAGCCTGTTAGGGCCACACTAGGCCTGGAACTCAGGCATCCCATCAGCCAAGCCAGCATCCCCCTGGATAAACATCTCATGTGGATTAACCTTGATAAGTTCTACAGCAATAAAAGAGAAGCAGCTCCCCTTAAGGAGCACCTCCTGTAAGCCAGGCACAGATCAAGGATTTATACATATGTAAATATTTCACACCAATCCACAAGGTGGGCACTAGCCTTGCCTTTTGACACGTGAGGAAATGCAGGCTCAGAGAGACAAGGTAGTTAATGTAGACTTGGGGTTTGTATGCAGATTTTTCTGACTCTTTCCACCCACTACACTAGACCTTCAGAAACTGGGGCCACACTATGAACTTGAAGCATTTGCTGGAAGTGCAGTGTTTGCATTTGCTGGAAGTGCACGGAGAACTTGCTGTATCTTGCACTGAATCATCAAGAACTCAGGATCCACCATGTAGCCCCTGTGTTGTTTCTTTGTGGGCTTCTTTTTCTTTTTCTTTTTTTTTTTTTTTGAGACAGAGTCTTGCTCTGTCGCCCAGGCCAGAATGCAGTGACGTGATCTCGGCTCACTGCAAGCTCCGCCTCCAGGGTTCACGCCATTCTCCTGCCTCAGCCTCCCGAGTAGCTGGGACTACAGGCGCCCGCCACCACGCCTGGCTAATTTTTTTGTATTTTCAGTAGAGACGGGGTTTCACCATATTAGCCAGGATGGTCTCGATCTCCTGACCTTGTGATCCGCCCGCCTCGGCCTCCCAAAGTGCTGGGATTACAAGTGTGAGCCACTGTGCCCGGCCATCTTTGTGGGCTTCTTGTGACACCTTCAGCCTCTGGGCCACAAAACCATGGAGTTGTTGTCTGGGCTCAAGAGGACACTAAAACCAGCTCTAATTGTAATGAAATAAAACCTTGACCATTTTCTTAGTCTTGGACTGTATACTCAGAGGGGGAGGTCCTCCAGAAGCCAAACAGCCAGCCCTGAGAGCTAAGAAGAAAAGTCCAGTTTTCTACTGGTTGCTCCCATGCTCTGGACAGCCTCCTAGCCCATCAACACAGGATGTGGGACTGGGCTCTTCACTGGCAAGCCCACATGGTCCTTCTGTGGTCCATTTGGGTGGAGGCTCAGGGAGGACAACTGCCCACTACCCCAGACCTGTTGATGGGGATGAGGTTCCTGGGTGGTAATTTCAGTAAGTCCATGTGCCATCCACAACTGGGATTTCCCCTCTGATGGTGGGCTCCTTACACTTTAGGCTAGAATACCTGGCAGCCTTGAGTATCAGCCATTCCAAGAGGGGCCTAAGTGAGGCCCCCCCACTGCCATTCTAATGCTACAGGTTAGTGTGAGCCCCTCTGACTTGGCCTCCCTGTTCCTCTCATAGCAGGAGTAAGTGCCACCTCCCCTAGGGCCCTGCCTCACCCTTCTCTAGGCTAAGGGTGAGTATCAGCTGTTAGCAGGAGGACTACTGTCCTTGCTCAGAGGGGGCTGCTGCGTGTGGCCACGATTCAGATGGAGGGAGTGTGTTCAGGGTTTATTAGAGGGTACAGAAGAGCTGCTGGATTCCAGTCTAATCTGCGTTTAGGTCTATTCATAGCTTGGGCACTTTTCTATTGTAAATCATGCGAATGATTTACAATAGATCCTAGGTAAATCATGCAAATCTGCTGCAAAATGGAGTATTTGCCACAAATGGGCTTTGAAGGGGTATTGGTGATGAGTGAAGTACTATTTGTACAGTGTGAGATTCAGGAGTCCTTGAAAGCATTATATTTATGTATGATACATTTTCATAGAGGCCTTCATATTCAAGAATCTTGAGCCGCCCCTGAAAATCCTAGTCTTGCAAATGCCCACAAGAATCACCCAAGGCCGACAGGGGTGGGGGGATGCTGAAACCCAAAATTCCTTCTTCTGTCCTCAACTTGGGTGGCCTATTCAACCATGCAGTGGCCGTCAATAGCTTGGAACATGCCCCTTCCTTGCCTCAAGATCTGGTGCCCATTTCACAGGGGAACTGAGGAGGCCAATTGAATTGGACTGACTACCACTTACGAAGCTATGGCTACTCCTCCAAGACACCTGTTTTAAGTTTCTGAGCTACATAGAGATAGCAAAATAAAAAGCAACAGTGTATGGCAAAGGATGATTATCAGATTGCTCTGGGAACCACTGAAGGTTATAAAAAAGATATAAAAGAAAGGTTGAAAGGTATTGGTCTGTAAGTCTCACTGAGTCAGAAGACTAGAGTGGACCTTTTTAAAAAAATACTTTAGAAACACACACACACTTCAGTGTTCTCAGATAAATATGCGTTCCTATCTTCGACTGTATTAATACTGTTAACCTATTTTAAACTCCTATGGCACAGCAAGAGTCTTACATAGTTATAAGGTTTTTTTTTTTTTAATGCATGAGCTTTAAACTCATTTTCTTACTTTAAATAGATGTATATTAACTCTCCGTTTAGGCTGCAGGACCTCCTAGCTTAGTTTAACAGTCCAACAAAATAAGAGTGGATACAAACTCTGTAATTTACTCACCGGCATAAATGGATATATAAATGTAAAAATGTGCACAATATTTTATGCCATGCTTGGCTTCATTGTGACCTAATGTTTATAATATGTAAATAATGACTTCCTTTTAAAGCAAAGAACTATTAATATACAGATTCATCTGAAGTCCTTTTTCTTTAATATAAACAGAAATAAAAAGAAAAAAGTATTATTTTGCAATAAATAAATAACCAATGAGAAAGGTTGCCATTGAAGGAATTGAAAATGACAGAAGTCAACAGAAAACTTTCAATATCATACTTCAACTTTAATATGAAGATATTGTTATCAAGGGAAAAGACTCAAGAAATTCTTTGATAAAAATAACCTCACACTATCTTTGAAGCGGCTGCATTTATTTCACTACCCACTGTGTTTCTTATCAGAAGGCCAAGGGTAAGAAGTTTCCTAGTTATGATTAGGAAAGAATCTAATAGATCAGAAGACCCAATTGAAGTTGGACATAATAAGTATTAAAGTATTACATGACATTAATCCTGCCATTCCATTACTCTCTCCATCTTTGTGCACAGACTAATTATTCTGTAGCCAGTGTTCAGGAGAAAATAGAAACATACTTACCCTGGGCTGGAGTAATCTCTTTATTGCATCAACAAGGCTGGCTCTGTACTGGTCCAGAAACAGGCTGACATTGAGAAGAGAGCAGAATCCAGATTAAACTGGGTTTTCAAGTCTAATGATACTAATGGAGATAAGTACAAGGCTAATTACACATGTTTACCCAACGCTAAAAAAGAGAAATTGTTTCCTACCATTCAAGTGTCTCACTGGAGGGGGTGGGAGGGGAGAAGATATTGTGGTCAGTGTTATCCAACTAAAGCCAAGTTGTCAACATGCAATGGGCCAGGATTCACACGTGACTGGGCCATGTGTTAATGTTACAGGGACAATTTCCAAACTGCTGTTTGGGGTAGCCATCTGGTTGAGATGAAGCACTCTGGCAACTTCCTGTCATTAGAGCCTAGTCTCCCTTAGACCTGGGCCCTCTGCCCACCAAGGGTGCTGTGTGGCTGCCCTCAGACCACAAACCACCAGCCCTATGACACCCAAACCATGAAATATATCTCAGGAGGTAATAGAGTTTAGTGACTAGAAACAGCACTGAGGTTAGATTCAACGTCTGACTTAGGAGTGAACAGCTACAAAAACAAAGAACAATCTCAGACAATATATCACAGAGACCATGGCAACTTTGGATTTTCCTCTCTGGGCCTCTACATTGATTTTTTGTTTTTTTTCTTTTCTTTGTTTTCTTTCTTTCTTTTTTTTTTTTTGTTTCTGAGACAGGATTTTGCACTGTCATCCAGTTACTGCAGCCTCAAATGCCAGGGCTCAAGCAATCCTCCCACCCCAGCCTCCCAAGTAGCTGGGACTACAGTTGTGCACCACCATGCCCAGCTAGTTCTTTTTTTTTTTTTTTTTTTTTTTTTGTAGGGACAGGGTCTCACTCTGTTGCCAGGGCTGGTCTTGAACTACTGGGCTCAAGCAGTCTTCCTGCCTCAACCTCCCAAAGTGCTGGGATTACAGGCACATGCCACTGTACCCAACCCAGGTTCATGTTTTTATAGTTCATTTTGATTTTTCATTTTCCATCCCTGATCTTTAGAGAATTTCTGTTCATGCAGCTCTGTCACCCCTTTGCTTGGGTCAGTCTGACTCTGTCTTCACCAGTTATTATCTTGGAAGCTTGAGACAGTTTCCTTATCTGAACTTGCAGGTCGCAGACCTTTGAGTTTGGGTTGCTTGGCAGTAGGTGGCAAGTTACTTAACTTGGCCATGCCTGATGCTATGGTCTGAATGTTTCCCCCAAATTCATGTGTTGGAGACTTAATCCCCAATGCAACAGTATTGAGAGGTGGGGAGTTTGGCTCCTTTTTGCCCTCCTGCCTTCTGCCATGTGAGGACACGTGTTCTTCTTCTCCAGAGGATGCAGCATTCTAGGTGTCATCTTGGCAGAAGAGACCAGATGCTCACCAGACACCAACCTGCCCGTGCCTTGATCTTGGATTTACCAGCCTCTGGAACTGTGAGAATTACATTTCTGTTCTTTATCAATGACCCAATCTGTGGTATTCTGTTATAGCAGCAGAAAATGGACGAAGACAGCTGGAAGTTTATTAAAACCAAGGAAAGGATTCTGTGGGTGGGGTTAGGGTGGGGACAGGTGAAAGCATATTGTGCCGAAGGCATGCAGAACAGAGCTGGCTGCCAAACACCAGGAGAGTTGTCCAGCCTCTGCAGAAGGGCTCCTGGGCATTGCTAGAGCACTCTGCCAAGAGAAAGCAAAGCTGCTAGAGGCTGCCAATGATACCTATTGATAGGGACTTTTTTTCTGAACCCCATATTGGGATACGTGATCTGATATTATGTTGGTGCAAAAGTAATTGCGGTTTTTGCCATGCCATACCTTTAATGGCAAAAACCGCAATTACTTTTGCACCAACATAGTAACTATGAACTGAGGTCATAATAACTGAGCTTAGAAAGTACAGCTGAATCTCTGAAATCTGAACAGTACTGGAATATCCAGGATGCCAAAACCATGGGGCCCAAATTGTATATACAGCACCGAAAAGCAGTGATACTGTTCGGATGTTTCTCCCCTCCAAATCTTGTGTTGAAATGTGATCCCCAGTGTTGGAGGTGGGGCCTAGTGGGAGGTATTGGGTCATAGGGGCGGATCCTTCATCCTTGTCTTGGTGAACTCCCCGTGGTAATGAGCTCACGTGAGATCTGGTTGGTTGAAAGAACCTCCTGTTTCTCTCTATTGCTCCTTCTCTCTCACCATGTGACTGCCTGCTTCCCCTGTGCCTTCTGCCATAAGGCAACTTCCTGAGGTCTTCACCAGAAGCAGATGCCAGCAATATGCTTCCTGCACAGCCTGCAGAACCATAAGCCAATTAAATCTCATGTCTTTATAAATTACCTAGCTTCAGGTGTACCTTTGTAGCAGCGCAAGATGGACTAATACAAGCAGTAAAGAGATAAGGAAGAAGGGGGCACTATGCCTGTCCTTACGGAGGTTACAGTATAACAGGGAGGTAAGCCAGGCACAAGGACACGTGTTAAATACAAATGGCAGAGACACACACGTCTTAATAACAAAACAGTTAATACTCACTGAGCTGAGTACTAGCTAACAGGTACCTTCTAAGAGGTTTTCATAGCTCATTTAATCCTCACATCAATCCTATGAGGTAGTTTTTACTGTTAGCATTATTATTATTGTCCACATTTTACAGCTAAGGAAATGGAGGCACAGAGAGGTTTGGAGTCACACAGCTACTAATTGGCAGGGCTGGGATTCACCTCTGTACCATATTGGCTTCAGAGTCTGTGCTCTGAGCCACTGCTTGGTACTGCCTCTCACATCTAATTGTAATTACTCCTGAGCATGAAATAATGTACGGAAGAGAGCACTGACTGGTTTAGGCAAAAGACGGAGGTCATCAGATGACTAGAGTTAGGCGGGGTTGGTCGAGAAAGCCATCCCTGTTTACTTGCATCCATAGTGATCTCTCCCTTTTCCAAGCTCAGTACAAGAAGTAGAGAATTTGGAGGTTCTCCCAGGTCCCTGCATTTCATTGTTGTCCTCTCATTCAGCTGTCCTCTCATTCAGCTGCTATGCTTCTTGAAGGCAGAGAGCATCTGCATTTCTTTTTTTTTTGAGACCGAGTCTCACTCTGTTGCCCAGGCTGGAGTGCAGTGGCACAATCTTGACTCACTGCAACCTCCACCTCCTGGGTTCAAGCGATTCTCCTGCCTCAGCCTCCCAAGTAGCTGGGATTACAGACATGCGCCATCATGCCCAGCTAATTTTTGTATTTTAGTAGAGGCAGGGTTTCACCATGTTGGCCAGGTTGGTCTCAAACTCCTGACCTCAGGTGATCTGCCCACCTCAGTCTCCCAAATTGTTGGGATTATAGGCGTGAGCCACCGTGCCCGGCCTCATCTTTGCATTTCTTTGCCTCTCTCATAACATTTGGAAAACAGCTGAGGACACAGTAGACGAAAACGTTGATTCCTGGGGAAGAACAGCCGTGCTGTAGAGGTAGTCACTATAGTGATAGTGTATGGCTTGAGGAGTGTATGAGACATACATCTTCAGCTTTAGAGCCATCAGTTCTAGGCTGTGTCTTTTGCAAAGCAATAAATAAATAAAAGGACTGTCTTCTACTTAATAAAAATTGACAACGATGTCTTTTTAAAAAGCAGGGACAGCAGACAGGGCACGGTGGCTCAAACCTGTAATCCCAGCACTTTGGGAGACCAAGGTGGGTGGATCATCTGAGGTCAGGAGTTCAAGGCCAGCCTGACCAACATAGTGAAATCTCAACTCTACTAAAAATACAAAAATTAGCCAGGCGTGGTGGTGTGTGCCTGTAATCCCAGCTACTTGGGAGGCTGAGGCAGGAGGGTCGCTTGAACCTTGGAGGCGGAGGCGGAGGCTGCAGTGGGCTGAGATCGTGACATTGCATTCTGGCCTGGGTGACAGAGTGAGACTTTGTCTTGAGAGAGAGAGAAAAAAAAAAAGCAGTGACAGCAAAACTACTTTTGAAACCTCTTAACCCATAACAGCATTTCAAATACGTTTGTTTGGAAAGTAATATGGAAAACTGTTCCATTCACAACTTGAATTTCTTCTCTAACGGTGAGTCCCTTACCTTAAGCTAGAACACTCAGCAACCTTGTGCATCAGCCATCTCCATGAGGGGCCTAAGTAAGGCCCCCTACTCCCATTTCTAATGCTGCAGGTCAGACCCTTCTGATTTGGCCTCCTGTCTCTTCACACAGCAAGAGTAAGCACCACCTACTCTAGGGCCCTGCATCATTCTTTTTAGCTAAGGGTGGGTATCAGCTGTCAGTGGGAGGGCTGCTGTCCTCGCTCAGAGGGGGCTGTTGCGTGGAGCTGTACTTCAGACAAGGGAGGAACTTGGTTCAGGGTTTTAAAGAGCTCTGGCTTTGATGTTGCTGCTGTGTGACTTTGGGCAGGTCACTTCATGTGAAGCCTCAGTTTCCTTGTCAATAAACACCCACCTATATGACTATGTGGACATCAAATTAATAAGATATGTTAGTTGATAAAGGTTTGTTGAGCATCTACTATATACTAAGGGCAAATTTAGGAACTGGGGATGAGCTATGAATAAGACAAAGTTCCCATTCTCAAGGAGCTTCCATTCTGTCTTCATTTTGCTTTACTATTAATAGTTCCAGCACAGCGTACACACAGACTGGCAGTTACTTGTGGACAGACTGGCAGATCATCACAGTCCTTGGAATTGAGGAGCTTATGTAGGGTGTTAGTTTCAATGTCCCTAAAGTGGGTAGTACACACTCCTTTACTGATACTGTCAAGGATGAACCAACTTTCAGGTAGGATATTTCAACAGACTAGGTTCTCTTCCGATCTGATGATTTTCTCCTCTGAGGAGAGCAGCTTATAAGAAGTTTCCAAAAAGTCATTGCTTGAGTGTCTTTGGTCATCACAGGTTCCATGGAAGGTTCTTCTATGGAAGGTCACTTTGAGCAATGGGAAAAGAATCCTCAGATGAGCTAGAAACCACGTCCAGAATGGAACCTCATCCCATTCCATCCATCACTCATGATGACCTGATTATTACCCATGGAAAGACTTTATCTTTCCCAAAACTACATTCTCAAATCTTGGAGCACAGAATGTATGTAAATTAAGTGCTACACAAACTTGCCATTAAGTCATATTAAACAGTAATTAATAACCATTAAGAATTAACGAGAAAGGAATCAAACTATAAGTATGTCTTTAAAATATTCGCTCTTCAGGACTCTCTATTTTATTCCTTAGTGAGGCAATAATATCTTGAGCGATCTTGGCTCACTGCAAGCTCCGCCTCCCGGGTTCATGCCATTCTCCTGCCTCAGTCTCCCGAGTAGCTGGGACTACAGGTGCCCACCACCATGCCCATCTAATTTTTTTTTTATTATTTTTAGTAGAGATGGGGTTTCACCGTGTTAGCCAGGATGGTCTCGATCTCCTGACCTCATGATCTGCCCGCCTCGGCCTCCCAAAGTGCTGGGACTACAGGCATGAGCCACCGCGTCTGGCCCAATATCTTGAGTTTTAATAATTAAGCATTCTGGATTTTTAAAAGAAGATTATGATTGTAGGAAAATATCTCTGTCAGTTACCCAGGCCTACGGGAAACCTGGCTGGTTGGGACATGCGGCATTTAAGCAAAGGACCACACTCGGTTTATATCTGTGCATCCTAAAACCGGTAAGATCGTTAGAAAAAAAAAATGAACAGCACCTTAAGAACTGAGCTTCAAACATGCCCTTATAAAGTGCTATTTCCCCTTAAAGTTGGTCAGGATTACAAAGATGTTAACATCACAGCTTAACACACGGCACACATTCCAAACAGACTTATTTGAAAGGTAATGCTGTCTACTCCATCTCTCCAAATCAAATTTCCCAAAATTAATTCTTTGTAGTTCTCTAATAGATCTTTATTCCAAGTAAGCTCACTTGCTACTTAGCTCTGATGCAGAATTTATAACACTTTGTAGAGTATGTCATCTGAGCAATTTCAATGTGTTTTAGAGGGAATGATATATAATCTCCTGAAAATTCACCCCTTAAATAAGTCTTAATGGGCTGAGAGAACAGCAGTAGCTTAAGTGGATCTATTAAAAAAGGCTGAGTGGGTCAGTGATGGGGACAGAGATACCATTTTAACTCTCACTTCAGTTACTGATCAAAATACATTGGCAGTCTAGTTTGACCATTAAAGGGCACCCATGCACACACACACACACAGACACACAGACCTCTATATAATTCACTTGTGGATCAACACTTGCTTTCTTCCATTGATCTGAATCACAGATTTTCCAACAAAGGAAAGGTGCCAGACCATTTTCATCACCTCCCTTAGAATCAGTTTCATGCAGACTGCAGAGCATCTGTAATTCCTCTCATAGGGAAGTTAATTAGTGCAGAGAACAAGGAGACATTTTTCTCTGTCAATAGCCACAGAAAGGAAGACCCCTATGTAATTTTCAATGTGAAATGTGCTGAGTTAAAGTCACTGTTTTAGATTTAACTTCAGCAAAGGAATGACCTCTTTCAGTATTTACCAACTGATTTTTATGAGAGCTCAGAATAATGCTGTATTCTAATTTTACTTGGCTCTACCCCTTTAGTTGAGCAATCTTGGGTGATTCATGTATTTTCTCTGGGACTGAGTCTTCTCAGGTGTCAGGTGAAAGGGCTGACTATATTTGGGCGAAAGATATTTTCAGGTGTAAACTTCCGTGAGTTGTGATTTGGAGCTGTCCATGATCACAGCATCTGAAAGAAAACAAATTCTAGAGCCTACAGTATTTCCATTTTGAGGGAAAAAAATTTTCACAAAATCAGCTTAAAAATCAAACATTTTTCATCATTTAGAGCAAAGTAAAAAGGACTAAAAAAAAGAAACAATTTAGAGTATATAGCAAGTGCAAAAACGCTGAGAGAGCAATCGGGGTGGGTTGCTACAGGCCAATGTACTTTCCCTTATTTCTTTCCAAAGTCTCGGGCTGCAGGCACACAGATGTGCTGATTGTCCTGCATACCCAGCTCAATGGGCCGGTCAGGGTATGGGTGGCATTTCAGATATGCTTTCTAAGCCTTTTGAGAATTCAAATGCACAGAGTCATTTCTATTTTTGCAGAGCTACAATAAACTGGAGGGCCGTTCAAACACTGAATGAAAGCGTTCATTGGATAAAAAACATCTTACTTCCAGACCCTTAGATTATATTGTGATTGAACAGGAGTCTGGAAAGGCAGGCTTAAAATTAACAATCACTCACTATTCTAACTCAGCAAGGACCAGGCTGGACTGCATTCCAGCAGAAAGGAATCCTTATATTAAACTCAACATTAAACAAGTCAACTGAGGAACTTAATAGGCAGGTTTTTTTTCTACACCTGTGGTTAAATATTCTAATATTTTGATGTTTGTCAATAGCATCCTTTTGCAGGTATGGCTGCACCTCATTTTTTCCTTCTGTTTATTTCAAAGTTGACATTTTACAAGTTATTTAGGAACTGCTGAACCATGAAACTATTTTTCATTGTCAAAAATGCTGAATGGTGAAATAATGACTAGCTTTCACAGTTTGCCTCTTTATTTTATAATCTAGTTGAGCTACTAAATTTAGTTGTGAACTAACAGACTGTCTCTTCTGGGAAATAAGTTATTTCCCCCACTGCCTACAGGTTTTTGAATGTTTGAATGTAAATATCTGAATATATGAATGATTTAAGAACATAAACATATCACCATTTGTTGTAATCATGTGCATTTTACTTGAACCACAATGTGGGTTTGGAATAGGTTTGTGAATAGAGCTTGTTTTCATGTAAATGGGATCAAGCAGTACCACTGGTTAGCTATTCAGGGAATCAGACAATGCCACCCTTGCTGGAAACGCTTCAATAAGATTTTAATCCATGTACCTAATATTTGAACTCCGACTCTTGCTTCATATTCCTGTGGCCTAATCCAGATCTCATTGCTGACAATGACTAAAGGATGGTGTGAGACTTAATGTGATCTATTTATGTGTGGCACCTCTTCCTGACACTGAGGATTTCAGGTTTCGTCTTGGAGGTAGTGTCTAAAGAGAGCTTTCTTTTCCTCCCCAGTGACATTCTTAAAAATATGTAGCACGGTTTGCCTGCCTGCCTGCCTGCCCCTAGAAGCAGCATCCATGCAATAACTCTTACAGAGAAACACCACACCAACAGGACATAAAGAACTCGTGGAATCCTGTGCTTCACTGCTACATGCACAACGTGCATATTAGAAATATTACTGTACTTTCTAAGTTTCTAAGCAGCTTACCCATCCCCGCGAATATGAAGAGAGACCATTACCAAAGCATTTCTTTTGGAAATACTATCAGCATCGCAGTGAGAGTAGCTTAATGTTTCACATTTACAAATGGGAAAGTATAAACAGGCTGACATTCTGGCATTTACAACACCCAGGGGAAAAAAAAAAACAATTCATGCATGGAAAAGCCATTTATAAAATGAAGCTTGGTGTATTTAGTTCATTTGAAGCCATAAATTCTCACACAGCTACCAGATGTGTATCTATGTGTGTGTGTATACATATAATATTATGTTATGTGTGTGTAATGTAAGTCTTAAATTGAATATGCATTATGTATATCAGTGTACGTGACCCTGTTGTCGGCTAGGGAAAAAAGAATGTTTTCCAAACATGTTGTGTGGCTATTTTTAACCTGAGAACATTAATCAGAAAAGAGCTTAAATCTTACTTCCTCTGCTTTTCCCTCTGGTACAAATAGGATGACATGGTGAGAGTGTCCATAACACAAGGTATGACAAAGCCAGGCTGTTTTGATATTTGCGTAAGGGACAAATTTAACTCTAAATCTCCTGGCCAGACCTGCCTTCCCCATATAATCAGAGCCCATCCACGTGTGACCCTTGTCTAAAGCTTCAGGAAGATGCTGCCCCTTCCCTTTTGCCGCTGCTCTCTGATCTGACTTTCATGCTTAATCTGATCTAATCCTGCCAGCATTATCTTCATCTGTGCAATGAAACCTGGAGGATTCTTTCTCATATTTGGTGAGGAAAGGCATTTACTAAATTACTTGCTCGAATCATACGGTGAGGTTTTAGCTCCTTATTTTTGATTAGATGAGGGCTGCAGCATTGAGGCACATTATCATTGATTAGTCAGAAATCCAGGTTTCTCCTATTTTTGGAACAAGATTTTCTGAAATTGGGTGCAAAAAGACTAAAAGGGCTATGAAAAACTAGAAACTCTCAGCTAAGAATAGACAAAATATTTATTTTTCATGGAGAAGTGTTTTTTTTTCTGAAGAAAAAAAGCAAACCTAATTCCAATGACTTTTGTAGAAAAGTTATCCATTGAAAATCTTATTAAAATAATAATAATAACAAAACCCACTTCCTGAAAATTTCATTCAATTCTCCTCTAGGGAAAGTCTTCCCTGAGTTCTGGATCTTATGATTGGCCTTATCAATATAACAGAACTTCTTCAGAATCTGAACTTAATGTGTTTTCAAATCTAAAGTGTCCTAATAAACATCATGATAAAACCTCAAACAAGATCTTACTCTTAACAGGGAAAATACTTGTGAATTGTCAATGTTTCCCATAAGCTGAAATAATTATTATTCAAACTGCATGAAGAAATACATAAGATTAGTTGAAATAATTATTAAGGTCTGATGCATATTTATCCTGTAACTTACGATCAGACTTTCATTAACAAATAAGTAGATTGGGCTAAAATAGAGGGCAAAATACCGAATGTAAATTATTTTTAAAAGGCAGGCACCTGACAGAGATTGTCATGTTATTATTTGCATAAGAATAAAATGTAATTTTATAATTTTTGTTTTAGGTATAATTAACTATTATAATTGAATACACTGAAAACATTAGATAGCAAACATATATTTTAAGAAAAGCTATTTCCCCAAAGATATTCCACAGATATGTTTATTTGCTAGAGAGTATGTGTGTGTACACACACACATATATTTTCCCTTATATCAATAGTCAGATCTCTCCTAAGAAGTAAGCTAATTGAGCTGTTTGTGTTGATAAACTCCTTTTTCTCCAGACTATTCCTCTCCGAGCCATAATTATTTGCAATTTGCCTAAGTCGTCCATTTACTGATACGTCAAGCATGAAACAGAGGCAATTCCAGAAAATGGAAATGCTTCTCAAAATCAATCTTTGGGAAATAATGTGGTAGAAGTTACTGTGTGATAGAAGACTACCTTATAACTGTCACATGGAGATGAATATTAATTTGTTGAGGTTAAGGTGGCTTTGTGCTTCATTTGTTGACTTTGCTTAGCCGTCAGCTAAGCAACACAGCCCAATTACTCCAGCAAAGCTATTTTTTTCTAACAGGAGTTTTGTGATTTTTATGTACTTACCAGTCAGCACACATAACAATGTCAAAATGTCCTTCCAGTTGAGAGACATCTGTCTCATTATCCCATCGTAAAACGCTTGAGGAGAAAAAGATTTTAAAAATTATACATAGGGTTTTTTTTAAATTTTGATTTTGAGCTATTAACATTATTTTTTTGTGGCACTTGAAATTATTTAAAAGGTATATACAAATTATTTCAAAAGGTATAATAAAAAATAGGATGTAACTGTCTTCTGTGTTTTATTTAGTATTCAAATCTAGAAGAAGAATTCTCTACTTAAATAAAATAGTTAACCTTTTTGCTAGTTTTTATAGGTTTTTGTAGACAAACTAGAGAAAAATATCTTATCTTTACCGTAGTCATTATAATGATTCTAGACCCTTAACATCAATAAGGTACATATTGAAACCAAAGTATTCCACATTTGACTGGAACACAAATTTATAAAAATAAATGATGTGAGACAGCTTATATCTATACTGCCTGGCATATCAGTTGCTTTTCATATTGATGAAATGAGCAATTTGGTAAGATGGAAGAAAAGAAGAGTCAAATTTCATTTGGTAGTTCTTGGTTTTTAGGCATAGTGAAAAATTCACCCACACTGACACTTAGTCTCCCAAAGGGGATCAGGTTTAAAACTTCACATTAATAACAATAATTAGTAACATGCATTTGAAAACTTTACTAATGCTTATGAGGCCAACCAGAGGTTTTTAGTTACTCTCAATTAATAACTGTGATGATTAGCATTTTACCATATTCAAGTATTTTAATGATTCGTCTTACCACAGCACCAAAACTGTGATTTACAGTACTATTTTTCAAAGTAAAATTCTGTTCCTATTTTCTATTTTGATTCTTTAAACCTAACCGGATTGAACATGTCCTACCCTGCCCAGTTATATTTGCTTATTTTGGTGGATTCATTTCTTCTATATCTTCCCTAGGTGAAAAGTCATGTGTCTGAATGTAATAATAAGTCTTATACCAGTCAGCCCAAAAGTTCTTTTCATATACAATACATTAATATATATTAATGCCAGTAAATTTCTCAAGGTAGAAAAGATTAAAGACATCACCACAAAAATACCTACACACGCTGGGCAGCAGTTGTTCATTGACTTGTCCAACTCGTTCCTACTGAGCCACTCCTCACTGTGTGTCAGGTCCTGTGCTGTGCCATAGACCATGCCTTCACAGGGGCAGCTTGATGGGCCATATGGACACAGAAACCCCCAATTCCTACGCTGTATCCTATGCATTGGGTGAATATACAGACTTGGAGCATGGGAGGGCTTTCCAGAAGCAGTGGGTTACCTCAGGGTTCACAAGTCCAGTAACACCCAGATAAGCTTTACAAATTAACTTTAGTGTTGCTGTACTTGCTGAGGCCTACTGGATAGGCAAGAAATGAAGGAAATTAGGAAATCCTAAGAGATCAATGCTTACGTTGTTTACGGATTTCTCAGAAACTCCATGCACCTGGGGAGAGCAGGAAGCAACAAACACCAACTTTTCTGGAAATGCTGAGGCTCCCAGTGTATCTGGGACTCAGGCTCAGTGAGAGATGGGGCCTTCCCAGCCCTCATCACAGCCCTGAGTTTTAGAGTCTAAGACTTGAACCATGAGCAAGATGGTTTAAAGTATACATCTATACTAGACATTCTCTGATCAGAAAAGTAATGTATCTATCCATCATATGAATTTTGAAAAAAAAAGATTAAAGTATTAAAATTACTCATAATCTTACCATTCCATAAATGTCTCTTTAGAATTTGCTTTTAATACATATGCAATTACTAAAGCACAAGAACAGACTGCAGGAAATCCTGTGGTGATAGTGGATGCTGTATTCCTGAGGTGCTTCAGCCCCTTGGTTCAACAAAGACAAACTGGAGAGATAGGGGTCTAAGCAGCGACTGGGTATGGATTCCCACAGCAGCTGTAATGAGTCATGACTCTAAAATAAATTGAAATGCCTGGCTTGGTCACATGGACCATAACACATTCCTAAAAGGTATTTTTCCCCAGTTCTCATGAGGCTTATGGCTGTGCTACATGCATGTGACAGAGAAAGAGAGTGGTATTGTGGACAGAGTTCAGCTTTAGCACAGCAGACAGACCTAGGTTCAAATCTTGGCTCCTCCCCTTAGTAGCTGTATGAGTTTAGGCAATTATTTAACCTTTCTGAGCTTGTTTTCTGATCTGTAAGATGGGGATAACACTAGCTATCTCCTTGAACATTCTAAGAGCACCATTCATACAGTACCTGGAGTTGTATTGTTCATGTAACATACAATGAGAATGGTGCTTCCTGGAGCTGTGCAGTCAGGCAGCCTGCTATCTTGGAAGACTAGAGATGATGGTGAGTTCACTGTTCACTCCTCTCCTCCAGTGACCTTGTCCTCCACCTTTGGAGATACACTCCCATGCATGCTCGTGAGAGCATGTGCTTCCACTGTGGGGGAGGACCAGACTTTGTTTGTATCTAATCTGTTGCAGACCAATACTTTTGTAAAATATAGTCACAAAAATGAGATTAAAAACACAAAGGCATTCCAAATACAAGTCCACTGATCATATGCTTGGATGTCGCAGCAGTGTTTCTAAACATTTATTTTCAATTTCTGAACTTATCTCCTTGCAGATCAGTAACACACAGTTCACAGACTGGCACCAGTCCATGGCCTACTCATTGAGTGGCACTCCTCCAAACCTATCTTTACCAGTTACTGCAACTCTAGCCAATCTCTGACCAACCCCTCCTATCTTTCACAGCTCATTCTTTCTAGAAGGTACTCTTCAGTCCCACTGGCCCACACTGATCTTATCACCATGTCACTATCCCACTTCCCTAATATTTATCTTTCTTTCTTGCTCAGCTTAAATTTCATGACTTATCATTGTAATTACTCCCTTGCATACACCCTCAACTTCCTTGTCCCTCTCTTACTTCCTCGTATTTGTTAAATCCAGCTCTCTGCCTGGTCCATGACTGCACCTGTGCACCTGAATGTGGCTAGAGACAGCACACAAGCATCCTCACTGGCTTTGCTTTAAATTCATGACTATGAACCTCAAGTGGACTCTTAATGACATCTGGCAGTTATACTTACATTTCCTTTGTCCATTTAGTTTCCCACTATCCTAGGTCATTATTTTGCACTTTGTACTCTCCCTTCAAAATTCTGACACTATTCCCCTCCTCCTCACTTTCAGCTGATGACCCTGCTTCTTGCTTTACTGTCAAAATTGCAGCAATCCAGCCGGGCACGGTGGCTCATGCCTGTAATCCTAGCACTTTGGGAGACCGAAGCGGGTGGATTGCTTAAGCCTAGGAGCTCGAGACTAGCCTGGGCAACATGGCGATACCCCCTCGCTGCTAAAAATACAAAAAATTAGCTGGGTGTGGTGGCACACACCTGTGGTCTCAGCCACTCCGGAGGCTAAGGTGGGAGGATCATCTGAGCCCAGGAAGTCAAGGCTGCAGTGAGCCATGATCTAGCCACTGCACTCCAGCCTGGGTGACAAAAATGAGACCCTTTCTCAAAAAAAAAAAAAAAAAAAAATGCAGCAATCAGTTAAGAACTTCCATAAACTCCTACCACCACACTTATGCTCCTAATAGCATCTGCATCTACACATTCTGCCTTCCTGCCCATTACCATAGATGAACTATCTATACTCCTATCTACAGCCAGTACCTTCTCTTATGCCACCTAGATCCATCCCCTTTGATCTATTCTAGGACGTGCTCTAGCAATTTCCCTTCTGTTTCCTATATCAGTTCTTTTCTCTCTCTGGATTACTTCCATCAGTATTCAAACATGGAGTTATTTCCCCCTTTGTAAAATATCCTCTCCTGACAGTTATTGCACCATTTCTCTATTCCTCCTTTGCAGCAAAACTCTTTGAGAAAATTGTTTGACGCTCTGTTGCCAATTCCTCTCCTCTCATTCTCTTAAAATTCACTCCAGCCAGGCTTTTGTCCCCACCGTTCCACCAAAAATGCTGCTGTCAAACTCACCAAAGATCTCCACATTGCTAAATTTAGGTCAGTTCTTAGTCTTTATCTTACTTGACCTATCAGCCTGAACCTCTCCCATGAACTCTAGATTCATATATCCAACTTCCTATTTTAATATTTCCACTTGGGTATCTACTAGACATCTCAAACCTAACATGTCCAAATTTGAATTCCCAATCATTTTCCCTAAAACTCACTTCATTCAGTCTTTTTTAAATCTCGTTATTGGTAATTCCATCTTTCCAGTTGCTCAGGCCAAAGACCTTGAATATATCTTTGACTCTTTCTTTTACAGTCCACATTGAATATGCCACAAGTGCAGGTCATTCTACCTTTGAAATATATCAAAATCTAACCACTTCTCTCTATCTCTACTGCTCTCCCCAGTCTAAACTACTATCATCTCTCATCTGAATTATTTCATAGCTCCCTAATTGGTCTCCCTGCTTCCATCTGTCATCCAACAATCTCTGCTCAAGAGAGCAGCCAGAGTGATTCTTTTAAAACATGTATCAGATCATGAGCCTTTTCTCTCTTCACTCAGAGCAAAAGCCAAAGTCTTTACAATGACCTGAAAACCCTTACACAATTGGGCCTGGTTACCACTCTGTCCTCATCTACTATTACTCTCCTCCTTGGCCTCTTTGCTCTAGTAACACTGGCCTCCTTATGCTTTCCTGAATATACTAGCATGGTTCTGTTCTAGGGTCTTAATACTGGCTGCTTGAGCAGCCAAAATGCTCTTCCTCCAGATATCTCTATAGCTACAGCTCACTCCGTCACCTCCTTCAGGTCTTTGTGTATATGTCTTACCTTCTCAGGGAGGCCTTCCCTGACCATCCTCTTTAAAACTGCAATCATTTATTTTCAGTCCAGCACTTCTAAAACCCCCTTATCTTGCTCTTTATTTTTCTGTAGCAGCTATTACCCTTTAATGTGCAATATAACTAAATTATTGATTTTGTTTCTTCTCTCTTTCCCCACTAGAATATAAGCACCACAGGGATACAGATTTTTAAAATCTGTTTTGTACAGTGATGTATTTCCAATGTCTAGAATAGTCCCTAGCACCTAATAGCTGTTCAATAAATATGCCATATGGATGAATTGTGTGTGAATGTACCTAGCACAGTGCCTGGCACACAGAAGGCCCTCAAGAAATAGAGGTTTCTATTGTTAAATTGGTCTTTGAATACAATGTGTGGATTAGCTAGATATGAAGTCCACTTAAAATGCTTTCTAAAGATTTCTGCTTCCAGCAAAGATGGCGTAACAAGGCCCTCATTTAGCTTTTTGTCTAAAACAACAACAGAAAACCTACACAAAACATATAAAACAATAGTTTTCAAGACACTGAACATCAGCAACACAGGACAGTAATCCTTAAGAAGACAGAAATAAATGAAATGAGCCCTACCTTTACCCCAGCTTACTGCCTTGAGAGTTTCCAGGCCATAGCATAGATGGAGGAAATGAGAAAGAAGCAGGTGGACTGCCTGAGTTAAGAAGATGGGGCCAGGCATGGTGGCTCATGCCTGTAATCCCAGCACTTTGGGAGGCTGAGGCGGGTGGATCATGAGGTCAGGAGTTTGAGACTGGGCTAGCCAAGATGGTGAAACCCCGTCTCCACTAAAAATAAAAAAATTAGCTGGGCACGATGGTGGGCACCTGTAATCCCAGCTACTTGGGAGGCTGAAGCAGGAGAATCGCTTGAACCTGGGAGGCAGAGGTTGTAGTGAGCCTAGATCACACCACTGCACTCCAGCCTGGGTAACAGCGAGACTCCATCTCAAGAAAAAAAAAAAAAGAAAAAAAAGAAGATGGAACTGAGAGTCTAAGAAACTTCAGAGTTCCCAGGATAAAATACTGAATAGGAGAGCACTTGAGAGAGAAAGAGAGAGAGAGAGAGAGAAAGAGAGAGAGAGAGAACTCTGGAGATCTGTGGATGGTCCCCCTAGAATATTCTGTGGATGACTGATCATGCATGTATGTGAGAAAACTACTTGAAGTTGGGGAAAGATCATGTCAAAAAATTGAAGGGGAGTAGGTCAGTGCTCACACAGGGCCAGGAATAGTGAGTGTTCCACCAGCCAGATTAGAAAACCTCATAATTTACAAGCATTGTGTAGAGTCCTCAGAAGGGTCTTGTCTCAATAGTAGGGAATAATTAGCCCTAGACTAAATGCTGCTCTGGTTCTGCCTAACAAATCTTAAAAGCAAGACCCAAACATATCAAACTATTTCAAAGTAATTTAACTGTATCCCAGAACAAAACTCAAAAACACACTTTGGGCGGTCAAGGTGGGAGGACTGCTTGAGGTCAGGCGTTCAAAAACAGCATGGGCAACATGGCAAGATCCCATCTCTACAAAAAAATACAAAAATTAGATGAGCATGGTGGTGCATGCTTGTGTTCCCAGCTACCTGGGGGGCTGAGAAGGGAGGACCACTTGAGCTCGGGAAGTTGAAGCTGTAGTAAGCTGTGATTGTGCCACTCCACTCCAGCCTGCATGACTGAGTGAGACTCTGTCTCTAAAACAAACGCAAAATCTCAAAAACATTTACAGAAATATAAAAACATTCAGATCCCAACGAAGTAAAATTCAAAATACCTAGTATATAATCCAAGATGGCCAGACATATAAAAAATTGAAAAAATAGAAACCATAATGACAAGACAAATCAAACAACTGAACTCAATCGAAAACTGACAGAGATGTCAGAATTAGCAGACACGGGCATTACAATAGTTATCATAATGGTCTTTAATATATTCTAAGAATCAGGTAGAGACATGGGAGATACCTTTTAAAGCCCCAAATCAAACTTCTAGAGATGAAAACTACAATGCCTGAGAAGAACAATACATTGGATAAGATTAACAGCAGATTAGACACCGCAAAAGAGAAGACTAGTGAACTTGAAAACATAGTGATAGAAACTATCCAAAATGAAATATATGGAGAAAAAAAGGAATAAAATAAAGAGTGAGCTGTGGGACAATTTTAAGTGGTCAATACATGTGAAACTGGACTTCTCAAAAAATAGGAGAAGGGAGACAACAGAAAAAATATTTGAAGAAATAATGGCTGAAAAATGTCCTAATTTAATGAAAACTGTTAACTCAGCAAGAAATTTCAACAAGCCCAAACACAAGAAACATGAAGAAAACTAGCAGGCACATAATAATAATCGAATTGCCTAAAAGTAGTGATAAAGAGAAAATCTGAAAAGCACCCAGAGGAAAAAGATGTTTTATATAAAAACAAAGATAAGGATGACAGCATATTTTTTTTGTGAGGAATATGCAAGTTAGAAGACAGTGGAGCAGCATCTTTAAAGTACTGAAAGGAATAAAAAACAACTGTCAACCTAGAATTGTATAGCCAGTGAAAATATATTTCAAAACAAGGTGAAACAGATGTTTTCAGACATACAAAAAGCTGAAGGAATTAATCACCAGCAGACCTATGCTGCAAGAAATGTTAAAGGAAATCCTTAAGGCAGAAGAAAAATTATATCAGATGGAAATGTACATGAAGGAATCAGAAATACTAACTATATAGGTAAATATATATATGACTGTTTCTTATTACTTAAACCTCTTTAAATATAATTGGTTAAACAAGCAAGTATTGTGGGGTGATAATATATGTATAGATAAAAAGTAGGACAATAGTAGCATAAAGACTGGCAGGGGACCAATGGCAGTATACTACTGTAAGGTTTTGTTTTGTTTTGTTTTGTTTTGTTTTGTTTTGTTTTGTTTGAGACAGAGCAGGCTCGAGTACAGTAGCATGATCTCAGCTCACTGCAGCCTCCGCCTCCCAGGTTGAAGCTATTCTCCTGTCTCAGCCTCC